>NC_000004.12:142046381-142671381 GCF_000001405.40 Homo sapiens
GGAGAAAGGGATTAGCTTGGCCTTGGGGATTCATGGGCATCTCCAAGGGTTCTTGTGAAAGCCAAATTGGTGCCTAAAAGATGTATGAATGTAGTACAGTTGAAGGAGGCGGGTAATCAACTCAGGAGAAGGAAAGAACAGCATGAACAAAGGTATTAGGAAAAACTAAAGACATATGCAGGGACTGTGAATAATCCAAACTGAGTAGAGGCTAGAGTGAAAAGAAAGAGGAGGGAATAAGGTAGGAAAAGCTGATGGATCCTGAAATGGCAGAGGCCCCTAAATTCTAGGTAATTTTAAAATTACTCTGTATGTACTGGGGAGGGACATGACTATTTTTGAACTTTAGGAAACTACTCTTTGATGGGAATGTGGAAAGTAGATTGGAAGATAAAGGACTGGAGAAAAGGGAATTAAGTGACTACTGCAGTGGTCCCAGTGAAAAGTCATAAAGGTCTGGAGTAAAGCAAGAGGAGGAAATGAACGAGACACCATGTATTAAAAAGATGGGAGTGAGTGAATTAGTATCTTAGAGAGCTCACCTTACAAGGCTTATAGACAGAGGCAGCAATTAAAAACTCCAAGACTGAGGAGACAGTATTTTATCTCAGATACATTTTTTTCCTTTCTCCTCTCTCTCTCTCTTTTTATAACTACACTGAAGCAGATAATCAGACTGGGTCTAACAGAGCCATCATTTCTGACACTTGCAACGATTCTCTGCAATAATGCTTGAAATGGCTGTGTTGTTTGTCAAGAAGATGGCTATTAGGGAGAGTACAAAATATCACTTGGAGCCAACAGTGGTAATTTGCTCAGAGTTAACTTTTTTGATAGAAATAAAGAGTGTTTCAGTAGTTTTATTCTAGGAGAGCCAAGAGAATTCTAAGGGCACCAGTTTTTTTCTATCCATTTGGTTTGTGCTTTGTTGCACATCAGTCAGAAATGACATTTTATATCGACTATTCTGTTCAATTGAATAAGACACGAAGACACAGAGCTTGGAAAAAGGGTATTTTTTCCCTGACTTTTTTGTTTAGGCTTCTGCTAAATTGCTCAAAGCTTTTCTTCAACTCAGACTGTTAAATTTAGAAGGCACCCTTAGAGATCACCTGGTCCAACCCCTTCATTTTTCAGATGAGAAAGCAGAGGCCTCCAGAGAAGGACCGAGATCTCATTAGTACTCCATGGGGTGTAGAGTAGAGATTATGTGCAGAACAATTAGATTAATGATACTCTTCGGCTCCCACAAAATAAAGCAGAATCTCTCCTCTCATCCCCCATCTGTAACAGAGAGGAAAGAGTTGGTTTCATACTTTTCAGGTTTTATATATCTTGAGACATTCCTGTGCAGAAATACTCCCAGGGATTGCAAGGGAGCAGAGACAAAGAAAGATAGCACAGATATGAAACAAAAATCTCTCTATTTCCCAGCAATCCCCATGGTATTTTCCTTCCTTTTCCTAGATAATTATGGGATGAAATTAGCCTTTCTCAACCTGCCACTGTGGCTGCTGTTGCACCAACTTATAAGCCACTAAGAATTCCAGGATAAAGAAGAAAGGAAATTAACACTTATTCAAAAGCATCAACTAAATTCATAAAAAGTCAATCATAAAAGTTCCTATGTATTAAGCACTGACTATTTCACAAATGCTGATCACCTCACCCCAGTGGTCACCTTTAGCTTTCATACCACTCCTGTGAGGTAGGTACAAAGATCCATTCTGCAAATTGGAAAACTCAGAGATATTAGGTACTATGTCCAAACTCTCACTGGTAACATGAAGTAGAGATATAGAATTTGAATCCAGTTCCTTCTGACACCTAAGTCTGTGCTCTTAACAACTGTGCTATACTTTTTTCCTACATTCTCCATTGCACGAGAAACTGCAGATTATAGTACTTGCACACATGGCCTTACAGAATATGTAGGACAGCTCAACACTCAGCATAATTGGAGAGTAATAGGTAGTATTCTCTGTAAATGAAATATATGTTCTGAACCTAAACAGTTATCAGAGTGGGCTTAGGCTTAGGGTGACTTGTGATGTCCCCAGTTCATACCTATTGTCCCAGAAGGATTTACATGGAAGGATGGAAGAAGGGCATCTGGTGAAAGATGACAACATTAAAAAAGAGAGAAAAAGAAATAAAGAGAGGCAAGGGTTTGTTATGTTTGTGTGTTACATGTTTGCTATATGAGTTGGAGGGGGCAGGTATTTATGTGAACTAAGGGTGAACGATAAGTGGGGGAGAGCAACAGAGAGGTGTGCTCTGATAAAGGGATGAGCAGATGAGGTGGGCAACCAGCAGAGGCAAAAGCAGCTTGAGAGCTGGTTAAAGAAAAGCTATTGCAAGATCATAGTATTATACATGATATACTTGGATTTAAAATATTAGCTTGAAAATACTGTGCATGGTAGATTGAAGCAGAGCAGTTGGAAGCAGAAAAGCCAGTGAGATTATTGCAAAGAATATTGAAATAATCAAGGTGTGAGGCAAATAAAATAGGACCAGGGTGGCAGAACATATCAATGCCAAAGGACACATCGAGGGGGAAGAAATGGCAGAATTTTGGGCAACAGACTAGTAATTAAGACTTACATCATTGTTTACAATTACATTGTCAACAACTTTGAGATGCTATCACCATGGGCAGTGACAGAATAAGAGAAGCTGGCTTACTGCACTCATGAAGTTTTGGAAGTTTTGGCCAGCAAACCAACATTATAGCACACGTTACCAGAAAGCATTTTTACAGTAATTAAAAAAAATGTAATGGAAGAATGTAATGGAAGAATCCTATCATCATATAGCACAGAAAACAGGCAATCTGACCTGTTGTTACATGTATTTTACTTTCAGCAAAAGAGTATCATGTCAAAGTATATGAATTCTGCTAGTTCAAAGTTTGTTGGTTTTGTTCTATGTAAATTTGTACATTTGTTTTGGCTTATAGTTGCATGAAAACTAAAGACATAGGAAGTTTATGTCTGGTTTTATGTTTGTATATCTACAAGAAACATAATAAAGAAAATTTATGCCTGAAAGAAGTTATGTAATAATTACTTTTCCTTAAAGAGGTCTATTTATGACTCAAGCTGAGAAATAGAAATCTAATACAAATAAGGTTGTTTTTTACATCAATGGCTTTGACAAGCAAGTAGTTATCTATGACTGTATAGGTTAAGCGGACTGGTGGTTTGGAAGTAAAACTGTAAAGGGATAGGAAGAAAATAGATTTAAAAAAGCAACAATAATAAGTAGTTGTGACTGCATCAAGAAGTATATGTTGTGTATGTCAAATTCTGTAGGAAGAAAAAAAGAATGAAGAAATATAAGAAATAAAACTAACCATATAATCTATGATTGGTACTCAAGACTTGGTACAATAGATACACTTGACTAAAATGTGAGTTTTGTCATTATGTGGTGGGCACTAAATGTATTTCTTTCCAGAAAGATGAATCTATCAATAAGCAGAAATTCATTTTGTGACAAAATTAATAAATGGCAATTTGTAAGATACATTAAAATACAAAGTAGAAAGAAATATGAAAGGCAATTCAGACACCATATCTCATTACTCAAAATCACAAAACAATCAACTAAAGGCCTATGTTCTTATCCACGTAAAATACCATTGATGATGTTGGAAGCTGATTTTATGACTTTTCATCAGGTGATGAATTAATTACTATTGTTAGGCTCCCGCATCACATGGCTCAAATAGTTTTATTTTATTTTTTGAATTCATTTTTTCTAAATACAAGCAAATAATTCACTGAAAACTGCTGCCAAGAAGTTGGCTAGGGGATAGGGAAGAATTGACTTAGTACAAATGAGATTCCAAACTTAATCTAATAGTTATCTAAAACATGCTTATGTAGAAATCTGTAGCTAAAATTTACCAGGTTTCTTATCCTTTTGTTTTAGGGGATTGTAACCAAAAGGATGTCATTCTGGTAAAAGAAGAATTAGCTGCCTCATTACTTTAACATTTTTCTAATAAGAAGTATTTCAATGAAAAGAATAATTAAAAACAAAAAAGATTATTAGCTAGTGGATTCTTATAATTCTATAAATATCAGGTTTTTAGAAATTTTCAGTAGATAGCACTGTACACAGCACATAGTGATTCTATATATATTATGGGATTCTCAACTCCATTATATACAGGCTTATAATGTAGTGCTTATTTAGTGGGGACTCAGACAATCCTAGGTCTGAATCGGGCTTATTCTCTTCCTACCTGTGCTATTTAGATGAGCTATACTTTGGTAAATATTCGTTTTGTAATATTTAAAATAGGGATGATAAATTTGTATACACACAAACAAACATGAACATGTACAGAATCTTTCTTTAGCATGTCTGGCATATGTTAAATACCATCATCCCTTGGTACCTACAGGTGGATTGGCTCCAGGATGGACCACCATGGATAACAAAATCTGGAGATGCTCAAGTCTCTTACAGCCAGCCCTCTGGGTCCACAGATACAACCAACCACCCATCAGCTGATGAGGAACCCATAGATTTAATTACATACAGATAATTATTAAAGAGATTATCTGCAGAATAAATTATTAACATACATAATGACTTCCAAACTTATTTATTCCCTAGGAATTTTTTAAAATTTCTCTAGAAATTGCTACCTGATTGAGTATAATACATGTTCCTCTGTGTTGAGATATGTAAACTAGAGAAGTTGCATATTTGTATAAGTTAAAATAAATATATAGGTTTCTCTCTTCTCCCTCTATTCCTCCACAAACAAGCACATATTTATAAAAGAACATTAATCCTCAAAAAGATACTACAGCCAAGAACACATTGAATACTTTCATTAAACATTGTTTTGAACATAATACCTTTACTTTATCATCTACTGGCTAAAATTCATAGTGCTTAAATTGCCTAGTTTTCTAAGACAGACTTTCCTATACAGTATTCCGTAAGTATTGTTATAGAATACTAGATGCTGGGTTAACAAAAGTTAAGTTCTTTTATGGTAGAGTTTTCCTAAGACTTTAATATCTAAGTGAGACTTCTGGGAGCTAGCAACATGCTATTTCTTGGACTTGGGTGGTGGTTTCATCGGTTTTTGCTTTATAATTATGTTTTTGAAATGTACATCTATTTTTTATTCACTTTACTGTAAATACATAAAAAAGTCTTACATATAATGTATGTTGTGATATTCGAAGGAGATATAGATTAAAAATAATTTTCTCTTGGTACACACATTTAACATCAGCGTTGCTCTACAAGGGTTTTAAAAGACATTTAAAGCCACCAACTAATTAGAAAATAAACCATTTACCTAAATTGATATCCACATACCACAATCGTGATGGGTCACAAAGCTAAGTAGAAAATTAATTCAACTGTCTAAATAATTCTTACGAAAGTGTATTATTCTTGTGTGCATACATTTAGATATCATTTTGTTTTGATTTTTAACCTAAATAAATGTTTCAGTTTCTTTTCACTTGGTAAAGGATAAAATCTAGGGTTCTCCTACAAATCTGTGGGTCCAGAACCTCTCATTACAAGAAAGCAATGTGGATTCCTTATAGTTATAAGTAAAGGTAATAACACCGTTCTCATCTCTTCATTTTTCTTTGATGGTTTTACTTTGCAAAAAGTATAAAATGACACATTAGACTGAAATAAAATGTTCTGACTTCCTTAGAACCAACACTCAGGTCTTTTTTGATCAAGAATAAACTATTTTTATCAGACTACCATTATATTTAAATACCTTTCAACTATTTACAAAATGACCTCACAAATTGTCCAAATATTTATACCTTTAATAACTTTAAATACTCCATGTATTATAAATTAGATAATGAAAATTAAAGAGATTAGATGTAGAATAAATTAACATGCCTAATGATTTCTAAAGAGAAATGCTATTGCTCTTTTTATTAAACTAGCTTATTTATTCCCTAAGAATTACTTAAAATTTGCCCAAAAATTGCTACCTGAAGTATAACCCATATTCTTTTGTGTTAAACCGTGTTTATTATTCTTCAGATGTATTTCTAAAAAACATGACATCAATTTTGCTGTGCTAAATAAGTATTGTATATTACACTTTTGGAAACACTTACAGACATAAAGCATTTCCAACAGACAAGACATGTACAAATAATTTCCCCCAGATTTTTGTATAGTCATTTTAGAGCTTTTTAACAAGGGTAAGAACTTTGTTGATGAGATGTAAGCCTTTTTTCCCATTTGGGCATTAAAAATGATGGGATTTGGCAAATGGGAACCATATTTATGCAAAGAAAAAACAGTAGCAGGACACACTGGGGAAGTGAGTTCTGAGCTTGGTGCTCTCACTGACTAGTGGTGTGTACTTACTTAAACTTGACTTACTAAAATGGTATTTGGGACAATTGGCCTAGGTACTCTCTATAAGCCCACAGTCTATTCTACTTCAGCAATTCTATATTTGCTTGTCGAATTCTACCTCTTAATTTCTAACTCTTCATTCATCATGTACCAGGCACTGTACTAGATGCCTGAAAGATAAAGTTCCAGCCTTCAGGGCTCAAAGACTAAAGGGGGAAATGATACCCAAATCAATATTAAAACATCAATCTCATGATGAATGTCTGTACAGTGACATTCAAGCATAGACAAAGGAACAATGAACCACCACAGAAGAGGTATTGTCTGGGAGAGACTTCACAGAGATGTCGGAGTTTATTAGGCAGAGAAGGGGAAAGGACACGGCCAACAGGGACTGCGTGTGAAAAGGACAGTGACTTCAAGGACCTGGAGGGTTGGCTGGGAGGACAAAAATTGTGGAGAAGGGAAAGGAGAGGGAGATGGAGAACCATGTGACAGGCCACTGAACTGCTCTTAAGCAGCTGGTACACAGATCAGATATGTATTTTGAAATATGAATTTGGAAAGCTAACACAAAGGCAAGGCTTCCAGAAGGCAATGAGGAGAGAGAACCTGAAGAGAGATGGTGGTGAGGCTGGATCTACCAAAAACATTAAGTGGATGGTAACATTGTATCATTAACAGAAAGGAAACATGTATTTTATAAACACTGGTGATATTGGTACTAGTATCATTGTTCTGCTGGGAAAAATTGTCATCCTGACTTAGTCCTAGGTCCCAAGTATGGCTACCACATTTCCACACAGATAAAAGTTACAATTGTACCTGTAGTCATGGCCCACTTTCTCAGAAAATACTTTACTTTAGATATGCCGGAGTGTTTCACTCAATATTAACCTGAATCTCCCAATTTTTCTCCAAGAAACCATGAATGATAACCTAGACCTAGAAAATTGTGGGAGGGTAGTAAGGTGCTAATTGCTAACCTCTACCAGAAAGCAAGAATGTTACAATAAGAACCCCGATTCAGGTATTCCTTGATTTCTTGGGCTGATTTTTATCGGTGACATAGACTCCAGTGACCATTCTCTAATCCACTTCAGGCCTAAGCTATTTGCACTTGAATATATCATTCTTGCTCACAAAATATAATTTAGTGTTTTAGAATAAAATAGGACAGCTAAAGGAACGAGTTCATTTTCTTAAAAGCCCAAATGGTTTTAGGCAATTCTTAGGACACTGGGGAGATCTGCTCTGTTTTTTATTTTATAATTCTAATCGACCCTCACCTTCATGTATTGTCTTTGGATAACATTGCTGTTTTATACATTCACTCGGAAACTTCTGAAGGAAATATTTTTATACAGGTCATTTAAAAAATTCTCTGATCATACTGTATGCTGCTCTGTCAACCTCTGTTAAGTATAAAGTAAAATAAAACAAAACCTGGCTGGCTGCCCCACGCTCAATGCAACAATATGCCCAACCACAACACCCTATTTTTTTTTTTTAACCTGTTTCTGAAGAAGTGACTTTAGCATCTGGAAACACCACTACTGTATCTGAACACTTTTATGTGCATGTATGAGATAATCGCTGCTGCAAGTTCAAGTTCATTACAGCCTCATTTCAAGTTCCACCTGGGAATTAAACTTAAATTGAGACTGAAATGGGTTTTGTTATCCTTATTGTGCTGCTTAGAAAAAGATGCTTCATGGTGATAGGGAGAATGATTGCCATTGGAGCTGAAAACAGCATTTCAGATAGTTCACCACATACACACACACAATAATATAAAAGTGAGATAATTCCAAAGACAGTCCAGAGGGTCCCATTTTTTTTTCTTGTGAACTGACTTAATTGTGGGTATCTGATTGACTGGACTGGATCTACAACATTTATTTTAATATTTTCTGATCAATTGCTAAGACCAGTGCTATGCTTATAGGAGACTGGATAGTCACAAAAGATTCCTATATCATGCTTAAATACATCCACTGACAGCTAATGGCATTGTTGGGCATCGAGTATTTGGGAGATGGAGATAACAATACACATAAGGGACAGTTAATCTTTATTATGTACTGTCTGTAAGAGAAGAATAGATGAAAGTCTCTATATCTGTGTTAACTTATTCAGAATGATGTGTTCCACTCAGCTTGCATGGCTGCTTTAAAATCAGTCAATTTCAACTATAATCATTCACTAAAGATTGCCTACTAAGAGATAAGAGTGGCCAGGTATATACATGTGTATATGTTTGTGTGTGCATGTGTGTATGTTAGACTCCACTTACTTACTAGTTTGAAACTTCAAGATTCCTGATGTTAAGTCACTATTTTAATAATTTTTTTGTGGACCTACTTTGTGCACTTATAATTCCAAAGTAATACTAACTATGGAACTGATCGGCATGGAGAAAACAACCAAGAACACGCTTTTCAATAGTGTGATACATTAAAGTTTGATGGTTAAATAAACCACTATTAATGGTTTATTAATTAATAATGATAATCACTGATTTCTAACATGCACCACCTGAAAAGAGATGGAAACACTGAACTCATTCTTGTCATTTATAGTGATTCACATGAATCTGAGGTACAGATGGACTTCAAACTTACGCAGAATAAGCTATGGTAAATATAATCATCTATCCCCAATTCATAAAGTAAAGCAGGTCATTGTCAAATAGGGAAGTTTTTTCCTATTGTTTATCTGATTCTTATATGCACTTTAAAATTAGATAACTTTCATTACATTCTTAAAATTACTACAAAAGTGAAATTAAGCAGATGTTTGAGTTAACTCAAAGGACTTTGATAGCTATGTCATATCCTAGGGCATCAGGATAAGTAATCATAAAGTGGTTAAATCTTAAGTGTTTTAAAAGCATTTGTTCAACATTATATAATCTTATTTAATTTTCTACTAAATCTTTTTTTTTTGTACAGAAAATTGTGTTCATGGAATATTAGAAGGATCCTTTAACACAGCAGTCCCCACACTTTTTGGCACCAGGAACTGGTTTCATGGAAGACCATTTTTCCACTGACCTGGGGGTGGGGGCGATGGTTTAGGGATGATTCAAGTGTATTACATTTATTGTGTACTTTATTTCTATTACATTGTGATATATAATAAAATAATTATACAACTCACCACAATGTGGAATCAGTGACAGCCCTGAGCTTGTTTTCCTGCAACTAGATGGTCACATCTGGGGGTGATGGGAGACAGTGACAGATCATCAGGCATTAGATTTTCATAAGGAGCACGTAGCCTAGATTCCTCGCATGTGCAGTTTGTAATAGGGTTTGAGTTCCTATGAGAATCGAACGTCTGTGTTGATCTGACGGAAGGCAGAGCTCAGATTGTGGCTGTAAATACAGATGAAGCTTTGCTGGCTCACCCACTGTTCACCTCCTGCTGTGTGACCTGGTTCTTAACAGGCCACAGACCTGATACCAGGGGGTTGGGAACCCCTGCTTTAACCAAACCAAGACAGCAAAAACAAAAGAAATTAGTATTTGAATAGGCTGAGTTTGAAATATTTTCTTTTATGTGAGAGAGGCTTGAACTCTCTAAACATTGCTACCTTAAGTAAATCTGACTTAAAAAGGAATTCAAGCTACAGAAGATAAGATATTCAGTTGTCTCCCTTTTCTGAATGCTAAACTTTCAGGGAAACCTTTGATTAGGGAATTAGGCACATTGGTTTATGTAACAGAGGCTATATAAATATAACAAGGTGTTGTGGTACCTGGAAACATTTAATCTCACTAATGAAGTAAGTGATAGGAACATGAAAAAAGTCAGCCTCAAGGACTTTTGATTCCCAGAACAACATAAGATTGAGGCCTCAGAAAGAAGCTACTTGTCAGATGTTTTGGTTGGTAACAAAGTGCCGAAAATATCTGGAAGCAGCTAAGCCTAAAAACACACACATATTTTACAAGGAAATGAACAGCCTCAAGTGCTAAAATGGAAAATCTAAATCTACAAAGTGTTGATAACATTAATACTTGATGTCCATGGTGATAATAGGGTACATTCATTAGCTTAGAGGTCTACTGTCCTCTAGTTGCCTTCGGGAATCTGAGCAATACTAGTGAAAAGAGTAAATTAGGGAGACACCAACTTTTGAGCTGCATTTTACAACTCAAATATACCTTGTCTCTTGTCCTGGTTGCTTGGGAACTCTGAAGGCTCTGATTAGCGAGTTTTCACCCTTCATCTGTGAACCACACATGGTTGAGAGGTCATTTGTGCTAAATGCTAAGGAGACAAGTTTTCTTTTAAATTTTAGAGTATGGTACTGTTTGTGATGGCAGCGTACACATATTCCAGAAAGATAGGCACCATGGAAGTAATTACATTGGGAGAAGATGGGAACATATAAATATCTCATCACACAAATCAAAAATTAGGAAATGTAGTAGCACATTTCACATGATCTTTTGTAACAATAAATATTCCATTTTAATAGTATGTTAAAAATCACTCATAAGCCTTTCCTTTCTGCAGTATTTTATCTGTTTATTTCACTCTAAAGTTACAGAAACGTAACCTATAATCAAGTTCTTTATTGGCTGCCTCTTAACATAATTTTTGTTATTCTTCCTCCTCAGTATTGGTTAGTGATGGAATGCGAGAATAAAGCTGAATTTATCTATGTTCATTTATGATTAAAAAAAGATAAATTCTAAGTAGGTATTTTAAAAGATAGTTTGACATATACACTCCCAGTGTTGGACTTGAAATTAAGAGGTCAGCTGGTATTGGTATGAACATTAACAAAGACCTACAGGCTAAACAAGAAATAGTTTAGCCTATTTCTCATTTGCCTGTGTATAAAGATTATGGATATTCTCACATATTCACAGGCAAACAATGAAGGCACAAAATCCAGAACTGGTACTATTCTATTTTCTTGAACTATTCATGCTAAAATTATATCAAAATTTGCTTTTTTACTCCTTAAAACTTTCTGCATATCCGTTACCTCTTTGTGTAGTGCCCATTCTGCTTATTAAACATTTCTAGAATCTACAGTGCCTACAATTTAGCAAAAATTTTATCTATCTATATAGCTATATCTACTATTCCTTAAGACCCAACTCAAATGCTTCAGGCAAAGAAAGCATCATAGGGTGTCAGCTTCCTCCTGTGAGCATGTATTGCACTTTCTGGATTCAACCAGATGGCATTCACAGCATGTAGCCTTGCATTTTCGCCATTTTGTATTTCTTGCCTCCCCTACTATACCGGAGTTAGCTTAGGGCAAAGAACATATTTTATCTACCTAATGTGCCATATACTAAAGAATCATATGTAAAAATACCATACAAGTCAAGATCCTCTAGGGGAACTAAGTGCTGTTCTCTCTAACAGTATCCTGTATTTGGGCCATGCAAATCCTAGTTACTCCATAAATAAATACATTATATCTTAGTAAATTTCAGAAGCTTATGATCACAATATTTAAATTGAGGGTAATCATTATTTGATATTTTATACTGATTTGACATTTTCATCAGATCATATTATTATAAAGCCTTGAAATTGAGGACTAATTCTGGTGTCTTGGACTCACTCAAATAAAAACAGCTCCTCATTTTCAAAAATCGTTTTAAAATACACAGCACAATATTACTGTGCCATTATTTCTCAGATTGTGCTTGATTTTTTCTTTTTCCCTGAAAGTAACTTTGAGGAAGCAATTTCAGGTCCTCTGTTGTCTATTCCAAAAGCACACAGTAGTACAAGAGACCACACGCTCTCCAGTTCAATATTACGTTTAAGGCACTGCAGAATTCATATACCACTCTCATATACCATTTAACACTTATGAAATACTCAGAAATGGGAAGGGTTCAAGACTTTTAAAAACAAAATAGGAAACTAAAAATTCTACTTTTCAGAAGTAATATTTTAAATGTCACTGCCAATTTTTAATCCAATATTAAAAACCTATTGAGGAGGATTCTTGGACAAAATCAACTTATTATCTGTTGTAAGATGTCTAGTTCTAATACAGTTTTCCCTATTTCTAAGAATAAAGGATTGAGATTGGGTTGAACAGTGATAGTGTTTACAACAATTGAGAGGTGGTCACAACTAAAATTGAAAATAATGAGAAAGATTATGTTTTCGTTTTACAGATTTCTCACCCAAATATAGTCTTGCCTGCTGCCATCTGATAAACTATAAAGCAGAAAAGTGCAGGCAGGTCAGAAATCACCTAAAAACCCAATCAATATGTTTGTGGAGGAGATAAGGGCTTATAAACCTGGATATTTAGTCACTTTTCTAGTTTTTCTTAAGGTCATTACTTTGTCAGAGAACATAACTTGATAAAGTAATCGACTTTTAATATTTATTGTCAATACAACCCAGTCATAGGCATCTAGCAAAACATGGTGACATTTCTAGAGTAAGCAATAACTTTTCAAAAATAAGAATCATCAATGTCTCCTGTGGGTGGAGGGTGTTCTTTCTTAAACTTACCTATCCGGTAATAATACCAGCTTAAAGTTCACTTTCTCCCTGTAGCCCCTGACAGTGCCCCATACTTTTCTTAGGCCTCCTACTTGCCTAATCACTCCCTTATTTCTGTTTCCAAAAGCAGAAATTCTGTTTCCATTAAGTAGTTCGTACTTAATACCCTAAAAGACTTAATCTATCATCATGTATCTGTATGTGATTCTCTCTCAGTAGATTCTGAGGTTTTTCATGAGAAGGAACACAACATATTCATATATGCATCTTCAATGCAAAGCACTGTGCTTGGTAAATAATATGCACTCAAAAATTGCTTACTTGTTTGATAAAAGAGAGTGTCCAGAACCTTATACTCCTTATGGTATATGGATTCTGGCCTAGTGGAATAATAACCCAGAATAAAATAACATATTTTTGGAAGAAGCAACTCATAGTCAACTAAATCAACCAAGGTCAGCCTACATAGGCTCTAAAGCATTTTGGGGCAGTAGGTAGACCCTTGAGACATGGCTCCATTCTACCGATGGCATAACATATAGCTAGCTCAGGACTGACATGCCAGTTCACTTTCCAATTCTGTACTCTGGGTGGATCTTCTTGAAGACAAGCTGGTTCTGGGTAACTACAACTATTTACTGGTATTCTGTTCCCTTTGACAGCATCGTGCTACTTAGTAGGAAACTCAAGTGAATTTGAACCAAGTTAAATTACCTACTTCAAGATTTTAGTCAAGATTTTGTGGTCTGGCTTAACTCAAGAATTAACCACAAATTAGTTATAGAATGGCTACTTGCTATACATACGTGACTGATTTTTGGTTTTGCACCTTTCACGATTTTTCAATGCAGGAATCTCACCCTGCCCAGTGAAACTGCCCCATGGGATTTCTACTTTAAAAATTTATTTACTTATTTCTATAAGTGTTTGGTTGCAGAGCCCAAAACCATTTATTAATTAGCTATCATTGGGTATAAGTATATCCTACCAAAAAACTCAGCCCCATTTCTTAAAGCACAGGAAATATATAATGCTCATTTAGGCCACCATTCTTACTTGATGCCTAGAGCCAATTAGAATAAAAATGTATTCATTTATATTTCATTGTACAGTATCAAGTACCCCAGAAAAACTCAGGAGAAACCTTGCTAGATGACAATATATACCACAAAGGACTACAGTTTTAAATTTATTACACAGTGAGACAAAGTTCCTTTAAAAAGGTCATGCATTTTATGGATCCAGGAATAAAGAAATGAATGTAAATTTATCAGCCTAGGCTCTTGGAAACTAGGACTCAGAGTAAGAGGGCCTGGTTCCACCACGTCTTAGCTGTAAGGCCTTTTGCATGTCTTTTAACCCGTCTGTGGCTGTTTCTTGATTTTAAGACTTAATCCGTAGGTTAAAAATCCATGGAGTTAATCCACAAGTTAGAAGATTTAATTCACAGATAACACCCTGCCTGTCTGGAGTCCATACCACCTACCCTGGCCAAGGGGTCTCAGGCATTAGAATTAGAGCAATTAATATCTGTAAAGTAGTTAGAAAAGTGCTTGATACTTAGTAAGCACTGTACAACTGGAAGGAAAAAGGGAAAACAGGCAGACATTTGCCTTATTTTACTCTGTGTTCTTCATATTAAATTTAGAACATGGTATTTGATTTTGCTCGTAATTACTTATAAAGAGTATTAAAATGAAGACTGCATTGAGAAATGGTAGCAATATCTTTCAGGAAGAGCAGGAGTTGGACCGACTTTCACATCTTAAAGGGAGTTTAAAAATTAAGCAGAACACAGAAACCGTATTCCAATATTTGACAGGCTGACCTAAGGAAGGTGATGGTTGATCCAGGCAGGTGAATGGATCAATAATTGGAAGTTATGGGTTAACAGATTTCAGCTTAACAAGAAGATAAGTTTTATAAATCATATAGCTGTCCAAAAATGGAATGGGTTGATACCCAAAGTAGCAAACTCCCTGCTACCGTACATGTGCAAGTAAAGGTTAGCTGACAATCTGTCAGTGATGTTGTAAAAAGAATCCCTGCCTTACTTGGCAGGGTCACTAGGTAATCTCCAAGGTCCTTTCCAAATGCTGCAGTCTTAAAATACCATTAGCAAAAAAAGTTACAAGTACATAGAAATGAAGGAGTTTGAAAATTGACTTTTAAGAGAATAACAATTAATGTGTAAACAAACATTTTATTCTGTTACCAAAAACTTGTGACATTTTATTACCCCATGAAAATAAAAAGCAAAGTATATAGTCTGACATATTTGGGAACAGTTAATTTACACCTATTCTTTTCTCAATTTGTCTTATTTTAATGAGATACACAAATGTTGGAATTTTAAAATTAATATTAAATTTAGTGGCTGAAAAGATAGCATAAGAATACACATATATCTCAGGAGTCACAACGATTGGGTCATTTGAATGAAAATGAGGTTTATAAACATGATCAAATTAGATTTAAGCAAAAAGCATTTAAAGAATTTTTATATATTGTATGTTCTAAATACAATATATAGCATGATATATTAATATAGAAAATATAAAATGTCATATATAAATGCATATATGTACATATATACATATATATATGTACACACACACACACACACACATATATATATATATATATATATATATATATATATATATATATATATATATATATATCTGTAACTTTGGTCTCCAAAGCAAGTAAAAGTAATATGAAAAAATTCATTCCAATTTACTCTTCAATTTCAGTTACTTTATTTGGATCACAAGTCTTGCAAGTATGCTAAATTCATTTTGTCAAACAAAAGTGATTCTTTGAAATGACTTTAGTTAGACTATTTCCTCAAACACAGAGATCTAAGCTTGCTCTAGTAATTCTGTATAAAGTACTCAGAAAAGCATATCTCCTTGCAGTGGAATCAGTTCAGGCGCACCAAGGGAACATCCTATGGCATCCAGTGTGTCTGCTCTTGCCCACCATCACACTATTACACCACCACATCATCATCACAGCACCACACCATCATCACAGCACCACACCATCACACCATCATACCAGGGAGAATCACAGAGCTTTCATATTAGATTCAAGGTGCAGAGTCTTCAGTTGAAAAATCTACCACAAAACTCAACTGAAGGGCTAGTATAAAGAACAATATCCAGATTAAAAAATAATTACTTTATTAGGCTGGGTGTGGTGGCTCATGCCTGTAATCCCAGCAGCACTTTGGGAGGCTGAGGCGGGTGGATCACCTGAGGTCAAGAGATCAAGATCATACTGGTCAACATGGTGAAATCCTGTCTCTATTAAAAATACAAAAATTAGCTGGGCATGGCGGTGCGCACCTGTAGTCCCAGCTACTTGGGGGGCTGAGGCAGGAGAATCACTTGAACCTGGGAGGCGGAGGTTGCAGTGAGCCAAGATGGCACCACTGCACTCCAGCCTGGATGACACAGCAAGACTCCGTCCCCCCGCAAAAACAAACAAACAAACAAACAAACAAACAAACAGACAAACAAACACAAAAAAACTTTTTTAGATGAATATACTCCTTAACATAAGACACTGTGAAGTTCTGGACCAGAAGATACCTAGTTTGCCTTTCAACACTGATCCAACAGAAACACATATGTATAGACCTCAGGTACATATTCCAAAAGAAATGGGGAAATATGTTAACTACACTTTCGTAGGCACTTCAATATAATTTTTGTTTAACGTTGAAATACTGAACCTTGAATTTAGATTTATTGGTTCCAATGGAGACATAAAGCTATACAAGGATAAAGATGCCAAAGCCTTCTTTTATATGTAAGAATGTTGATTCAACATTTATTTTTTGCAGGGATGTGGCAAAAATATCAGATTGCTGAGCATTTTCCTTAGAGGAGAAGTCAATATCTATGAGGAGTGCTGACTACTTACCTTGTAGCAACTTTCTTTCTTAGCTGCTGGTGGAAACAGTCCACATGATCTGCCTGAACAGAAAGCCTACCTTTGTAGGGAAAAGAATGCCCTGCCTGACTGAAGACCCATACTATCCACCCTGCCCAGGAGCCCAAGCCATGAGAATTAGAGAGGGAAGTTCACACATGCTTTTTACCTCGTCAGACCCTAAATGAATTAAAAAGCTTCTTTTTCTCTTCTAGTCCTCCACACACACAAGTCCAGATTCTTCCAAGACTCTTTTAGTTTGTTTTTTCCTTGACTGTGATAAATTAAATTGAAATTTTGCTTCCATTTCAAACTCCAGAAGAAAATATGTTCAGAAACATATTGACAAAACATGCTAATACCATTTTAACATTTGGTTGGAGATAAAGCTATTCAAAGGGCAACTACTAAATTTAAAATTGAGCTCAAAATTTTAAAAATATATACACATAAATTTATTTTCCCTAGTACTAGTATGCTGACATCCTAAAATCCCTAAGGCTTTTTAAAAAATGGGATATTTTTCATCTTCCTTTCATCTTAGCACTAGTGCCAAGGTTATTAGTGTACTTTTGTTATTCAGGGGATGTGGGCAAAGATAGCAAAATACCCATAAAAATATTTATGAAAAAACTAAATAAAGCATACTGCAAAGAAATGTGACTTTCTTTTACCTTGCCATAAATAGAAATGCAACAGAGTTTCCACTTTCCATTATGGTCTGAAATCATAACCTCTGTGGTGAAATTTTAATTTATAAACTAACTTTAAGGATTGCATAATGGAAGGTTATAACTGACTACATGAATATCAAATGTATAATTTTCTGAAAATAGACTTATTTCAACCCCAAATAATGTCCCATGATTTAGAATTAATTTCTAATTATGTACAATTTCTGTGTACTATAATAATTCAACCTTCAAGACTAAATCCTTGCTACAACATTGTTGTACAGCAAAGTTATAATGGCTATTTTCTTCTGAAACATCAAATCTTTTATTATTTAGTGTATCAAAAATCAGCTCAATTCTCTGTTCAGGAACCACATGATACATTAGCAGCTTTTAAGTTATTAACATACACAATAAAATTGTATGTATGTAGTCAAACCACAGAGGAAAAAAAGATGAAACTCATCAAATGCTTGTTGGAATGTGGGCTTCCACAGTCTGTCAACCAGATGTTTCTCATGTGGTCAAGCTGAACCCATGGTAGGTCTACACAGTGGTCTCGGTTGCCATTTAACTTTATGACCAAGTAATACTTAACAGTATGTACCTTGAACATATGCATATGAGATGTTTGTTATATGAAAGATTTTTTTTAATGGCAACTACAGATACTAGGAGTTTTCAATAAATCTATTTCAAGAGCAGCTGCTATAAAATTGGTTCATTCTTGTGAAGTGGAAGGCATTTTTCCCTTTTTTTCTGGCAAAAATAATATATCTTGACAGCTCTAATATGTCTTTTTCTCACTTTTGTTCTAGTCTATTTTCTTCAATAGAAAAAATCTTTAGCACAAAATCAAATAAAACTATTAGTGTTATAAAATTCTGTGAATTTATGTTATAAAATTAAATTATGAAACAAAACTGAACAAAAGATGACAACTATTGTATTTCTATTTTCAAAAACAAAAGAACAGTCAAAGTGATTTGAAAACTCTAAAGCATATAATAAATATAATGGCACAATTTTCTCAAATAGTTGAGAAAACAGACATCATTTTGAAAACACACAAATTCAGATGTAAGAAAACAGATATTTTGCAGTTTTAAAAAATTTAGTATTTTCAGCTTGTATTGAAGGCTGCTAAGAGTAAATTTAGGAAGAGTCTTGAGTATAGGATATAGTGAATAGTTTATGTGATTTTATTGTTATTTAAGTATTTACACCCTGCCATGTTTCAAAAAGAATTTAAGGCAGTTTACATTGATACATCAAATTCAGTAAGATATCAGGAATAAAAAGTGAGAAAGAAACAGTAAGTGCAAGAGTAATGTCATAAAATGGAGTTAAGAATGAGGCCAACACACACACACACACACACACACACACACATACATAGTGAAAGCCTATTAAAGAATGCTATACATCTGAAGTAGATGAATCACAAAATTGGCCCTGAGCTTTTTAGTAGTCTCTACAAAAAGGAAACTACAAAATTAAAGCCCACATGTACAAATACAATCACACATCGCCCCACCCCAGACAAACACATATGCACATATGCCCCTGTTTTGTTGTAGGGAATCATTCATTAGCTGAATGTTAATACTCTGGGAATGACTGCACAGAATACTCACAAAGAGGGAACTTTACAGAGGAATAAAAAATGTCTGACAACATGGATGCACCTGGAAAATGTTATGCTAAATGAAAGAGAGCATTCACAAAAGACCACGAATTGTATAAATCTATTTATATGCAATGTCCAGATGAGGCAAACCTAGTGGTTTCCAAGGGCTGGGGGGATGGCATTTGGGGAGACACTGGTAATGGAAATGGGGTTTCATTTAGGAGTGCTGAACAGGTACTAAAATTATTGTAGTGATAGGTGTACAACTCTGTCAATATACTAAAAACTACTGCATTGTACCCTATAATATGTTCACTAGTTTATTATAAAGGTATTACAAATAATACAGATGAAGAGATGTGTGGGGTGAGGTATAAGGGAAGGGATACGGAGCTTCCATGCACTCCCTGGGTGCACTGCCCTCCAGGAACCTTCATGTGTTCAGCTATCTGGAAGCTATCTGAACCCAGTTCTCTTGGATTTTTGGGAAGCTTCATGATATTAGCATTCCTTTCCCCCAAGAGTGTAGAGCACCACCCTCTCTGGGAAGAGTCTCATGATCACATGAATATCAAATGTATAATTTTCTGAAAATAGACTTATTTCAACCCCAAATAATGCCCCATGATTTAGAATTAATTTCTAATTATGAACAATGTCTATGTAATATAATAATTCAACCTTCAAGACTAAATCCTTGTTACAACATTGTTGTAGGCAAAGTTATAAGTAATCACATAATCTCTATTTTCTTCTGAAACATCACATTCTACAGTCTACACAAAACACTTTAAATGGGTGGGTGTTATAGTCTGGTAAGTACATGTGAATTGTATCTCAAAAAAGATGTTAAAAATGTAACAATATCCTTACACTAGACAAGCGGTTATCAAACTTAAGTGCACATCAGAATCACCTGGTGAGCTAATTAAAACACTGATTGCTGGACCCACGTGTGGAGTTTCTGGTCCAGTAGTTCTGGGAAGGGCCTGAGAATGTGCATTTCTAACAAGTTCTTGGATGATGCTGATGCTGGAATTACTCTTTGAGAACAAATGTGCCTCTCCTAGCAAAGGAAGCCGTGACAGAAGGTACCTGGAAAATCGGGATACTCTGACCCTAATAATGTGCTTTTCCAATGGTCTTAGCAAACGGCACACCAGGAGATTATATCCCGTGCATGGCTCCGAGGGTCCCACACCCACAGAGCCTCACTCATTGTTAGCACAGCAGTCTGAGATCAAACTGCAAGGCAGCAGCGAGGCTGAGGGAGGGGCATCTGCCATTGCCGAGGCTTCAGTAGGTAAACAAAGCAGCCAGGAAGCTCGAACTGGATGGAGCCCACCACAGCTCAAGGAGGCCTGCCTGTCTCTGCAGACTCCACCTCTGGGGGCAGGGCATAGCTGAACAAAAGGGAGCAGAAACTTCTGCAGACTTAAACCTCCTTGTCTGATGGGTTTGAAGAGAGTAGTGGTTCAACCAGCATGGAGTTTGAGATCTGAGAACGGACAGACTGCCTCCTCTAGTGGGTCCCTGACCCCCAAGTAGCCTAACTGGGAGACACCTCCCAGTAGGGGCCCACTGACACCTCATACAGCTGGGTGCCCCTCTGAGACGAAGCTTCTAGAGGAAGGATCAGGCAACAACATTTGCCCTTCTGCAATATTTGCTGTTCTGCAGCCTCCGCTGGTGATACCCAGGCAAACAGGGTCTGGAGTGGACCTCCAGCAAACTCCAACAGACCTGCAGCTGAGGGTCCTGACTGTTAGAAGGAAAACTAACAAACAGAAAGCACATCCACACCAAAACCCCATCAGTACATCACCATCATCAAAGACCAAAGGTAGATAAAACCACAAAGATGGGGATAAACCAGAGCAGAAAAGCTGAAAATTCTAAAAATCAGAGCACCTTTTCTCCTCCAAAGAAATGTAGCTCCTCACTAGCAACGGAACAAAGCTGGATGGAGAATGACTTTGACAAGTTGAGAGAAGAAGGCTTCAGACGATCGGTAACAACAAACTTCTCTGAGCTAAAGGAGGATGTTCAAACCCATTGCAAGGAAGCTAAAAACCTTGAAAAAAGATTAGATGAATGGCTAACTAGAATAAACGGTGTAGAGAAGTCCTTAAATGACCTAATGGAGCTGAAAACCATGGCACGAGAAGTACGCGACACATGCACAAGCTTCAGTACCCAATTTGATCAAGTGGAAGAAAGGGTATCAGTGATTGAAGATTAAATAAATAAAATGAAGTGAGAAGAGAAGTTTAGAGAAAAAAGAGTAAAAAGAAACGAACGAAGCCTCCAAGAACTATCGGACTATGTGAAAAGACCAAATCTATGTCTGATTGGTGTACCTGAAAGTGACAGGGAGAATGGAACCAAGTTGGAAAACACTCTGCAGGATATTATCCAGGAGAACTTCCCCAACATAGCAAGGCAGGCCAACATTCAAATTCAGGAAATACAGAGAATGCCACAAAGATACTCCTCGAGAAGAGCAACTCCAAGACACATAATTGTCAGATTCACAAAAGCTGAAAGGAAGGAAAAAAAGTTAAGGGCAGCCAGAGAGAAAGGTTGGGTTACCCATAAAGGTAAGCCCATCAGACTAACAGCGGATCTCTCAGCAGAAACTCTACAAGCCAGAAGAGAGTGGGGGCCAATATTCAACAATCTTAAAGAAAAGAATTTTCAACCCAGAATTTCATATCCAGCCAAACTAAGCTTCATAAGTGAAGGAGAAATAAAATACTTTACAGACAAAACAATGCTGAGAGATTTTGTCACCACCAGGCCTGCCTTACAAGAGCTCCTCAAGGAAGCACTAAACATGAAAAGGAACAATCAGTACCAGCCACTGCAAAAACATGCCAAATTGTAAAGACCATCAAGGCTAGGAAGAAACTGCATCAACTAACGAGCAAAATAACCAGCTAACATCATAATGACAGGATCAAATTCACATGTAACAATATTAACATTAAATGTAAATGGGCTAAATGCTCCAATTAAAAGACACAGACTGGCAAACTGGATAAAGAGTCAAGAGCCATCAGTGTGCTTTATTGAGGAGACCCATCTCACGTGCAGAGACACACATAGGCTCAAAATAAAGGGATGGAGAAAGATCTACCAAGCAAATGGAAAACAAAAAAAAGCAGGGGTTGCCATCCTAGTCTCTGATAAAACAGCCTTTAAACCAACAAAGATCAAAAGAGACAAAGAAGGCCATTACATAATGGTAAAGGGATCAATTCAACAAGAAGAGCTAACTATCTTAAATATATATGCACCCAATACAGGAGCACCCTGATTCATAAAGCAAGTCCTTTGAGAAATACAAAGAGACTTAGACTCTCACACAATAATAATGGGAGACTTTAACACCCCACTGTCAACATTAGACAGATCAACAAGACAGAAAGTTAACAAGGATATCCAGGAATTGAACTCAGCTCTGCACCAAGCAGACCTAATAGACATCTACAGAACTCTCCACCCCAAATCTACAGAATATACATTCTTCTCAGCACCACATCACACATATTCCAAAATTGACCACAGAGTTGGAAGTAAAGCACTCCTCAGCAAATGTAAAAGAACAGAAATTATAACAAACTGTCTCTCAGACCACAGTGCAATCAAACTAGAACTCAGGATTAAGAAACTCACTCAAAACCGCTCAACTACATGGAAACTGAACAACCTGCTCCTGAATGACTACTGGGTACATAACAAAATGAAGGCAGAAATAAAGATGTTCTTTGAAACCAATGAGAACAAACACACAACATACCAGAATCTCTGGGACACATTTAAAGCAGTGTGTAGAGGGCAATGTATAGCACTAAATGCCCACAAGAGAAAGCAGGAAAGATCTAAAATCAACACCTTAACATCACAATTAAAAGAACTTGAGAAGCAAGAGCAAACACATTCAAAAGCTAGCAGAAGGCAAGAAATAACTAAGATCAGAGCAGAACTGAAGGAGATACAGACACAAAAAACCGTTCAAAAAAATCAATCAATCCAGGAGCTGGTTTTTTGAAAAGATCAACAAAATTGATAGATCGCTAGCAAGACTAATAAAGAAGAAAAAAGAGAAGAATCAAATAGATGCAATAAAAAAATGATAAAGGGGATATCAACACCTATCCCACAGAAATACAAACACTATCAGAGAATACTATAAACACCTCTACACAAATAAACTAGAAAATCTAGAAGAAATGGATAAATTCCTGGACACATTCACCATCCCAAGACTAAACCAGGAAGAAGTTGAATCCCTGAATAGACCAATAACAGGCTCTGAAATTGAGGAAATAATTAATAGCCTACCAACCAAAAAAAGTCCAGGACCAGATGTATTCACAGCCAAAATCTACCAGAGGTACAAACAGGAACTGGTACCGTTTCTTCTGAAACCATTCCAATCAAAAGAAAAAGAGGGAATCCTCCTCCCTAACTCATTTATGAGGCCAGCATCATCTTCATACCAAAGCCTGGCAGAGACACAACAAAAAAAGAGAATTTTAGACCAATATCCCTGAAGAACATCGAAGCAAAAATCCTGAATAAAATACTGGCAAACCAAATCCGGCAGCACATCAAAAAGCTTATCCACCATGATCAACTTGGCTTCATCCCTGGGATGCAAGGCTGGTTCAACATACGCAAATTAATAAATGTAATCCATCATATAAACAGAACCAAAGACAAAAACCACATGATAATCTCAATAGAAGCATAAAATGCCTTCGACAAAATTCGACAGCCTTTCATGATAAAAACTCTCAATAAACTAGGTATTGATGGGACATGTCTCAAAATAATAGCAGCTATTTATGACAAACCTACAGCCAATATCATACTGAATGGGCCAAAACTGGAAGCATTCCCTTTGAAAACTGGCACAAGACAGGGATGCCCTCTTTCACCATTCCTCTTCAATATAGTGTTGGAAGTTCTGGCCAGGACAATCAGGCAGGAGAAGGAAATAAATGGTATTCAATGAGGAAAAGAGGAAGTCAAATTTCCCCTGTTTGCAGATGACATGATTGTATATTTAGAAAACCCCATCGTCTGAGCCCCAAATACCCTTAAGCTGATAAGCAACTTCAGCAAAGTCTCAAGATACAAAATCAATGTGCAAAAATCACAAGCATTCCTATACACCAATAATAGACAGACAGAGAGCCAAATTATGAGTGAACTCCCATTCACAATTGCTTCAAAGAGAATAAAATACCTAGGAATCCAAGTTACAAGGGATGTGAAGGACCTTTTATGGAGAACTACAAACCACTCCTCAACGAAATAAAAGAGGACACAAGCAAATGGAAGAACATTCCATGCTCATGGATAGGAAGAATCAATATCATGAAAATGGCCATACTGCCCAAGGTAATTTACAGATTCAATGCCATCCCCATCAAGCTACCAATGACTTTCTTCACAGAATTGGAAAAAACTACTTTAAAGTTTATATAGAACCAAATAAGAGCCTGCATTACCAAGACAATCTTAAGCCAAAAGAATAAAGCTGGAGGCATCACGCTACCTGACTTCAAACTATACTACAAGGCTACAGTAACCAAAACAGCATGGTACTGGTCCGAAACAGAGATATAGACCAATGGAACAAAACAGAGTCCTCAGAAATAATACCACACATCTACAACCATTTGATCTTTGACAAACCTGACAAAAACAAGAAATAGGGAAAGGATTCCCTATTTAATAAATGGTGCTGGGAAAACTGGCTAGCCATATGTAGAAAGTTGAAACTGGATCCCTTCCTTAAACCTTATACAAAAATTAATTCAAGATGGATTAAAGACTTAAACATTAGACCTAAAACCATAAAAACCCTAGAAGAAAACCTAGGCATTACCATTCAGGACATAGGCATGGGCAAGGACTTCATGTCTAAAACACCAAAAGCAATGGCAACAAAAGCCAAAATGGACAAATGGGATCTAATTAAACTAAAGAGCTTCTGCACAGCAAAAGAAACTACCATCAGAGTGAACAGGCAACCTACAGAATGGGAGAAAATTTTTACAATCTACCCATCTGACAAAGGGCTAATATCCAGAATCTACAAAGAACTTCAGCAAATTTACAAGAAAAAATCAAACAACCCCATCAAAAAGTGGGCAAAGGATATGAACAGACACTTCTCAAAAGAAGACATTTATGCAGCTACAGACACATGAAAAAAATGCTTATCATCACTGGCCATCAGAGAAATGCAAATCAAAACTACAATGAGATACCATCTCACACCAGTTACAATGGCAATCATTAAAAAGTAAGGAAACAACAGTTGCTGGAGGGAATGTGGAGAAATAGGAACACCTTTACACTATTGGTGGGACTGTAAACTAGTTCAACCATTGTGGAAGACAGTGTGGTGATTCCTCAAGGATCTAGAACTAGAAATACCATTTGACCCAGCCATCCCATTACTGGGTATATACCCAAAGGATTATAAATCATGCTGCTATAAAGACACATGCACACATATGTTTATTGTGGCACCATTCACAATAGCAAAGACTTGGAACCAACCCAAAAGTCCATCAATGATAGACTGGATTAAGAAAATGTGGCACATATACACCATGGAATACTATGCAGCCATAAAAAGGATGAGTTCATGTCCTTTGTAGGGACATGGATGAAGCTGGAAACCATCATTCTTAGCAAACTATCGCAAGGACAGAAAGCCAAACACCACATGTTCTCACTCGTAGGTGAGAATTGAACAATGAGAACACTTGGACACAGGGTGGGGAACATCACACATCGGGGCCTGTCATGGGGTGAGGGGAGGTGGGAGGGATAGCCTTAGGAGATATACCTAATGTAAATGACGGGTGCAGCATACCAACATGGCACATGTATACATATGTAACTAACCTGCACATTGTGCACATGTACCCCAGAACTTAAAGGATAATAATAAAAAAAAAAGTAAATAAAAGAGAACCAATGCAACAGATGATATGAATAGTGGAAATGACTTTTTTTTTTTTTTTTACCTTTCCTCAATATAGTTTGAGGACATAACAACCATTTACAGTTTAGTAAAAACAATGTGATAGGAAGCTGCCATGACAAAGAACCAATAATGACAGTAATAACAGTCATCACCACACATCAGTAATAGCCATGACAGCATTTAATATTTACTGATCCTCACTGTGTAACAAGTACTATTTAAGTGCATCAGTGATCATTGTCTCTTTTAGCGCTCATGACAACCCTATTAGATGAGGATGCTGGTGAAATTATCACTACAATATAAGTTTGACTTTACCAACTGCTTACTATGAACTATACCCAGTTACCAATTTCTTTATATATGTTGTTTCATTTTACAGATAAAGAACCTAAGGCCTCTTAGAATTTCATTCCCACTGCTAAGAAGTGGAGAAATCAGGCAGTCTAATTCCAAAGTCCTTCCTCTTACCCACTTTATGTGCCATAGTGGGGCAGCCTGCTCTTTGCTGAGCTGGCCTAATTGTTAGATTTTAGGGTATTCAGAGCAGTGATTACCCCTAAATAATACTATGGTATTTGAGAGATATCACATGTGATTTGTTACTAATAAAATACCAATTTTGCAAATGATATGCTCTATAAATTACAGTTTTGATCCCCATAATGATGTCATTCACACTCATATGAGTTCTGATAGGCTCACTAAATGGAAGAGAATGGAGTGTAATTATGCATAATGCATTTTTGCTCATAGGGCTTTAGGCCACTATCGTTTGAACATTAATATATTATGCCTAGCATTTGAACTTCTCTGTCATCTGTGGTCTTCTGATCAGGAGAAAAGCTTGCAACATTTTGGGTACTTATTCATAAATACAGTTGCCTCCCAGTTCAGTTTTCTTTAGAAATTGGCCTGTGAAGCCATCCAATTTGTTCCCTTGAACCAGTGTCTAGAGCACTATAACCAATATTCAAGTTAGAAGAAGGGTTGAAGCCATTTTATGACAGTGTTTACCTGAGTATAGCAAGTGTTCTGATGGAAGACAAGAAGTTTTAGACAGTATAATGATAATTCACTGAATTAATGGTTTTGGATTTCTTTGTATATGAGGACAAACATAATAGGCATATTGAATATATGAATTCATGGATATCATTGGCTAGGACAAGGCAGATGGTGTTTGTAGAAAAAATCATTAGGCAGTGAAATGAAAATTATTTCCTTGATTCTCTTGTCTCAACCTTCCAGGGGCATAAATAGACTCTAGGTTTTGGCATAACTGCTCTCCATAGATCATTCAGGTTTGGGCTGCCTGCATCTCAGCCTTCTTTAGTGAAAATGAGACCTTTCTTGGACTAGTTCTTGCTACACCTCATTTTCCAAGTGCAAAGGCATCAATCATCTCTCTAATCAACTGTAGGTTTTTGTTTCTCAGCTGGAAGTGTCTTTCTCTTATCTAAAATGGAGCCCTGTCCCCCTCCCAGCTAAAAAGCTTCACATCATGTCACAGGCTCCTGTCATAGCATGATGCATTCTCTGTCCAAACCCAAGGGATGCTCCTGTCTTATTCCACTGTGCTTTCATTTAAAAAATAAAAATAAAGCACATTTTTAAAAAAATGCACCACTCCTGAAACAGTGTCTTCTAAATGTAACTTAAACACAACAGGCCAGTGGTTTATTTATAAATGCTGGAAACCTTTCATAATTTGCAATTATGTGCAAAACTCCATTATATGAAACATAGAAGATGAGATGAGTGAGAATCTGGATGGCCAGTAAATGTTTAGACAGATATTTAATCTTATTTTGTGTTACTGAGAAAATATAACTTAAACAAAGATAGCACTTTTCATCCATCAGATGGTTAAAAACTCTTACAGTACAAGTATTGGGATGTGTGGAGAAATGGGAACACATGTGCATGCCTTGTGGCTTATAAATTAGTATAGCTATTTGGAAAAGCAATCTGGCAGCATCTAGCAAAATTAAAAATACAAATGCCTTACCACCCATTATACCTATTGGTTTATATACATGGATATACATGTGAGAATGTCTATTACACTATTGTTGGTAATCAGATGTTGGTAAAACATCTGATGTTTTGCTGTTACTTAAAATTAACTAGGGCAATAGATAAATTGTGGTCTATTTATACAAGGGAGTATTATATAAGTTTAAAAGAAGATAACTAGATCTAAAATAAATACAGATCTCAAAAACTTGATATCAGCTGAAGAAAATAAGTTGTTCAATGTGCCACACATTACAACACTTAAACGTAAGCAAAATCACTTGACAAGTGTGATGAATGAATAAGCACTACTCTTATCCACTTAGATAATTCTAACATAGATTTTCCTAACTCCTGGCAACTTACCTAAATTGTATGCATCCTTAAGACACAGTTCAGATTCTACCTCCTCCAGGATACCTCCTGGCCACAGTGATTCTTTTTATCCTCTGAGCCACTTAATAATGAACACTTTCTATGCTCTGGACTCATTTATTTGATTCTGTTCTTGTGGGAATTAGCAGTTTCCCCATATAGGATGCTTAGTGTTATTCTTAGTGCATAGTAAGTCCTCATTGACTATTAGTGGCTATTATAATTTCAAATGTGTTTCTCCATTTGTATAGCATGGTACTCTGCCATAGTAGATATACAAAAGATGTTCACTTTTGACTATGAAAATGACGACCACATATTTCTATTAATGACCTGTTTTCCCAACTCACCTCCAGAGGTGGGGCTCCTGACACATTAATTACAGGATATCCTAACTTGCCAGTGAAAGCTGTGGGAATTCAGGACTTAGACATTCTCTAGTTCCACAAACTGAGTGCTGAGTGCTGCTCTCTGGGGGCCCCGGATATGCACTAACCCCGACTCTAAGCTAAGTTGTTTCTAGATTCCCCGATGCTATAGCTAGGGCTCTAGCAAGATTTCCAAACCCTGTAGCCCACTAGCCCACTGTCACTGAGAGACAATTTAAGCCTTTTAGAAACCAAATGTTAATCCTGAGACTTTTTTCCTAAGACCTCGAAGACCAGGAGAACTTCCCCATTTTAGCAATATCCAAAGATGCACTTTTAGAGAAAAATGTTCTAAGGAAGAACAAGCAGGGTAGATAGAGATGGGGAGAGTGTAGAGAGCAAGGGTAACATTTCTCAGCAGAACACTTCATGCCCACTGGGTGCAGAGACTTTAAGTCATCTCATTTATCACAACACTCACAAGAGGGCAATGGAGCATCATCTCGCCTTCACACGTTAGGAAACTGAGGCCTTGAGATTAATTAATGGGTCCACCACTGCACAGATAATTAGTGTTAGAATAAGGAATTAACTCCAGGTCTTCCTGGATTTAAAAATCTGTGTTTGTGGCATAAGTTAAATGTATTTGTTTCAATTAGATTCATTTCCATTGTATTATTTTATTAAGTTAAAATGTATGTTTCACATCCTTCTATGTCTAGGCACTTAGTTAATAATTTTGGGAGTTGAAAGAAGTGGTTGACTTGGGAAGGTGTGGATAAAGCTGATGGCTGCTCTGTACTATGGCCTCCACACTCACAGGGTCTCAAGTTGCTATGACTGGAAAACAAACACTATCAACAAAAGAAAGTATGGGAAAGAAATAGACTTCAAAATCATCATTTTTCTGTCAATAGAATACTATGACAATCTTGTCAGGCATGAATATAAGAAGAAGATCGACGAAAATTAGCACATACATTTTGTTCAGGAAGTTGAAGTCCTTTGTAGGCCATTCTTTGATTTTCCCAGAAAGATCAGTTCTCTTTTGGGGTTTATAGTGGATGGCTTATTAAAAGCTACTTGCTCTAACATGATTTCTAAGATGTGTATTCTTTGCAGTATCTTTCAACTCACCTTCAGCTGAAGTAAAAACATCCCAAATAAGGTCAATTTTCATGTTTTTATTAATAACCCTGAGATGAAGGTGACTCTCTCTCTCAGCTTATTCCTGTTATTTGCTGCAAATACTGACTGAAGTAATGTAGCAAACACACCACTGAAACTCTCAAGGGAGGAGACAATACTTAGCAATCATGGAAGACCTGTTCCCAATTACGATGTTCCCTACAAACACATCCCTTTCAAGTAGTCAAAAAATAGCACACCAACATGGCACATGTATACATATGTAACAAACCTGCACGTTGTGCACATGTACCCTAAAACTTAAAGTATGATAATAATAAAATTTAAAAAAATAGCTGCAAGCTTCAATTACCTATGCTTACAATGCTTATACTTCTCTTTAATATTTGAAATAGGATATAATATGAAATAATAGCAGCTCTTCTCTAAAAGTACAATCAAAAACAAAGAAAAAAATAAGCTCAAGTGGAAACAAGACTAAAGACAAAAGGAAGAAACTTTTTTATTTCAACAATAATTGAACTACATTACTTAAAAGTGAACCCTATCAGGGAGGAAGTCATGCAAATACATCTTTTACTGACATCAATTGGTTAAGAGTCATTTACTTATAAAGCAGAATACTTCATAAATTATGCTCCCCCAACAGATAAATTACAGGCGCAACATGTTGAGAATATGACATTTGATAAATGAAACTCAATAAGGCCAATGGGCCTTTTAAGTCTCTTATAAATTCAATATTTACTGAAATAGAATGACTAAAGCCCTGTATTGCGAGGGTGATACATAGGTATATGCTGAAACTTACCCTGAGTCTTCTTACTAATGGCATATTAACTATCCTAATTTTAAGGAGCTATGACAGATTGAGGAAGTAACATAGTATAAAACAAAAGACAATTGAGAACTATGGTGTCACATTACTACTTTGTGTAGTCATCATCCTAGAGTTCCTGTTAAGGAAAAATAATAGTACAATGGTATTTTTGTTTTAATTTACTTTATAGAGGCATTAAATTTCCCTATACAATTATTTTTTGTTCAAATATGACATTTTAAAATCCAGTCAAATTTATTATTGTATTTTTAAGGTCCAATCCTAATAGTCTATTAATCAAATATAAGTTTGATTAATAGGAAGTCTGAAAGTTCCTACTAAAAATGCTTTCTGCAAATGCATTGGGACAAGACAGCTCTTAGCATTCCATGGAGAGTCCAAAACTGAAAACTGAATTCTGATAAAGTATTCTCCCTTTCTTAAAAAAAAAAACCTGCAAATTATTAAGCCACCTTTGTGGTACAACTTGTGCCATAGGTGATCAAGGTAGAATTTTGCAATACACATACATTTCAAAACTCAAGGGAAGGATAGACATACCAGGTTTATAGTCTTGTCATAATGTCATTAAAATCAATTACGGATTTAAATTAAAATTGGTTTAAATAAAGTAGACTTTAGTCAAGTGGTTCTCAATCATGGTTCCCCCCTAGAAACTAGTATGTGGTGGGACTTTGCCTTTAACAACAAAAAAAAAAGTTTTCTAGATTTCTGATGGGCTGTGAGGGTTAAGAATCACTGTTTTGGTCTTAATGATACAGGCAACCACTAAGAGATCCTTAGAGAGTCAGATCACCCAGACACCTTGTGTTTAATTTTCTAATCTGAAGAGGCATTTATGCCATTTCATCAAACAGATGGTACCCGAAAGCCCCATCAGGAGTGTGCAGCTGAAAGTAATACTGGATAAGTAGAAAAAAAGGAAGTCTGAATTTTTTGACAATTGTACAAAGGGTGGATTCAGGTGGTGAGCTGAAATGGTTTCTATTGTTTTTGAATTAGGATAATATTTGCCTATTTGTTTTTGAATTAGAATAATAAGACTCTTACTTTCATATTCTGCAGCTTGTGCTTATCAATATGTCACAATCAAGTGATAACTTCATATGCTTAATTTAAAATGCTTATGTATGCACAATACCACCAAATACATAGGACCCGAAAGTTTTAGAAACCCATGTCATTCACGTATTCCTTTATTGTATATTTATTGAGAAAAAATATATACTATGTTCACTGGGTACTGTTCTAGGTACTGGAAATATAGTAGTGAACAAAGAGAAACGAAAATCTCTACCTTCAGAGAGCTGCTTCTTGTGAGGGGATTTCTGAATAAGAGCCAAATGGAGCTTTATTTATTTACTTTCATTTATATACTTTTGCTCATCGTAAATAATTTGAAACTGCTACAGAGATAAGCACAATACAATAGAAAATACTTAATATAGATAAGGACAAAATAAAACTAAATAAAGAGTGATATGATAACCTTGGCGAACTTTATTTTTCCCTTGAGTTTTTATGATGAAGAAACCTTGGTGAATTTTTAAGAAATCCAGAGAAAATAGCCTGGAAGGTGATTGGAGTAATTCAAAGGTAAAATAAACTGCAACTGATGTTAAATAAAATTAAAAGTTGCAGTAAATTCAAAAACATACAAATCAAATTCCTTTAAAACACTGATTTTTAAAAATCCAGAGTTGTTCCCCAGAATGTCTGTAAAGTTCTTAAAAAATTAAATCCTGGGACCCACCTCAGATCTTCTCAATTATAATCCATGTGAGGTCTAAACATATGTATTGCGTTTTAGTATAGGACATGTTGTTTTATTATAAAATTGAACCCAAGATGATGATAACTTAAACTACATCTTGATACATTTTTAAAAATAGATTTAAGGGGTACAGGTGCATCTTTGTTACATGGACATACTGCATAGTGCTGAAGTCTGGGCTTTCAGTGTAAACGTCACCTGAATAGTGTACATTATACCCAACAGGTAGTTTCTCATCCCTCCCTCCCTTCTCATCCTTCCACCTTTTAACACACCAATCAAACATATGTATTTTTTAAATTTCCAGAGGTGGTTCTGATGTTCATTTAAAAACCACTGTCTGAAGGGTGGGACTTGCTAGATGGCAGAGTGAGGAGCTGGGAAAATCTGCTTCCTCTCAAAAAACTCAACTGTAAAATATTGTCAGAATCCAGAATTTTGGGACCCCAGTAATCAATCAGCATTAAGCAGTAACTTGAGAAATGTTTATTCATGAACCACTCACTGTTGTATGTGCGGTAGGAAATTTATAAGAGTTATATGTATAAAAATATCTATAAGAAATTTCTAAGGTGACTTCTTTATCTTAAATTCTACGATTATTTCTAGATATGCATTAGCATCAAAAATGTTTATAAAAAACCTATTCAGGGATTGTGATGCTTCCATAATTAACACAGCATTTGCAAACACTTGCACATTTTTAAAGTGCTATTTAAAGAGCTGATTTACTTAAATAGGGAAGATACTGCATTTGAAACCTTATTTACAAGAGCTGCCAGGACACTTCATTTTAATATATGCTATTGTAGTCCAACCTTATGTCATAAAATATTCACAAACATAAAACTACAAGGATCATAATTAGCTAGATTATACTGCACATGGAAAATCAGAGTATTAACATTACAGCCCTTGATTTTTTAATTTTTTTAACCAACATTATTTAGTGATTACCATGTGCCAAACATTGTTAATTCCTGTACATGTATCATTTCATTTAATCCCCGAGACACTCCTAAAATGGAGCTACTATTATCATGTCTGTTTTAAAAGATGAGGAAACTGAGAGGTACAAGAGGTTGAGTAACTTGCCCTAAGGCACTAAGAGGCAGTGAGAGACTAACTTGCCTATGGGTAATGTATGGCATATAGCCTGGATTCAAATTAGCTGGCTCCCAAACCTCATGTTCATATCTACTCTGCTGTGTTGCCAGAGCTTGTAAACCTATGAGCCTGTATTGTAAGGCAAAATACCCAGAGGGAAATGAAGGCAGTTATTAAAGAAAAGAACTCATCTTATTTTCTTTAAATACATGCATACATACACACAAATACAGGCCAACACTCACACTCTGGCACGGTCCTCATATACAGACAAAACCAAAAGAAGAAGAAGATCACCAGAATACTAGGGATTTGAAGTTAAGCCTTTAGTGTTTTAGATTAAATTTCTAGTGCCTTACCTTAAAAACACAAAAATGAATCATCACAAATGCTATATCATGAGCAAATGTATTGCATATATAATGTCCATCATAGGCAATACCAAAATATATTGTTCTATAGTATAACATGTCCAGTAAATATATTGCCTTTATTTACCTGTTTGAATTATTTTATGTCTAATTTAAGGGTCCCCTCTTCTATCTTAAATAAACAGGCACACCAATTTCATCTTCCAGAAGATTTGTTACCTAAATCAGTTTAGTCCCATGGTGTACCTGACCTATAATATCATGCATTCCTGCATTTCTCACCAAGCACCTTTGTTCCATCTATAGTGACATTTCTGTTCTTTTTCTGCAGATTTGAAGATTTCATACTTGAATTTGGTATTTTACCATTAGTGCTGAGATATTATTTTTTGAAAGAAGTTTTTATATCAACCAAACATGTTGTATATGGCTGAGATGTTCATGTCAGGCCTCTAAGACATCCTCACACATTTATCAAAAAATTATGATAGAGCTCCACGGAAGAATGAAAATGCCAAGAGACATGAAATGGGATGAAATACAGAACTTCAGAAACCTCTCGTTAGTGAGAAAACACAGAGGCATAGAACAAACACAAGCAAACATCAATGTCACCAATGAAAGACTGCAGCAGTTAAAAGAAAACTGATAGCTAATGGCAGGCTAGATAAGAAGCAGCCTTCTCCAGTGAATCATATGACATTCCTTTCTGGGAACCCAGAGCCTGTCCCATGCTTCCTAGTGTGCTTCTGAGCTAGGCTTTGCAGCAAAGAGACAATTTCGCTTAACTTTTTAATTAACGTGTGTCCTTGCTGATAGACACTGTGAATGAAGCACTTTTTCCTTCCCATTACGGCTTACAGTTTAGATTTAATTACTGTGGAAATGAATCAAGAAACATGACTTCGGGCACAGCATTTTAAATGTCGGCAGAGTAACCATATTAATTCTCTATTTTAAAGTATCAGTGTCATCCCATCTTCATGATGAGTGATGTGAAAATAACTTTAGAAAGGAGGTTACTGACCCAGAGATTCTGTGGGCCATGGGAATATCACCTATTAGTTGTAATTTGGAAAGCTTTTGTTTGGATAATGAGTTAGTTTAATTTTGCAAGTACTCATAAATACTTATGCATCATGAAAACTTGCTCTTACAGTGTTATATATGAGATTTTCGGGGCCCCTTAACTTGAGCCAATGAGCTAATAAAATATATAATATCATATATAATAATGCATGTCATCAAATGTGTACACAGCCACGTTTTCTAAAAGTGAAAAGTTTAGAAAAGTAGCCTAAAATGAGTAGGGGAAATATAGATAGAGATGAAATCATTATACAGGTGGAGAAAATTATCTATCTCTGATGTCATAAGCTATAAGCCATGAAAATGCAGTAAAGTTCTAAAATATTTAGTCCTCCAATAAAATATGTATTTTGAAAAAAAAAATAAAAACAACTCAAAATGACCTTAAAAGAAAAAAACTTGAAAAACATGTGAGATACCTTCTCATGCAATCCAGCGCTCGGATAAAGAAGTCCTTGTGTAACTGGTGCTCATCTCTCAAGATTGAGCATTGTTCAAGTGTCACTGACATCGATGTCCTGTCTTTGGCACTTTTACAACAGGTGAAACGAATACCATTCAGTTTGCGGCAAATCTGTAACATATGTAAGAACGAACGTTTCTTGTTCATTTGTAATACCGTAAAGTGTCGGCCTCCTCCAAACACTTCTAGTCTAAACACATCAAATATAAATTTGGGTTTCTGTTAGTTTATGATAGTCAATTTGTTCAATCGGTCTCATCAAATGTAAAAGCATTACCTTTTCATTTCAAAAGCCAACACAATGGACCCAATTTATTTCTTTGTGCATGAGGCATGGAACTGTTGAAGCCATATAAGATGTAAACTATCCAGCAGAGGACGCAGCACACTACCCAAGGGGGGTGCCTGGTCTGCAGTGTAGGACAATGCTAAACTAATCCCAGCTCAGAAATAACACCATCATTGTAAAGAGGAAAAAACAAACAAACAACCAACCAAAAAACTATATTCCCTGGATCAAACAATTGATTCAAATCGTATATAGCTAATATTCTCTTATTTTTCATTTAAGAAACATTTGCTAGTCTTGGCTTTATGTTATGAGATTTTAAACATCCTCATGGTGCCTCACAACAGACAAGGGAACTACTCATCAATACTAAAAAGGAGAACAATAGAAATGGCCACTGTTTATTGCAAATTGACTGTGCTCTAGGGTACAACACTAAGAAATTTCATATACATTTGCTCTTTTTAATAAACTTCACAGGGGCCGGGCACAGCGGCTCATGCCTGTAATCCTAACACTTTGGGAGGCCAAGGCAGGAGGATCATTTGAGCTCAAGAGTTTGAGACTAGCCTGGGAAACATAACAAAGCCTCCTCTCTATTTAAATAAATAAATTAGCTAGGCATGGTGATGCATGCTTGTAGTCCCAGCTACTAGGGAGTCTGAGGTGGGAGGATTACTTGAGCCTGTGATCATGCCACTGCACTGCAGCCTGGGCAACAGAGTGACACCCTGTCTCAAAAAAAAAAAAAACCTCCCAAATTAACAATAAAAGTAAATAAATAAACTTCGCAGAACTCTAGAGGAAGGTATAATTGTTTTCATTTTACGGATGAGGATACTGAGGTTTAGATGGGTTAAGTAACTTGCACATAACAGAGCAGAACCAGGATTCAAACAGAACTCTACTTAAGTTCAAGAATCAAGTCTCTTAATTTCTGTTATGTTCTGTTTTCCTCTATGGTTCTTTCTTTTTGTTATTCTGATTTAAGTCAGAGAAAAATCACTGAGCATCAATACTCTCTTGTCTCATTGCCTTATGAGTAATAGGGGAATCATTCCATTCCTTTGTCTTCTATCCCATGGTAGGGTTCTAACATGAGATAACAATAATCAACTTCGGCATTACAATGCTAATCAGTGTGCATTTAAAATAGATCTAATGTGATATAACAAAGGTCTTCTTTATTATCTGTCATCAAGCAGTCTTTAAAAGTTGTCCGCTTTTAAAAGAAGGTAAAATAATATAGCTAATCTAGAATTTATTACCATGTTTTAATTGTGATTCTTAAACTTGAATTTATACATCACTATTAATTCAGACCTTTGGTACTTCTATTTCCAATATAAGTGACTAGAAAAATGTGAGAGCATGATGTCTCCATACAATCTTTTTACATCTAAAAAATTCTAATCCTTTCAAATAAATAGTATTTCATTTTTAAAAATTCTTAACTATATTTATAATAATAAAATAGACCATAATGGCTATTTATGAGATATGATTTTCAAATTGAATTAATATTCCTTAAAATTTATTGTTACTATCATATGCACTTGTCCTACTTAGAATATTTAATGTTCTAAATTTAAAGTCTAGTGGAGGTAAGGGCACTTCCATCAGAGTACACAGGTTAGGCCTTGATTTCTACAATACCTGAACTATTGACTTAACACACTTGATTGTCATTTGTCCTCTTTAAGTCTTCACTTTTACTATTTAAACTTAAAGAAGAAAAAAACAAATGACTTTATTTTTATTTTTATTATTATTATTTTTGAGACGGAGTCTCACTCTGTCACCAGGCTGGAGTGCTGTGGCTCAATTTCAGCTCACTGCAACCACCAACTCCCTGGTTCAAGCGATTCTCCTGCTTCAGCCTCCTGAGTGGCTGGGATTACAGGCATGTGCCACCATGCCCGGCTAATTTTTGTATTTTAGTAGAGATGGAGTTTCACTGTTGGCCAGGATGGTCTCCATCACCTGACCTCGTGATCCGCCCGCCTCGGCCCCCCAAAGTGCTGAGATTACAGGTGTGAGCCACCACGCCTGGCCACTTTATATTTTTCAATTAGAATGTAAAACATTAACTAAAGCAGTATTTCATTAAATAAATTTTTAAAAGAAAGGAAAATAAAATAAAAACAAATATTAACAAAATATTTTTGGAAAATATCAAAAGGAATTTCGGTATTTATTTTAAAAGTATCATAAATAGGCCCATGATTTACAAATAGAATATTGAAACTGAGGCATTAGCTAACAGAAATGCTACTAATCATTCATTCAGTGGTGAATTGTGAGTAAATCATATTTGGTCAGTATACACATTTCAAAAAAATATTTTAGAAATGTGTGGGATTTATAGGAAAACTTTTTCATACATTAAAATGGGAAATTGCATATACTAAAATACACATTTGTGTTTATACATGTGTATCCTTAATTTATCTATTTACATAACTTCACAATGTACATAATGACACATTTATATGTTTGTAAATCATCAGATGGCATGAGTATCAAACTATCTTCATGCCGTCATGTTTTCAGTAAAATAGAAAATCCAATTTATGACCTACCATTGTGAAATTTTTGTTAGAATTAACAACCGTAGTGGTCTTAGAAGATACAAAGAGCAGCCACACTATTAAAAACAACCTTCATGTAATACAGTATGGTGCTAAATGGAACCAGTGTAAATCAGCTGCCTGAAAGCGACATTTCATATTGTTACCTTTGATGTTCTTCCCTGGGGCTCCAAGAAGGCAGGAAGGGAAACTAAAGAAGCTTTCCTCTGCCTTGCTTTTGGTAAATTATTTCATATGGGCTCATGGTAAATTATCCATTCCTTTTTCCCAGAAGAAAGTAAGTGATATTGAATTATAATTGAAGCACTGGAAGTAGGGGAAAACTTTCTGTTTTAAATGCTATGGCTAGAGAATGAATAGAGTATGCAAGAAGCATGGTTAACCTGAGCTCCAAATTATAAGAGTAACACTGCAGAAACTGCAAACATGGCATTTATCATAAAGATCTTTAACATGTACCTTTCCTGATGGAAGGATGCATTCCTAATGAAAGGATGTTTGGGTCTGAATGTTTAACACAATTCATAAATTTCATGTGAGCTATGCCTCAACGGTTACCAGATAAGAGCCTTAAAAATACAGGCTTTTTTTTTGTTATCTCTAATTCTTATAGAAACCTGGGGTGAGAACACAGGCAGCTCTTTTACCCCAAGGGCACCATTAAATGAGAAAGAGCTATACAAAATATAGTTCATTACCCCAAGAGCAATCCATCAGTAATGAATTCTATGCCAACATCTAAATTAACAAACACATTTATAAGCTCATTAACTGAACAATATGTCCAGGAGCCTTACTGAAGCTGTGAATCAGAGATCTGATAACCACATTCTGTTGAAACCATATGTCTCTAAAGCAGCAGTTCAAAATCCTGGGTGATACGGGCAATTGACGTTGCAATACGCAACATCAAGAAACTCACAGACACTTCCTCAGAGTGGAGAACACATCCAAGGTTGGTAAGAATAGCAAGTGAGCAAGAGTCTTTCTTAAGTGCATCTTCTTCTATCTTATGTTCTAGTCTATGGATAGAACTACCAACAAGAGTAAAAATGCCTAATCCATGGACTAATAGAAGATGACACCTGGCAACCCAAAGTGCAGAGGTTGGACCCTGCACAGTAGAGAACTGATAATATTTGCTGGTTATGACATGGCAGGAAATAAGATTTGACATGAGAGTGCTTACCGTTGCAGCCAGCCACATAATTTCTACATTCTTTCTTTTTTTGGATTGGATATTTTGAAGGAGATTTTCTAGCAATGCTTTTAAATCATTTTGTTCCTGAAAATGTGAAATATCTGAAGGGGAAAAAACAAAGGAGAAAAATAAAATGAGACAGTGTTCACATTAAGCTGCCCATGGAGGTTTTTTCAATACATTTATTTGCAAACACAACTTTTCTTTTAGGCAGGGTCTTGCTCTGCCTACCCAGGCTGGAGTGCCAATGGGGCCCAATCTCTGCTCACTGCAGCCCAGCCTCAATTTCCCAGACTCAAGTGATCCTCCCACCTCAGTGCCCAAAGTGGCTGGGATTACAGGAGCACATCACCATGCCCAGCTACTTTTTGTATTTTTTGCAGAGACAGGGTTTGGCCATTGTCACCCAGGCTGGTCTCAAACTCCTGAGCTCAAACAAACTGCCTATCTTGGCCTCCTGAAGTGCTGGGATTACAGGCATGAGCCACTGCACCCAGCCTCAAACACAATTTTATAACAAGAAATATCATTTGAAGCTAAGGGTGTCTGAGGACAACCATACTTATTAATTTACCTGTTTTTTTCTTTACTTACAAATATGCTTAATTCTCTCATTCTCTATTCTGTATAACTATGGTAATATCAAGTGGTCCTACAGTACTATTTTACCAGCATTTTGGACAAAGATGTTGGCTTCTGTCTCACTTTAACAAAAGCATAAGACATAGATGTCATGAGATATAACTTTCCTTTTTTTGCCATTGAGTAGCTAGTCTGAATCAAGAGAATATATTAAATTGAACAACTCAGGGTTGGGAGAAATCTGAAAGTTCAAATAAGACACATGAAATCAGTTGCTATACAGCAAGTGTCCTTGAACTCAGCACTATTAACTTCTTGAATCAGGTAATATTTTGCTGGGAGGAAGACCATACTGTGCATTACAGGATGTTTCACAGCATCCCTGGCCTCTACCATTCGCATGCCAGTAGCAGCTTTCCCAAGGTAACAGTAAAAATGGCCTTCAGACACTGCCAGTGTCTCCTGACAGAAAAATATATCCTGCTTGAGAACCAGCACTATAAAGAAGCACAGATATGACACGGAAAGAGGAAAAACATGAGGCTATACTTCACAGTATGAGATAATTGGGTAGAAAGCAGGAAATGACACTGGTTGCTCAGATTTCTGCATACTAACAACTAAAGCATGGGTAATAAATGGCATACACTTTATACTAAAAACGGAGACAATGTACGTTATGACCCAAATGTCCCCAAGACTTGGTGAGATGGGATTCAATATTATAGTGATAGAAACAAAAAGACTGTCTAAGTGAATGGTTGGATAAGTACTGTATAGTATGAAAATACACTCTACTGTTGAATCCATAAACTGAGAGATAAATTCCTGAGAGCTTTAACTGAGGCTAAAAACAGGAGAAAATAAGATGGACTACAACTACGTTACCGAGTTTCACTGAAGAAATAGATGATGTCTTCCTTACAAGTTCACAAAAACTGACACAAATGAATTTTAGTAGTAATGAGGCTTTGTACTTTTTCAAATTTGTACCAGATGTTGCAGTTTAGCAAAATAATATATCTGAATAGTTCTGGTTTGTGACTTTAGCTCCAGAGGAGAGAGGAAGTATCCCAGTGAACTATACTAGTGATATATATCTAAGAGCAGAAGTGGTTGGTAAGGTGGGAATTTCCATTGAAAATAATCATATCTCATCTTGGATTTTATGACCACAGAATAGAGGAAGGTTGGGTACAATTCAGATAGGTTTAGGGAAGTGAGGTTCAAAATAGTCATATAAAATATATGCATGATTCCATTGAATTTGTTTCTAAAAGAGAAAGTTGTCAAAAGTCATATCTTTACTATATAACTACAGATGATTCTCATACAAAAGAGAAAGTTTGACTGAAGACATCACATTGTGAGGTAGAAGGTTCTCTGATATACAGGAATTTTAACAGGACACAGCCCAAAGATAGCCTAAAGATAAAGGGAAGGAGGCCGAATATGGAATGCCTTGAAGGGAGTTATAAAATCAGACCAGGACTTGGTGGCTAATCAAAGAAGGTAAGGACAATAAGGTTGCTTTTTAATTTATAATCATGGCATGCAAGAAATAAGAAGTCAAGTCCACCATCACTGCTTTTAATGTTGATAAATGGCAACCAAAACAAACCCAGGGGAAGCCATAAATTAGAATTATAAGCAGCCATTAAAAATTATGTACAGGTATATCGGTGACATAGAAAGTGTCCTTGACATTGCTGAAAAGAAGAATTGGCCAGATTAATGAATAAACTTATTTGTGTAACAATGTGTGCTTGTGTGTGTGTGTGTGCACGTGCACATGCATGCCTGTATGTTGGCTTCTCTTGGCATATGTATATAGGCAGAGTGAAACACTAGTTTAGATATTAACAGTGGCCATCTTTAGGCTGTGCAACTTAGTGTAATGCTTCAACTGCCTTTTCATATCATTTTAAATGAACACATATTGCTTTTAAATAATAAGATGATTTTAAGAGCAATGGGGAACAGAGAATGTGCATGAGAAAAAGAAATAACTTAAATTCTTTTTCTTGGCTTCATGGTAGAACAGTTCATTATATCCTGAAGAACCTAAATTCTTACGATATAAAGACCCGAATTCAAAATTTCCACAGTCTAGTAGGGTGGGATGGATATTTAAACTATTATTAAATCCAGGAAAGTACACTGCAGGCTATGACATAACTCAGTAAAGATTTGTGAAGCAAGGGAAGCACTGGACAATTCTATAAGAATTGGTGGGTGTTGGAGGGCATCCAGCAAAGATAATGCTTTGCAGCTACCAAGAGCGTTTGAGGCTGAGGGGAAAATAGCAAAGGCACGAGGCATGAGCCAGTACTGCAGAAACACGGAGTGTGCAGTTCAGAATGTCCTTGGAGTGGTTAGTCCTGGGGCAAGATTTATGAAGGAGAATCATGTTCTGCTCTGCTGGGGAATCTGGGCTTCATCCTAGAAAATGCGGGCAACTGATGAGTTTTAAACAAGGGCTTAACCCCTTCTGGAAAGCCCCTGAGCTTCTTTCTGAAGTCAGGCTTGTACAAATGGCTTTCAAACAGTTTTGAAAGCAATACAGAATAAGAAGTTTCCTTTAACATGAGATGAAGACATCACATCTGGAGAGCTGATACATAACAATGCAATTTTAATTAGCAATACTTTATTATGTATTTGAAATTTGCTAACAGAGTAGATTGTAGATGTTCTCACCACACACACACACACACACACACACACACACACACACACACACAGAGAGAGAGAGAGAGAAAGTGATAAATATCTGAGGTGAGGAAGTAGTAATTAGTTTGACTATGGTAATTATTTAATAATGGATATGTATCATACATCATCAAATTGTATGCCTTAGGTATACCTAATCCTTAATTATCAAAAATACCTCAATTTATAAAAAGAAAAAAGCTTACTTTACAAACATCTCACAGCAGTCATACACACACACCCCTCTGTAACAAAAACCTTATGAAATGATATTTACCCTTAGTGTATACATTGCACTCGAAATTTTTGTATTTCATAATTTTTCAAAAATTGTAGTTCCAACACACCACATTTATTTAACATTTCCTAGGATCAACATAAAACATTTGCAAAGCCCTGAGTTAGGGCAACCCCATGTCCAAAGTGACTGGGACTGAAGTGACTTTTTCACAAAGTTCATAGTCAGAGGAGGAGTCAAGGCTAAAACTTTGTCTCTTAACTGCTGTACCAGTAATTTCTCCCAAATCTCTGCTGATGTTTTTACCATTGGTAGTACTAAAACCAGCTCTAGTATTAACACAATAGACCAAATTCTTCAGAACGCTGAGACTCCAGAACAGAGCATGATTTATCAAAATAATTTTGTTTCATTATAGACATGGAAATGTTTTAATAAGCCATTTTAAACAGACTATAAGAATCCTAAATGTAAATCAAGCACCTGGCCATCCTTTCCCCATTCCCACCTCATAAAGAGAGTGTGTTAGAATACACAGGCATGATGTCTCATGGAAATTTCATTTCCTCTCCCATGGTGTGCTTCTTACAAGAAAAGTAATTTTGATTTTTTTTTTAACATTTTTAGGCCACTATTTCTATTTCTATAGTGACAAAACTTGCTTTATTCAGAGCACACCTCTATCAACCCAATACTTGGGTTGCTGCCATTTTTTTTTTTTTCAACCCAATAAAAATTCTGCAGACCACAGAAATTCAGGTCTGGTTCAGGAAAGCAGTATCATTAATAATAGCCAGTTTGTTAATAGGTGAGGTTTCAAGATGTAATGATAGATCCTGATGTATCAACTGAAAATTGTGGTGTACACAGAACGTGAATTGGTTTTAGGCTTAGACTGTGTCTCCTCAAATGTAAATATAGCCAAAGAGTCTTGCTTTTGCTACTCAGTCCTGCATTATTCTAACACAAAATTTAGACAGGGCAGCTGAGTCTCTATGCATATCTCCATAATAGTATTCTTTTTTTTTTCAAATGGAGTTTAAGAAAGTATTCAGAGGTAAAAGTTACAAGAATGTTTATTGCATTATTGTTTATAATTTTAAATAGCAAAAAAGCTTTAATATGTTCATAAAGAGTAAGAATAAACCAATATATTAATGCAAAGTAATATAAGTAAAAAGGATACACAAATGCCATATGTGTCAACATGGATATATCACAAAAACAATATTGAGCAAAAAAGCACAAATTATAGAAAGATTCATACAAAACAACAGCAATAATATAGTCAAATGTGCAAAACTGTACCATATTTTTATGGATACATAAATATAGAGTAAAATGTGTATGAGGATGCAAAACATCAAATTCAGGATATTGATGTTCTCATAGGAGGGGAGGATTAAGGGTGGTAACCTGGAGGGGTACAAAGGGAGCTTTTACCCTATCTGTAAATATTTGTTTCTTACGAAAATTCCAAAGCTGAGCAATGGGTTCCCAAATGTGTGCTATGTATGATTTGTTCTTTTTTGTTTGAAACTTTTATAATTGCTTTTCAAAAACAGCACTGAGCCAAGATTCCAGGAAAGTGATTTCTAATGCCAATTCTACTGCTGCTTTGACGTGTAGTCTTAGGCAAATTGCTTAACCCTCTGTCCCTATTTCCTCAACTGCAAAATAAGGGCAAGAATCCGGTCATGCGTCATTGACCAGTAATGGAAAACAATGAATAAAACTCTTGGCAGAAAAGGCTACATTATTAAATTCTGTGTCACCTCTGAAAAACAGAAGATATTAGTAGCACTTAAAAAAGAGTTCACAGCCTCAGAGGGGAAGCCTACTTTCTCAGGTAAAAGTCAGAATGTATCCAAAGTAAGAAACAGTCTCCTCACACACGTGCAGTCACACACCCCAGTCACAAACATTCACAAACCCCATGACTATTCTCGTACCTCCCCAATGGAACAGAACAATCAAGTTGAGAGTCAGGTTTTAGGGCCTATATCCTCCTTGTTAGGTCAAATAGGTTTCTTCAACAAGAAGAGCTCTGACTTTGACGACCTGAATCACAGGCAGGGTATTAATAAGTAAACAGGAATGGAACCGTGGCCTTTTAGCTCACTGAACTGTGATGCTAATGATGTCAAATAGTTTCATTCTCTTATGGCCAAATAACTGTGTGGCCAGAAACTGTTCCAAGATGAATCAGAAATTATGGCTGCCTTCCCAGTCCCTAATCTACTCACTTCCCACACTAAGTGGCAGATACAAAATTGCCATGGGATGCACCACACTCCCACTCTGACGTCCATTTGTGTGATCCATACCCCTTGAAATCAAGACTAGTTCACGAATAGACATGATCTAAACCAGTTGGCACTAAATTCTCATCTTAGCAACTGTTTTAAGGATATGCAAGTGGCCTGTGCTGTTCCAGCTGAGTGAAGCTCCTGAAGAGGAAAGGAACCTCTTCTTAGCCCTTTGGTTGAGTGTGGGGTTAGCTCATAACAGCCATCTTTTAGCCACAAGACCAGACATAGGATAAAATTAACATAAGAGATAAGAGCAGCCTAATGATAAAATACAAAGGAGATATTGTTTTTTGTTTGCTTTTGTTTTTTGAGACAGAGTCTTACTTTATCACCCAGGCTGGAGTGCAGTGGTGTGACCTCGGCTCACTGCAACCTCTGCCTCCCTGGTTCAAGGGGTTCTCCCGCCTCAGCCTCCCAAGTAGCTGGGATTACAGGCACCCGCCATCATGCCTGGCTAATTTTTGTATTTTTATAGAAATGCGGGTTTCGCCATGTTGGCTGGGCTGGTCTCAAACTCCTGACCTCAGGTGATCCACCCGCCTAGGCCTCCCAAAGTGCTGGGATTACAGGCATGAGCCACCGTGCCCATCCTGAGATATTGTTTTATACTGCTGAGTCACTGAACCAACCCTCTCTTGAAACCTACCTTACTGCTAGAATTTTCAGTGAGGTTTATCAGCAAGTTTTCTTTATTGTTTAAGCTAGTTTGAATTAAGAGTTTTTGTCATTTGCAATCAAAAGCATTCTAAGGTAAGCAAATTGTTATATATGTATATTCAACATTGACCAGCCACAGTACAAATGTGTACTGTTGATTTAGAATGAGGAAAGGACAAGTCAGAGTATTTCTGGAGGGCAGCAAATCTATCACACCTGCAGTGATGGGTTTAAAACATAGTTCTACATTCTTCGACACTTTTTATTGAAAGACGTGGAATGTATGTCTCCTCAGGTTGAATCTGGGTGGGCTTCTGACTATCTTTTGACTAATGAAGTATGACAGAAGTAATGATCTGTGGCTTCTGAGGCCAGGTCTGAATTGATTATGCCTCTCCTGCCTGATAATTCTCTTGGAACTTGCCGACTGTATTCCTCATTTTGAGATGCTCCCTATAAGAACCCAGCCATTATGCTGGAAGAAGCCCAAGCCACATGGAAGGTCTTGTTTAGGTGCTTAAGTCAACAGTCACAGCTGAGCCCAGCCTTTGAGTGAGGTTATCCCAGGTGCCAGAATGTGAGTACAGAAACCTCCAGATGCCTCCAGTTCTCAGCCCCCAGGTATTCTTCCTTTCATCTGAAGGTCATGGACATCATGGAGCAGAGAGAAACCATCCCCAGTTTCCCTTTCTGATACCTAACCCACAGAATCTGTGAGCATAAACAAAATGATTCTGATTTTATAACAGTAAACTTGAGGTAGCTTGTTATCTGGCAATAAGCAACCAGAACAGAACAGCTACAATAAAAACAGTTTAAAGAGCTTGTACTTCTAAGTATGAAAAAGTTAACATGATGAACACTGCTTTCACTGCCTACTCTGGTGAGTACTATAGTCTGTAACATCAAGTCTCTTCTACAATTAATTCTAAAATAATTATAGTTAACTGTACTAGCAAGCAGACAAATGCAATTAGGTAAAAGCCATTGAGATATCTTAAAACTGAAAATTATGTTGTTTTAGATACTGTAAAATCTTGAAAAATAAGAACAGACAAAACTCCACCAAAACCAGCTTTATTTAAATTGCATTTCCAATTTTCAATTTATGAAGAAGGCAATACAAAAAAATCAAATGTCAAGATCCCATCCTGGTCTGCGTTGAATATTTTTGACATACACACTTTCAGTGCCTTGTCTTAAACAAATTTCAAGGTTGCATCACCCATAGCAAAAGGAAAAAAACAAACTTTAAAAGTAATTTTTAAATTATATCCAAAGCAATATATTAAAAATTCTTCAAAATTTCCTCAATCAACATTATACATTGGAGACCATGGAATATGGTGTTCAGGGAGAAGAATACGACGATAACATATTTTTTTCCTGTTTATATTTTTTTAAAGACAGCATTCATAATTTGATTTCAGAATTTCCAAACAATTTAAAGTCATGTCAAAAAATCTAAAGATGATTTGTTAAATGGCTCTCCAACTCTAAACTCCAGTCTCCTCAAGATGCCTAAGATAGTTCAAGCACAGACGATAGAGCAGAGTGGGAAAGGAAACAGGAGTATGAGAAGGGCTTTACACAAATCCCCAGTTCAGTCTTCTTGTGAGCCAAGTTAAACTGGGTGAACAACTACTTTTGCCCATACTCAAGTGGCCTAGGTGCTGGCACTGAAGGCAGTTTAATGGCCTCCTTTGTTTCACCTAGTCAAACTCCCTCATCCCTGCATTTTACCCCAATGATAGCCCTAGCAATAAATGGCTCCTTGAGAGTGCATTCTCCACACAGAAGTCTGAAAAACAGACTAAGAATGGATTTCTCAAAATTTAGGCAGAGAAGGGACACAGCTTTTGAGGTGATTTCAGTGTCTTACCTCCCTGCCCGTGCAAGAGCCAGACTGCTAGTGAAATACACCAAGGTCAGATGACAGCCCAGGGAGGCAGACACATAACCAGCCCTTCTCCAAAAACCAAGGGCTCACCTTTTCCATGCCTCTCCTGCTGCCTATAATGTGGAAGGAATTAAATCACAAACTGTAAGAAAGTCAGAGAAAAAGGGAGATGGTTGAGAAGATTGGGGCTTTTTCCAATAGTCACAGTATGTGGCCTACCTCTTCAGGCTCCTGGAGGCAAGGAAGAATGAGGTCTTGAATCTTTCTTACTATATAGAATAAGTTAAATTAATAATTTCTGAGGTATTAGGTATAAATGAGGTAAAATACAGGAAGATGATGAAAATAAAGCTGTGTTGGAAGGCTCCAAAATGAGGAAAGAGGTAATAAGAATATGAAACCTATAATTTATTCCATTCATATGGCTCCCTTTTTTGACTTGATGTGGTCTCTGATTTGGTAATCTGGGACACTCATATATTTACAGTTTATCAATGGCAACAAAACATATTAATCTATTAATGTGCTCACACTGTTATTTTCCGACCCACTTGATAAAGATAATTTTATCCTTGAGACTTCAATTTCTCACCCTTACTTAGCCTCTAAGGAGAGTTTCACTCTATCTGACATTCTGTGATGCAGAATTGGGAGAATGATAAAATAAAGGCTGAAGAAAAAGTGGACTGGAAACAAAAGACGTTGCAGTTGTGGTTCAGGGAGGAGGAGAATGGTAAATAAAGAGTGAATGTTTGGAAGAGTGCTATGCCAAATAGCTGAGTGAATTACAGAGTTGGAAAAGTGGATCTAAAAAGTGAAATAAGAATTTGTTAATTGTCTTTAATTTGATGTTTCATTGAAGGTTAGAACTAACGTAGTCACCTTTAATCGTTTTTCTGTTGATTGGACATCATACTAACAACTTCTTGTTAACAAGAAGTTAAATTCAGATATTTATTTCCAAAAGGGATGATGAGTCTCAATATTTTCAGTATCCATCTTACTTTGCAGTGTCAGACCAGAGAACTTATCCTAATGATGATTTCAGGAGCTCACCTATAGGAGCATTCCAGAAAGAAAAAAGTATGCTTTGTTTGAAAGATTATCAGAGAATCAGTGATTTCACGAAAAAATTAAGATAAGTCAACATAGATTGCAAAGACTATAGAAATGACAGAGAAGGAGAGAGGCTATTGGATAGGGATGAAATTTGGTTCAAACAATTGAAAAAGCTTCACGATCAAATTTAACTAGATTGTTGTTTGTTTCTGTTGTTTGTACACAGCAGAAATATAACTGTTGAAAAGCTCAGTGTACCACAATTATCGTCTTAACCATCTCTCTAATATTCATAAGTACATGTGACACTTTTTAGTCACAGAAATTGACAGTGGAAATTTTAATATTAACTTCTTTTCCCTGGTGAGATAATGGTAGAATTTACTTTGAAGTACAAGGTGTATACAAAGTAATTATTCTCATTTGGCTGACAATGAAATGCAGGCATTGAAAACACTAAATGACTCACCTAAGTGAGCTTTCAATTGAATTTATGTCTTTTGATTTCATGCCATTATGTGCAGACTTACTAGACTGGTATACTGGGAGGCCAGCCAATCTTTCGTGAGTAGTAGAATCTGGAATGCAAGAGTTAGACATTCAAAAAAGATGAGAGCCTCAGTGAAGAGAAAATAATGAAGAAAATGTAAGGATGATTGAAAGGCAAGAAAATCTAAGTTTGTACCTACACATACTACAACAGAATAAGGCTAGCTAAAAGATTTGACGACTGTAATTTATGAAGACCACCAAATAACACAGACATTGCAACATAGATAGTAACATAGATCAATGTCTGGTTGGCCAAGCAGGTGGACCTTTGTATATGTATATGTGTGTCTACCTTTGTTGCTTGTACTGCTGTTTGTATTTCATAATTTGATCGTGTCTAAAATTTAAGGGACATTAAAAGTCTATGTAGTTTAACATGCATTGAGGAAATAAAAATTGGATATTATTTCTTCTCACTTTTTCTTTTAAAAAGAAACAGAAGTGCTTCTAAAGATAGTAGTTAAAAAATTCTCTCAATCTTTTTAATGCTAAAAAAGCATTAAAAACTTCAAAAGATTAGTGCATCAGAGTTTCTTCTGCAATGAGTTTAAAATAAATTTGTAATTACAAGTGTGTAAAAATATATGAACAGAAAATAAAAGTATGGTGCTGGAAATATTCCAATATTTAAAAATCTACAATCTTCAGTTCACTGCAGAAGCCATTAGACAGCAATGGTGGAGCAGCAGCATATAAATTAAAAGAACATTTGACTGGGAGTCAGAGAACATGGAATTTAGTCTCTCTTCTCCTGCCAAAGGGTATGTGAATGACCCCAAGTCCCTCATAGCAAATGATGGGGTTGGACTAGGTCAGTATTTCTTAATCTATGTCCTGGGGAACACTTATTTAAAAAATGCAAATGAGGGTTTCAGATAATTTTGTATGTTCCCATAATGAAAAAAAAGCTATTTTAAATAAAATTAATTTAGACACTATAGATTAGGGTTTGCAAACTATGACTTGCAGGCTAACCCCAGGTCATACATTTTTTTATTTTTGTAAATACATTTTTATTAAAAGTCAGCCATGTCCATTTTTTGTTTATTTTATGTTATTTTTATTTTATTTTATTTTATTTTATTTTATTTTATTTTATTTTTTGAGACGGAGTTTCGCTCTTGTTGCCCAGGCTGGAGTGCAATGGCGTGATCTTGGCTCACTGCAACCTCCCACTTACTGGTTCAAGCAATTATCCTGCCTCAGTCTCCTTAGTAGCTGGGATTAGAGGTGCCTGCAACCATGCCTGGCTAATTTTTTGTATTTTTTAGTAGAGAGAGTTTTTCACCATGTTGACCAGGCTGGTCTCAAACTCCTGATCTCAGGTGATCCACCCACCTCAGCCTCCCAAAATTCTGGGATTATAGGTGTGAGCCACCATGCCTGGCCTGATTTGCATATTGTCTATGGCTTATTTTGCCCTATAGTAGCCAAGTTGAGTGGTGATGAGATCATATGGCCCACAATGCTAGAATTATTTACTTTCTGGCTCTTTACAGAAAAACTTTGCCAGCCATCCTACAGACTTTCTCAGAACCTTCAATGTGATAATGTGAATTCCAAAATAATTTCACTATTTAATCCTTGTATCACTCAACAATTATTAACAGAAATAGTGTTACTTTTCATAGTCTTCATTAACTATTTCCAAGATCCAACAGCTTTCTGCTGTTTGACTCTTTAAAACAACCAACTAAATGACTCAACTTATACCATGCATTCAACAAATGTTAATGGAATAGAAACAACGTGCTAGTCCTCCTGGAGCTTACATTCTGGTAAGGAGTCCTGTCAAATAATGTAAGTGACATATTGCATGCTACATGATGATAGAGGCTATAAAAAACTTTAAGAGAGAAGGGTTCCAGCGGGCAAGAGATTGCAATTTTAAAGAGGGTGTTTAAGAAAGGCCTTACTGAGAAAGTGACATTTAGGCAAAGACTTAGAGGAGGTGAGTGAGTGACCTATAAGGGGGAAGGCATTTAAGATAGGGCATAGAGCCACTAAAAAGTCCCAAGAAACAGCAAGAGGTCCATGGGGGGCAGAAGTCAGTGTGGAGCAGAGTGAGGTAAGTGTGAGAGAAAGCGGTGGAGAAGGATCAAAGGATCAAAGGGGTTGACTGTATGGTGCCTTAGAGGCCACCGTAAAAATGTAGGTTTTTATTCTGAAAACAAACAAACAACAACAACAACAACAAAAAAAAAACTAACAACATTGGGGGTTACTGGAAGAGTTTTAGGAGACACATAATGAGACTTTCATTTTAAAACAGTCACTTTGGATGTAGTGGATACGAATGGACTAAATGAGAAGTGACAGAAGAAACAAAGATGCTAGGAGGAAGCTGTTGCCAAAACCTAGAAGAGGTAAGAAGGGTTTTGCACAGGGTAGTAGCAATGCAGGTGGTGAGAACTGGTGGCATATATTTTGGAAGTGGAGCCAGTAAGATTTTCTGATGGACTGGAAAGGGGATGTGAAAGAGGCGACTCAAGGGTGGCTATTTTTTTCCCCAAAGCAACTAAAAGGTTGAAATTAATATAAACGTAGATGGGGAAGACTGTAGGAAGAACAGCTTTTTTAAGGGCTTATCAGGAACAAAGATTAAGGTGTTAAGCAGGATACAAGAGTTTAAGGAAGAGAGATGGGCTGGAGATGTAGATATGAAGATTGATAGTTAATAGCAGGTATTTAAAGCAACTAGGCTGTGTTCAATTGGGGAGCAGAGTAGACATGCATGGACTGAATCCTAGGTCACTCCAACATTAGATGTTGGAAAGATAATGAGGAATAGAGATTTAAAAGAAGCAGCCATAGAGCAGGAGAAATCACAGAGTGTGGTGGCTGGGAAGCCAAGTGACAAAAGAAGTAAGAAATAACTATGTCACACTTGTTACTAGATCAAGGAAGATGAGGACAAGTGACTCAGCATTGGGTTTAACAATGCAGGCTCTTGACAGAAAGTTTCCATGAAGTTACATGGATAAAAGACTTACTGGAATGAGTTTAGGTGAAAAAATGGGTGGTGAAAAATTTTAATTCCACTTTTATCTACTCTTTTTGGGACATTTTCAAACTTAAGCTTGTCCTGCAGTATAACATAATATTCCTCTCTATTGCCAATCCCTTTTACACATTTTTATGTGTCTATGCAATGACAAATATGAACAATATATGAAGAATTCCTCAGCCATCTCGATGTTTCCAAATATACATATGTTTTAAATAAAATATGCAAAATATTTGGATAACTGACTGGATTTTTCATTTATATATTTGGATGTCTACATGGTATGACAGTTGAGATGTTTATAAAGCAAAGTTATTGGAAGTAAATTTTGTTTATTACTATGTAATAGTCTAATGTATAGTTTCTGCTGGAATGACATTCATGTGTTAATTTAAGAAAATCTTTGTATCTTCTTATATCTTTAAACCCTTATGTCTTCAAGTTTATTAAAAATACCATATAAAGCCCTGTAATATTCAGACTATTCTTTATGTTTAGGAAATTTAGACACACTTACTTAGCTTAACATTATAAATCAAGGTAATCTCACATTGAACAGAATCATCATTACTGCTGAGTTGTTTTACATATATGTTTTGCTTAGGTCATTCAACTATTAATATTTGTTAAAACAATAGATAAATAAAAGATGAACTGTTTTAACATTCTGGGAAATTTCATCTTCTTTTACACTCATGTCCAGAGTACAATGCAGTGCAAAAACAACATTTGAAATTTGACAGCTAACTCTATCACATCTTATAAATCCAAGCAAGTGGTTCTCAGGTCTTACTGTGCAGGCAGAATCACCAGGACGGCTTGTTAAAACACACAATCTTGGCCCCACAGCCAGATATGGATTTGTTTGAAATTACTCCTGTATGTGTAAAAAGCAAGGAAAGATACTGAGTAGCACAGGGGTCGATGATGCTGATCAATCGCTGATATGCCCTCATTTCTGTATGTACCATTCCCATTCTGCTCTTTATCACAGGAAACCTCATCTTCCAGGCTAACTTACACTTAACTCTGGGCAATGAGGAGCCAGAGTGAGAGTCAAGGACAGGAGGAAGATAGAAGCCAGCCTGTTGCTTCCCCACCTTTCTGTTTCTTAAGGGCCCCTGGAAGTGGTTATATCTTTTCTATGGCTCCAGCTCCCACTGGGAAACTTTTCCATTCACGGTCCCAGGTTTTGCTAGACAGTCCTCAACAACACTCTAGATCCAGATATACAGCCCCAGCTTTTGGCCTCTGGTGACACTACCTTTGTCCTTTTAGCACCTGGGTTAGTAGCAACTCAGTATTGCTAAACTCTTGGTGACTTGACTTCAAAAAACCCTGCTTAATTTGTAAATTCTTAGACTTCTTGATTTCCTGTCTGGGGCCATCTGAATACTGCCATTGAGAACTTGGCATTATTTTTTAATTTTACCTCAGTATAGCCTAGGCTAATATCCTAACTCAATTGTCCTTCTCTTCCTGATCTTGTTTGCAGGTTAACCCCTTCTTGCATAAGCTTGACCTCCTCCTCAAAGTTTACAGACAGTGAAAATGATGCAGAGAGAAAAGAGATATTTGGAAGGGAGAGCATGATGATGAAGGGGCAAAGTTTAACAGTGCTTTTTGTCACTGTTGAAGCTTAGTTGAGAGAAAAAATGGCCACCTCTGAAGTCACTGTTCTGTAATGTGGAGAGGCTCTCTTAACATTCAGAAAGGATCTCTTTATATAAATGTGAACTGTTCAGAGGAAACCGAGTATTACCATGTAGAAAAATGATTAATAACTTAGAAATTACTGTAGAACCTAGGAAATAGTTAACTTGTGTCAGAAAGTCTCTGTGCTAATCAGAAGCAATCTGATTGTTTGAAGGCCTTTTGTGGGTGAAGTCTGGGAATCCAGGCTCAAGATAAGTGACAGTTTCTAAGGATATAGGGCTCTGAAAAGCAGAAATGAGAAATATCAACCATACCATGTTCTAAGAAAGTGAAAGCAGCACATTGAAATTTGTGGCAGCAATGAACCACATTGGGATGTTGTGAGTATCAACACACATGGATTCCAATTTTAGGTAAATAAGCAGAAAGTGGATTGGTATTCAGATGTACCCTTTTTTGTTTATGGAGCATTGCCCATTTATGTGGCACACACAGCTGGTGCCATCAGTATTGATTCCACCAGTTATTTTTGGGTCTGTGACAGAGCTCATCAAATCACCACTATGAAGGAAATACTTAAGTAGCTTCAATTCTCATCGTTAGATAAAATGTAGTGCAACTCTTCTCTCTGATATATGTACCAACTATATATCAATTTATACTCTGTTTCTCAGTGATATTATCCTTTTCTAGTACAAGGTATCTGTTAACATGTGATACTGATTGCTTTTCCAGTCTGTGGCTTTGGAACAGTATGGAGAGTCCAACAGTGCAGTTTGTTAAAGAAGTCTGCCAAAACCTAGTGTTGATTTCTTCCAGAGCACAATCTGTGTTATAAATGTTGTAGCTAGTTTTCTGATTCTCAGCTTTACCCTCATGTGTATCAATTTGTAAGTTTATTATACATGGAATATGATTCTGTATATCTTAGTAGCCTTGTTCTTTTCTTTCATTTTGAAAACAAAATCTAATAATCTCATTCAGAAAAGCATTATCACATACTTGTTCTGGAAAAATTATCTTGATGTACTAGAGAGTTCTCTCCTGTGTTGGAAAAATTTGGTACATATTCAATGGCTATTTGGACAGAGTATTCAATATTAGGGGTGAGTTGCTCCATTATTTGACCTAATAAAATTCAATTTTAGATATTCCACATTGTACTTAGAGTAAAGCTCCTCCTTCTCACCTGCTTCTGTGAAATCCTCTCATGGGAAGGTTTACTTGTCCCAATGGAGTCCTTTTACTTTTTATAAATTTCATATTATTTTTAGTTTCTATAATTTTCTTTCTAATTGTGCCTTGACTTAAGCCATCTTTGCTCCATGACTCTATATTTCAAATAAGATTTAAGATAAATTGAAATACTAAAAATGGAAAATGCTAACTAAAAATATAAGTTCAAAGGACACAGAAAACCTTAATATAAATAAATTGTGCCCTATTAACTAAATGTACTAAATGTTAGTTTACTTAAACTAAACCTAAGTCCTTGACATGCACTCACAGCTTTTACAAATTATATTTAAGGGTTATATGTTAATAATTATTCTAAAAGAATTTAAAAGGACATCAGAGAGAACCATGGTTGATCAGATTTTTAGTTGGCAAGGTGGATGTGAACAAAGTCTTTTTTTTTTTTTTTTTTTTTGAAGCTTTTCCTCTGAAGCAACCAAAGGAGCGTGAGAGACGTGAGAGAAAGTGTTGTATCAGCAGAGGTCTGAAGACCAACCCCAGACTATATTTAGGATTCTTTCAAAACCTTTGTATCAGTCTTCAAGAGTTTTCTGTGACCTTTTGCTGGAATTCTTTAGGTGTTAAAGGGCCTCAACCAGGTATGGCAGATATTTCTTTTTCCCTGGAAGCCAGAGGACTACATTTACAGTCTCTACATCATATGAGAGGCCTAGTCCTCTTCTGTCTTACGACTTCTGGTTAGCTTTCTGGCTAGTCTCAGGGGGCCTCATCATTGTTACCTCCCTAGAACCTCTCAGCAGGATCAAGTATAGATCCTTTGTCCATAACTTCCACCCTGAAATTTCCAACTGTCTTTAAACATGCATCAATTTACCACCTTGGAAAAATAAAGACTCAAGAAAAACTCTCTCACTTGATTCTATTGCGTTCAGCTTATGTTTTAATTTCTCTATTTGTATCCACTGTTAAGTTTCCTAAGGGAGTAGCTTTCACCACTCTGTTTCTCTGATTATACAACATGCATTCTCTCCTTAATTGCCTGTAATGTGATTTCAGTCCATGCTTTTTATTAAAGACTCCATTAAATGCCGTTAATGAGTCACAATCATCAAATCCAATAGCTTCACTTTCATCCTCATTCTTCTTTCATCAACACATTAGATATTTTTGCTCATTTTCACGTGGATGGTACTCTTCTCATTTAGCTTATTTGACTCAATCTCCAATAATTTCTACTTTTTATGGGATCCTTAGTCTTCCTTTCCTTACACTTATGAATGTTCTCATTTTATAATGTATGTTTTCTATGTGGACTACATAGAAAACTATTCAAATAATTCCCTTGAAATTAGTTATCTATAAAATATTGGGTTCTTATCCTATTTCCTTATTTTTGTAAATATAAGTGATGCAGATGATGTTTTATTTTTCCTGGCGCAAAAATAAAATCTGTGACAATGCATAACTATACAACGAGTGTCAGAAGTGATTGGTAGGAAGTAAAATTTTTTGAACAACAGCAACAACAAAACTAAATTATTCAGAAAAGGAATCAACACTCCAAAAGAGCAACTATTGTTTCAGAAAGAGGTTTAGCCTTAATATAGATTATTCTTTGATTACCTTGAGTCATTAAATTGAAAGATACTACGGCATAGACCGTATCTTACTCATCTTTCATCATCCAAACTGAATAGAACAGACTTTTGCACATAATATTATCTCCACCAATATCTGCTAAATTTAATGTGAGGCTTACAGTAAAAATTGTTCATAAACACACACACACATACACACACACAGACACACACACTACATTCTACATACCCTCATTACAGTACTAAATTTTTTTTTCTAAAAAGTATTTTGTATACAATCCTTATTGATGTAGTTGATGAAACACTATATATAAAACACTGGAATGTCAAATATTATATAAAAAGTATAGAACAGGTTAAAAAAAAGCCCTGTTTTTCTTTCTTAGCTCACAGTGCTAGTAAGCTCACTCTTATAGTGCTAGCATAGGAATCATTATGGTACAATTTCATTAGAGCCGTATGACAATATCCTTCTTCTTTGTTTCAGATAAAGCACAAAAGATATGGGCATTATTAGAGAAAGGACAGATAATTTAGCTGTAATACTTTGACAGTTGGTCCCTCCTCCCTTAAAGGGAAGAGGAAGACAGAAGGGGCTTTATCCACTTCCTTCAGAAGCCCTGAATCATGTATGAGACGCAGTGGTGACTTTAAACACGGAGCAGTTTGTGTTAGTGATTTACAGACGTACTATTTTATTTTATTTCTAACACAAAATGTAAGTGTCTGAATGCTTTAGGTAGGCACAAAAGGGAATGTGAAGGATGTCTGAGATCATCAAGCCCAACAGGAAGATTAGAGTGACAAAAAGGAGAAGCACTAATAACTGCCACACTGGAATTCCCAGGCTGATCAAAGGGGCCAGTGAATATCACAGGTAGGGCCTGAGGGGAAGTAACTTCTGAAGATTTCTTTTGCCTTACAGTCAGCAGAACAACTGTCTGAGAGCTGCATCACATACAAAGGAGATATGGTGGGAGAAACACACAATACATGTGCCCAGATAGAGTAGTCATCAACAGCTTTGTCCATCAGATATACAAGTTGTCCCTTGGTACCCAAGGAGGATTGGATCCAAGACCCCAGAAGATACCAAAATCACAGATGCTCAATTTTCTTATATAAAATGACACAGTGTTTATAAATAACCTAAGCACATCATCCCCTATACTTTAAATTACCTCTAGATTACTTATAATACTTCATGCAATATAAATTCTATGTAAATAGCTGTTATACTATATTTTAAACATTTTAATAATATTTTTGTCATTGCATATTTATTTTTATTTTTTTCAAATATTTCTTATCTGGGGTTGATTGAATCTGCCAACACAGAACACACATATACTGAGGACCAACAATATAGTACTTTCTGCAGATGAAGATTCAGCAAAGATTTACAGGAAAGGAACTTTTGGGATTCCTATATGTGGCCTCTTTCTCTGTAACAGGCACATCCCAGTTCTAGATCCCATGAATTCCGCAAAAGAAAGACAGACACAGAGGCCACCCTGCCCTACCAAGACTTCCACTAATGGTCTTTCTACAGTTGCAAGGAAGATGGGGGTGGAGGATAATAATATTTGAACTTGGCTGAATATTTATTCCAAATGAAACTGAGATTTTAAATAGTCTAAAAGCACTAGACCATGCTAAACATATTGAAAGGGCATGTTGATTGGCAACTTTAATTATCCATTCCCCTATCCGCAATTACTAACTACTAAAGGTTGATGAGTGCTTCATAAAACTGGTAGTAGTTACTGAAATAAAACTATTCCATGTTTGTAGATTGCTGAATTGTGACTATAAACTAAAATTGCTACAAATATAACAGAATTAGAAGACATTTTGGGAAGAATATTTAGTCCACAAATGCTTCTATATGAGAAGAGTAAAAAGATGAGAGCCACTTGACTGGGAGTGAATATATAAGCTAAAATTAATTTATCATTAAGTCCTGATATCACAAAAGTCAGGGATATCCCTTAAAGTTAAGAAAATCTTTGGAGAAGAAACACTTTTTTACTTCAAAAATAGAATTCACCTACTTACTTCATAAATCATTTAAAAAGAGAATCAGTAAATTAATAGTCAGCACATCCATAATGAATTAAAAAGTGACAGCAATATGTTTAAGAAATTAACCTATCCTTTAACATTGACACAAATTATCCCTTGATTTCACTATGAAAGAAGGAAAATAATAGATTATATGGATTATGGATATGACCCAGCATGATAGTTCTTTCCTTCTTAGCAAATGGCCTAACCTCTACTCATACTCTTATAAAAGCTTTATGTTTTTTCCTTAAATAGAGCAGAACTCAAATCATTCTTTGGCTTGCAATATGTCTACAGGAGGAATAAACCCATATGTCATCATAATTGTATAGATTGGAGTTGTACTTTTGTTATGGAGCACAACCACAGCCATACTACAACTCCATTCTGTGTCAAATAGAATTGTCTCAAAAATACAGGAAACAAAATATCAGAAAACAATCCAGTATGTTCAGACAACTGTGTAAGCAATGAAATGCAATTGGTTTTATACAAAATTCCGTCTTGTTTGCAAGGAGAGAAATATATTTACATGTTTTGAAAAACACTTGTTTATATTTAATTGGCAATATATAGAATCACATGTTGTTGTTGTTGTTATTTTGAGACAGAGTCTCACTATGTCACCCAGGCTGGAGTGCAGTGGCACAATCTTGGCTCACTGCAACTTCTGTCTCCCGGGCTCAAGCCATACTCCCACCCCTCAGCGTCCTGAGTAGCTGGGATCACAGACACATACCACCATGCCCGGCTAATTTTTGTATTTTCTGTAGAGATGGGGTTTCACCATGTTGCCCGGGCTAAAATTTTTTAAACTTATATTCCTATGAAGAGTTTAAGTTACTTGAATATAGAATTATTTTGTATTTCAACAGTACCTATACATATTTCTTTAGCAATATGATTGTTTTAAGTATAGCACTGAAAGTCCTCACAGACTTTGCCAACAATCTACTTTGTAATATATATTTTGAGTAAGGATGGCATATTATTAGTTCTCAAACATTAGCATGAATCAGAAGCCACCTCAAAGGCCTATTAAAACACAGACTCGGGGAGAGTTTAGTAGATTCACAGTGTGGCCTGCGAATTTGCATTGCTGACAAGTTTCCTGGTGATGCTGATGCCGCTGGCCTGGGGACCACATATACTTTTCAAGAATTAATATAAGAAATATAATTTTTATCAAGCTACTGACAAAAATTCTGAGACTTTTTTTCCAAATTGTAAGTAATTTGTTAAAAAATAATTAACATTCAAGTTATAATAAACTCTTTTTTTTCATTAATTGCTAAAGAAAAATAGTTTTACTTACATTATTAACTTTTCAGGTAATTAACAAATTTAATACTTAAAGTATGCTTGCTACCAAAGAATCTCCATGTACTTAAATTCATTTTGGCAAAAAATAATATTTGATTTGACATAAAATAATATAAATCATAATATAAAATCTGCAAGTGACATTTTTAACTATCCACACATGGGCACGCATATGCCACTGCAATATTTGGATACCACATTCATTAGGTTATGAAGACATAAACACTCTGCCACCTGAGCTATTTCACACTAAATAACAGAATATAAATCAGTGAGCAAATTGTTCATGATTACAGAACAAATAGTAACGAGTAGACTTTGATTACAGTTTTTGGTTAAAATATTATAATTTTCCTACTTTATTAAAACTTAGCTTCTTATCATTGTGAATATCTCAACATATTTATACTATTTATAGATGAATTCCAAATACATTCCCAGCTCTCTGATTTTGGACTGCTCAAATGTTATGTGCTTAATACGATGGGGAAAAGAAATGTAGAATTGGACAATGGCCCCCTCCAAAACAAATTCCAAATGTGTAAAACACATTTTTAAAGGCTTGGGTGCCTTAACTTTTTTTGCATAAAATATTGCAATACATATATTTAATAAGTTAGTTCCCTCATTCACATTGACTTAATATTATTTTGTTCAACTGGTATTATATCTGATGTTCTCCTGCATGTGTGTCCTATGTCTGATGTTGCTTATAAATGGAGACTTAAATCTTTAGTAAAGTCTTTTATATGGTTAAGAATTATACAAAATTTTTATCAGACTAATTAAAATGTCTAATTATAAGGTCCATATTTTTATTATTTGGCATTTTCCAGTGGCAATGAAATTAATGTCTCAGAATGAACAGCAGGACACATTCAAGAAGGCAATCAAGAGAATGATGCAGGTGTTGGCCATGCTACCTTGGCAATCAGTCTTTTTGGATCAGATAATTTCAAAATCACTCTCACATCCCTACCCCTGCTTCTGTAGTCCACTGACCTCTATGTCTGACCTCTTCTAAAGATTTATAATCAAGAAGCTATTATTGCTGTCTTCTCTAACTCACATACTTACAATCAGGAGGCATCTTTTCCATAAATATCTTGTAATATTCTTGTAGAAGTTCGAAGTTTTCCTGATTAATACTTTCTTGCAAAGAGACATCTCCAAACCTACAAACAGAAAAAAGAAAACAGCTGTGGGTTATAAAACGGTACCAAAAAGTAACACATTTTACCTTTCCTTTTTAAATAGATTAGAAAATAATTTCCTAAGGAAAGAGTCTGTCTCATTTTTCAAGCTACAATTCACAATGGTGATTTCAAACATATTCCAATCTCCACTGGCCCTGATTTCACTAATCGCTTCTAACACCTCAAATATCCTCACAATCATCAAATGTGAACCTAGATAAAATACCATGTATAAAACAACAGTCTCTGTGCATGGACATAATTGATATTAGCTTCCCTATCCTACTCCACACCTCTGTGGCAGGGCTACATCCCTGTATGTGTTTTAAAAAACTTTTCTTACTATCTATCCAACCATCCATTTCACTCGTGGCAGCTGAGGGAGGGGACCAGAAGACCAGCACTGGACACTGGGCTGCACGCAGTCTTGCCCACACTATCAACTGCTGTAGGCACACGTAGAGCCAGATTTCCCAGACAGTAGATCATTTCTGCCGACATTTTTTTCGTTCATACCATGAAGTCAAATGGTTCTGTACACGTAGTCTTCCACCAAGAGGTGTCAAGACAAACCTGTCTACCAGTGTGTCACTAACCTTGTGTTATCTTTGAGAATTTCCCAAGTTCAAAGGTAAAACCCACTTGTCTCCCTATAAAAGGATGCTATGTAAATGGCTTCCAATATGTATCTTCATCAAAATCTCTATTTCTAGGTGTGAATAGAAAATTTCAGTGTGCATTTTCCAACTCCACTTCAAATATAACATAACCCAAAACTAAAACTGCTTCCTCCTTTGAACCATTGCTAAGCATGTCCCCAATATTTTGGCATTAATTCAGGTTCAAAATCTAGGCATCATTTTGGATTTCCTCTTTTCCTCACCTTACCCACTATTCCTCAGTCTTTTCCTATCTCTGGTAACCCTTCCTTTTTTTTTTTTCTCAACCACTGTCATTATATATTAAGATATTTAATCATATCCAGTTTAGACTCTCCTAAAGCTTCCCAAATACCACAGAACTATGCCCCTAGTCTCTTTCACTTCCAGTTTACTTTCTGGACCCTTGTCAGATCATTCAGTCTCAATGAAAAATGAATTCATCTATACAAAAAATATTTAACATCAACTACATACCATACATTGCACCATGCAATAAATGAAATGTTGGAAAAATTAATCTAACCTATATTTCATCATATCAACTCACTGAACTTCAATGCTTCTCTCCTCCCTGAAAGGACGATGTCTTATAGTCTCCCTAGTTTAGCATCTAAGTTTCCACAAAGGCTTCCAAAACCTCTTGTGGGAATGTAGTTACACTCTCCTCCCTTAGCAGCAGTATTTCAATGCCTTTGGGACTTTTAACATTCTATCCACTCTTGACTTGAATGTCTTACTTTTCTTGATAGCTTGATTAATTCTGATTCATCTTTAAAGCCTGGCTCATCTCCTCTATGATACTTCCCCCACGGATTCATCTCCCTTCTGTGAATTGCTTTGTTTTATGCACTATTCCTGTTCCTTCCACACCTTTAATTATTGCATGAGCCGAACTGTAATGTAATGTTTGTTGACTTGTCTTCCTCACTGGATTACACCTTCTTTCAGGATAGGAAGCCGATTCCACGCTTCTTGTTACCCTGTATTCCTCTTATGTCCCATAGCTTGGCAGAGCAGTGCTTGGTATAAACTCAGTGTTCAGTATCTATACTGAGTTGAACTTGGAGAACAGGGATACAGACCCCAAAAATCTAGAGGAGTTTCCATAGAATCTGAAATATATTCTTCTAATGTTTTCAGACACTGTAATCAACTGGTATTTAAAAAATACCATCCTTGCTGGAGTAACATTAGTGTTATGGAATAAATGTTTGTGTTGTCCTAAAATTCATATGTGGAAGCCCTAAGCCCGAAATGGCAATGGCAGTATTTTGAGACAGTGCCTCTAAGGGGTAATTAAAGTTAAATGAGATTATGAGAGTGGGCTCTTTCTTTCCACAGGCACAAAGAAGAGGTTATGTGAGCATATAGGGAGAATGTGGTCAGTTGTCTGACAGCCAGAAAAAGAGCCCTCACTGGAAACCAAATTGGCTGAAACCTTGACCTTGGACTTCCCAGCTTCCTGAACTATGAGAAACAAATTTCTGTTGTTTAAGCCACCCAGTCTACAGTATTTTGTTACAGCAGCCCAAGCAGACTAATAGTATTTATTTATCTAAGAATGGTCATATACAACATCTACATTTTGAATTTGAGTAAACAGTAGTGAAATACTACTTCTAGATTACATAGCATATCTAACATGTAGATGTTGCTGGTAAAGCTCAAAATTCAGAATCAGAAAAAGGAGGTTCAGAGAACAGAGAGTAAGCAATATGCTCAAATTAACGGTTGATGTCAGAGTGCTATTCAAATTCAGGCCTCCTGCTTCTCTCAGGGTTTCCCTACTTTGCCATTTTGCTCCTTTTCCAGTCTTGTGTGTCTTGTACAGCTTCCATGTGTGAAAAAAGTGCATTCTTAGTATGCAAGAGAGATGAGAAGGAAGGAAAGGACACTTCTTAAATAAAATGACTGACAACTAAAACAATCACAATAACATGAATGATGCAAATTAGTCCATCTTAGAAGCCTTGAAAATATAATGCTGACTAGTCTTTGAAAAGTCTGTAAATGGAAGAGTCTCATATCTCTCTCAAGATCACAATCACAGACCTTATTAATTCCAACTCAAAACACTCTACTGTAGTGTACCGAAGAAGAGGCAATTTGGAATGCTGTTCCCCTGCTCCAAGTTGTATAGTTCATGCTCAGGAATATCATTCATCTCAAACATTGAATTTGCTGAGACAAATATATATATAGATAAATAGAATATAATCTAATCCTAGAAACTAGCTTTCAAAAGTACTTAATTATCAAGGCAAGGAATATGCTAGGTACTTTTAAACTTACCTGTGGGGCAGGGGTCACTTGGAGAGTGAATTATAGATAAGAAAGCATGTTAAATATTATAATACCAAAGACTATCAAACTCCCAAAATTGTTGCCTGTGAAGGAACTTCTCCAGTCAGCCCCTACAGCCAAGATGCTAACTTCTTTCTCTAAAATATTTCAAAAGTATGTTCTATGATCTTTTTTTGTTTGTTTTTTGAGACGGAGTTTTGCTCGTATCACCCAGGCTAGAGTGCAATGGTGCAATCTCAGCTCACCGCAACCTCTGCCTCCCCAGTTCAAGCGATTCTCCTGCTTCAGCCTCCCAAATAGCTGAGATTACAGGCACCCGCCACTATGCCCAGCTAATTTTTGTATTTTTAGTAGAGTTGGGGTTTTGTCATATTGGCCAGGCTGGTCTTGAACTCCTGACCTCAGGTGATCCACCTGCCTCTGCCTCCCAAAGTGCTAGGATTTACAGGTGTGAGCCACTGACCCTGGCCTGTTCTATGATCTTTAACTGTTATCTACGTTTTCTGTAATCTCTATATGTGAGCCATGTAAGATGTAAAAATAAGTCTTTCAAAAAAAAGAGATTTTTTTTTATTTCTTTTTTTGAGATGGAGTCTCGCTCTGCCGCCCAGGCTAGAGTACAGTGGCGTGATCTCAGCTCAACACAACCTCCATCTCCCGAGTTCAAAAAATTCTCCTGCCTTAGCCTCCTGAGTAGCTGGGATTACAGGTGATCACCACCACGCCTGGCTAATTTTTGTATTTTTAGTAGAGACGAGGTTTCACCATCTTGGCCAGGCTGATCTTGAACTCCTGACCTCAGGTGATCCACCCTCCTCTGCCTCCCAAAGTGCTGGGATTACAGGCGTAAGCCACCACGACCAGCAAAAAAAAAGTGTTTTTTAACTGACTTATGGGATCACAGTACAATCATTTGCTGACTGAGCAAGTCATTATTAAAAAAGCTAACATTACCAAATAATAACCATTAAAATAAACACAAAAAAGAGAAAAACTCTGTTTTAGATTTAAAAACTTGATGCTATTATCTGTTTACAATATTGAGATATGTATAAACATGAATTCTAAAATTTAATATACACATAGGTATTTGGAAACAAAGAAGGTTAATCCATGCAAATGCTTTATTTAGTATTGGCATCAAGATTTTCCTCAATATTTTTGCCACATTTAAATTTGGCTTGGGCCAGGATTCCTTAAATATGAAAATTTACCTTCTATCTCAAATAATTTGATACTGATAAAAAGAAAAATGTTACTCATAAATTGATGTTAGTTCTACATGCAGATACATGGGACTTCTCATCATATGCTTAAAAGGAACAAAGAAAAATCTCAAGTGCGACTCTTACACCAAAGCTTACCTTTCAGCCAGAGTTTGCTGTTCATTGATTCCAACATTAAAAAGTACTGGATACACATGAAGCAACTGTCCTTCTTTAATCTGTAGAGGTAGTGACTCAAACATTCTGGCTGGAAGCTTGACCTCTACCACGTAATGTTCTCTAAAGAAGGCAGAGGACAAAGGGAAGAAACATTACTTATTTGTTTTGTGTTATTTTAGATTTATTGGAAGAAAACATTAAAAGGGTTGGAATATAGCACTGATTTAGGTTTCTGTTGCTATATGCTTATATTCCTCATTCATTCATCTCCTTATTAAATTACTTGACATAAAAATTGTAAGAATTCATTTACGTGTGTGATTTCTCTACCTCACTCTGAATTCCTTCAGGAAAAAAATGTTCGGTTCATTTTTGTACACCCAGGGTCATGTGCATTGATAGCCTCAATTTTTTTTCTTTATTTAATTATTTTTAAAACTCAATCAGTCCTAAGAATAAGAGCAATAATTTAATGACTGCTGTTTCAATACAGTGAAGCTAAATAAACCAAATAATTTATATGATTTTTTGGTATGGCTTGTTTGTTATCACTATTGATGAGTGTTTCTGTTTATGATGCGCTGATGGAAAGGTAATGGTTTTATTGCTTAGAGTGAAACTTTCAGGAATTCTGGTCATTTTGAAACATTAACATATCACAGGAGCATTTTTCACTGGAAATGTCCATTAAAAACTACCCCTATTTTTTAATGTTGAAAATTTAAGTTAGGATTAGTACAATATGATTAATAAGAGTAGCTACTTACATATTTTAAAAACTGTCATCTTCTGATACAGTGTGAATTGAATATAGAAATTTAGAAAGCTTTGCCCAGAGGTTGGGAAAATCCATGTGTTTCAAGAACTATATAGAGTGGTGGCATTGTAAGATATGCACTGGGGAAATAAGCATAGGGCAAATAGTGAGCCTCTTTGTGAAAATCTTTTTAATTTCTCCTAGTATAACATTATTGATAAACAGTGTGGACCACTGACTCTGAGACTTGTTTCTTTCTACCTATGAAATAGAGACCTGGTAAATATCATGAATTTAGCAAGCAGGGATGTTAGCATTACCTTCAGATGAGTGAGCGCATTATTTTTCTTTGTTTAATTGCTCTCAATGCCATTTACAATAGCCTGGCTAACAGTTTTTCAGGAATATGAGAAGCATCAATGAGTCAGTTCATGCTTTAAACTTGTTCTGAAGGTGAAACATATAATTTCTTTGTGATAATTTTACCAGCTTTATTAAGAAATTGATATGAATTCATGCATTTTAAGTATATAATTCATAATTTCAACAAATTTATAGAATTATACAATCATGACAATAATCCAGGTTTAGTACATTTCCATCAACTTAAAAAGATTCCTTGTGCCTGTTTATAGTCAGCTATACTACCACCGCTAGCCCAGAAAGCCACACATCTATTTTCTCTCTGTTTCCTATGAATGAATTTTATTTTTCTGCATATATCCTATGAATTGATTCATACAGTATGTAATCTTTTCTATCTGGCCTTTTTCACCTAGCATAATGTTTTTGAAGTCATCCATGTTGTGGCATGTATCAGTAGCTTGTTCCTTTTAATTAGCGAATAGAATTCTATTGTATCGATATCACTTTTTGTCAACACGTTTATCAGTTGATAGACACTTGGATTATTCCATGATTCGGCGTATTATTAATAATGCTGCTATTAACATGCAGGATTGAGCCGTGGTATGGAGATATGTTTCATTTTCTCTTGGGGGTAAGTCTAAAAGTCATATGGTAATTTTATATTTAACTTTTTAAGACTGCCAAACTGTTTTCAAAGTGACAATTCCACCAGCAATGTACAAGGGTTCCAGGTTTTCCACATCCTCACCAACATTTGCTCTTATCTGATGATTCTAGTGTGAAGGAAATGGTATCTGTGATTTTAAATTTATTCTCCTAGTGAGGAATTATGTTGAATATGTTTTCTTGTACTTATAAATCATTCATATATCCTATTTGGTGAAACGGCTATTCAAACTTTTTGCCCATATTTAAATTAGGTTTTTGGTGTCATTATTATTGAGTTGTAACATTTATTTACATATTCTGAATATGAGTCCTTTTTCAAATATAGGATTTGTAAATATTATCTTCTAATCTGTGGCTTGTCTTTTTACTTACTTAATGGTGTTCTTTTGATGCTTAAATGTTCATAATTTTGATGAAGTCCTATTTATCTATTTTCTTCTTTTATGGGTCTTGATTTTTGTGTCATGTCTAAGAACTAATTACCTAAACCGGTAATAACTTCTCCAAGCTAAAGGAGAAGGTTCAAACCCATCACAAAGAAGATAAAAACCTCGAAAAAAGATTAGACAAATGGTTAACTAGAATAAACAGTATAGAGAAGACCTTAAATGACCTGATGGAGCTGAAAACCACGGCACAAGAACTACATGATGCATGCCCAAGCTTCAGTAGCCGATTCAATCAAGTGGAAGAAAGGGTATCAGTGATGGAAGATCAAATGAATGAAATGAAGTGAGAAGAGAAATTTAGAGAAAAAAGAGTAAAAAGAAACCAACAAAGCCTCCAAGAAATATGGGACTATGTGAAAAGACCAAATCTACATCTGATTGGTTTACCTGAAAGTGACAGGGACAATGGAACCAAGTTGGAAAACACTCTGCAGGATATTATTCAGGAGAACGTCCCAAATCTAGCAAGGCAGGCCAACATTCAAATTCAAGAAATACAGAGAACACCACAAAGATATTCCTCGAGAAGAGCAACTCTAAGACACATAATTGTCAGATTTACCAAAGTTGAAATGAAGGAAAACATGTTAAGGGCAGTCAGAGAGAAAGATTGGGTTACCCACAAAGGGAAGCCCATCAGACTAACAGCAGATCTCTTGGCAGAAACTCTACAAGCCAGAAGATAGTGGGGGCCAATATTCAACATTCTTAAAGAAAAGAATTTTCAACCCAGAATTTCATATCCAGCCAAACTAAGCTTCATAAGTGGAGGAGAAATAAAATCTTTTACAGACAAGCAAATACTGAGAGATTTTGTCACCACCAGGCCTGCCTTACAAGAGCTCCTCAAGGAAGCGCTAAACGTGGAAAGGAACAACTGGTAGCAGCCCCTGCAAAAACAGTGCAAATTATAAAGACCATTGAGGCTAGGAAGAAACTGCATCAACTAACAAGCAAAATAACCAGCTAACATCATAATGACAGGATCAAATTCACATGTAACAATATTAACCTTAAATGTAAATGGGCTAAATGCTACAATTAAAAGACACAGACTGGCAAATTGGATAAAAAGTCAAGACCCATCAGTGTGCTGTATTCAGGAGACCCATCTCACATGCAGAGACACACATAGGCTCAAAATAAAGGGATGGAGGAAGATCTACCAAGCAAATGGAAAACAAAAAAAGGCAGGGGTTGCAATCCTAGTCTCTGATAAAAGAGACTTTAAACCAACAAAGATCAGAAGAGACAAAGAAAGCCATTACATAATGGTAAAGGGATCAATTCAACACGAAGAGCTAAGTATCCTAAATATATATGCACCCAATACAGGAGCACCCAGATTCATAAAGCAAGTCCTTTGAGAAATACAAAGAGACTTAGACACCCACACAATAATAATGGGAGACTTTAACACCTCACTCTCAACGTTAGACAGATCAAGGAGACAGAAAGTTAACAAGGATATCCAGGAATTGAACTCAGCTCTGCACCAAGCAGACCTAATAGACATCTACAGAACTCTCCACCCCAAATCAACAGAATATACATTCTTCTCAGCACCACATCACACTTATTCCAAAATTGACCACATAGTTGGAGGTAAAGCACTCCTTGGCAAATGTAAAAGAACAGAAATTATAACAAACTGTCTCTCAGATCACAGTGCAATCAAACTAGAACTCAGGATTAAGAAACTCACTCAAAACTGCTTGACTATGTGGAAACTGAACAACCTGCTCCTGAATGACTACTGGGTACATAACGAAATGAAAGCAGAAATAAAGATGTTCTTTGAAACCAATGAGAACAAAGATACAACATACCAGAATCTCTGGACACATTTAAAGCAGTGTGTAGAGGGAAATGTATAGCAACAAATGCCCAAAAGAGAAAGCAGGAAAGGTCTAAAATTGACACCCTAACATCACAATTAAAAGAACTTGAGAAGCAAGAGCAAACACATTCAAAAGCTAGCAGAAGGCAAGAAATAACTAAGATCAGAGCAGAACTGAAGGAGATAGAGACACAAAAAACCGTTCAAAAAAAGCAATGAATCCAGGAGCTGTTTTTTGAAAAGATCAACAATATTGACAGACCGGTAGCGAAACTAATAAAGAAGAAAAGAGAAAATAAACAAATAGATGCAACAAAAAATGATAAAGGGGATATCACTACTGATCTCACAGAAATACAAACTATCATCAGAGAATACTATAAACACCACTATGCAAATAAACTAGAAAATCTAGAAGAAATGGATAAATTCCTGGACACATATACCCTCCCAAGACTAAACGAGGAAGAAGTTGAATCCCTGAATAGACCAATGACAGGCTCTGAAATTGAGGCAATAATTAATAGTCTACCAACCAAAAAAGTCCAGGACCAGATGGATTCACAGCCAAATTCTATCAGAGGTACAAAGAGAAGCTGGTACCATTCCTTCTGAAACCATTCCAATCAATAGAAAAAAAACGAATCCTCCCTAACTCACTTTATGAGGCCAGCATCATCCTGATACCAAAGCCTGGCAGAGACACAACAAAAAAAAGAGAATTTTAGACCAATATCTCTGATGAACATTGATGCAAAAATCCTCAATAAAATACTGGCAAACCGAATCCAGCAGCACATCAATAAGCTTATCCACCATGATCAGGTGGGCTTCATCCCTGGGATGTAAGGCTGCTTCAACCTATGCAAATCAATAAACATAATCCATCACATAAACAGAACCAAAGACAAAAATCACACGACTATCTCAATAGATGCAGAAAAGGCCTTTGACAAAATTCAACAGCCTTTCATGATAAAAACTCTCAATAAATTAGGTATCGATGGGACGTATCTCAAAATAATAAGATCTATCTATGACAAACCCACAGCCAATATCATACTGAATAGGCAAAAACTGGCACAAGACAGGGATGCCCTCTCTCACCACTCCTATTCAACACATAGTGTTGGAAGTTCTGGCTAGGGCAATCAGGCAGGAGAAGGAAATAAAGGGTATTCAATTAGGAAAAGAGGAAGTCAAATTGTCCCTGTTTGCAGATGACATGATTGTATATCTAGAAAACCCCATCGTCTAAGCCCAAAATTTCCTTAAGCTGATAGGCAACTTCAGCAAAGTCTCAGGATACAAAATCAATGTACAAAAATAACAAGCTTTACTATACACCAATAACAGACAAACAGAAAGCCAAATCATGAGTGAACTCCCATTCACAGTTGCTTCAAAGAGAATAAAATAACTAGGAATCCAACTTACAAGGGATGTGAAGGACCTCTGCAAGGAGAACTACAAACCACTGCTCAACGAAATAAAAGAGGACACAAACAAATGGAAGAACATTCCACGCTCATGCATAGGAAGAACCAATATCGTGAAAATGGCCATACTGCCCAAGGTAATTTATAGATTCAATGCCAACCCCATCAAGCTACCAATGACTTTCTTCACAGAATTGGAAAAAACTACTTTAAAGTTCATATGGAACCAAAAAAGAGCACGCATTGCCAAGACAATCTTAAGCCAAAAGAAGAAAGCTGGAGGCATCATGCTATCTGACTTCAAACTATACTACAAGGCTACAGTAACCAAAACAGCATGGTACTGGTACCAAAACAGAGACATAGACCAATGGAACAGAACAGGGCCTTCAGAAATAATACCACACATCTACAACCACCTGATCTTTGAAAAACTTGACAAAAACAAGAAATGGGGAAAGGATTCCCTATTTAATAAATGGTGCTGGGAAAACTGGCTAGCCATATGTAGAAAGTTGAAACTGGATCCCTTCCTTACACCTTATACAAAAATTAATTCAAGATGGATTAAAGACTTAAATGTCAGACCTAAAACCATAAAAACCCTAGAAGAAAACCTAGGCAATACCATTCAGGACATAGGCATGGGCAAGGACTTCATGACTAAAACACCAAAAGCAATGGCAACAAAAGCCAAAATTGAGAAATGGGATCTAATTAAACTAAAGAGCTTCTGCACAGCAAAAGAAACCACCATCAGAGTGAACAGGCAACCTACAGAATTGGAGAAAATTTTTACAATCTATCTATCTGACAAAGGGTTAATATCCAGAATCTACAAGAACTTAAACAAATTTACAAGAAAAAAAATCAAACAACCCCATCAAAAAGTGGGCAAAGGATATGAACAGACACTTCTCAAAAGAAGACATTTATGCAGCCAACAGACACATGAAAATATGCTCATCATCACTGGCCATCAGAGAAATGCAAATCAAAACCAAAATGAGATACCATCTCAAGCCAGTTAGAATGGCGATCATTAAAATGTCAGGAAACAACAGGTGCTGGAGAGGATGTGGGGAAATAGGAACACTTTTATACTGTTGGTGGGACTGTAAACTAGTTCAACCATTGTGGAAGACAGTGTGGCGATTCCTCAAGGATCTAGAACTAGAAATACCATTTGACCCAGCCATCCCATTACTGGGTATGTACCCAAAGGATTATAAAACATGCTGCTATAAAGGCATATGCACATGTACGTTTGTTGCGGCACTATTCACAATAGCAAAGACTTGGAACCAACCCAAATGTCCATCAATGATAGAATGCATTTAGAAAATGTGTCACATATACACCATGGAATACTATGCAGCCATAAAAAAAGATGAGTTCATGTCCTTTGTAGGGATATGGATGAAGGTGGAAACCATCATTCAGAGCAAACTATTGCAAGGACAGAAAACCAAACACTGCATGTTTTCACTCATAGGTGGGAACTGAACAATGAGAACACTTGGACACAGGATGGGGTACATCATACATTGGAGTCTGTCGTGGGGTGGGGGGAAGGGAGAGGGATAGCATTAGGAGATATACCTAATGTAAATGACGAGTTTATGGGTGCGGCACACCAACATGGCAGATGTATACACATGTAACAAACCTGCACATTGTGCACATGTAGCCTAGAACTTAAAGTATATATACACACACACACACACACACACACACACATACACATATATATACATATATACGTATATATGAGTTCTATATATATATACATATATACGTATATATACGTGTGTATATATATGTATATATATAGAACTCATTACCTAAACCCAACTTACAAATATTTCCTTCTGAGTTTTCTTCTAGAAGTTTCACAGTTTTAGCTCTTACATTTAGATCTATAATCTATTGTGAGCTAATTTTTGTGTATGTGTAAATTCTTCTCTTTCCATATAGATAAACCAATTGTCCCAGCATCATTTTTTGAAAAGATTCTCCATTCTCCATTGAATTACCTTGGCAGCTTTGTTTAAAATCAATTGACTTTAAAGATAATAGTTTATTTCTGGACAGTAAATTTTGTTCTATTAATCTACATTATATACTTATGCTAATACTACATTGTCTTGATTATTATAGTTTTGTAGTAATTTGTGAAGTCAGAAAGTGTAAGTTTTTCCACTTTGTTCTTCTTTTACAAAATGTCTGGGTCCTTTGCATTTACATATAAATTTTAGGTTAGGCTTGCCAATTTCTGCAAAAAGACTACGGAGATTTAGATAGCGATTGCAATGAATCTATAGATCAATTATGGAGAATTACTAAACAATATTGAGTCTTCTAATCCATGAACACAGGCTGTCTCTCCATTTAGTGGATCCTATTAATTTCTCTCAGCAATATTTTGTGTCTTCTGTGTACAACATTCAGACTAACTTTGTTAAGTTTATACCTATTCTTTTCGATGTGATTATAAGTTAGACTCGTTAATCTAAACCACCATTTCTGACAACTTTCAGGACTGTGCTATTTCCTACTCCAATCCAAGTCAAGTCAGCCCCCTCTGTTAGTGAAGCTGCTGGTGTTAATGGCCTTGCCCTAGGAAATTGTGTTCACAGGGCCAGGGTTGATGGGAGCAGCCCTCAGCAAAATGCCACAGACTTCTACTGATGCTGCCCAATGTTCACTAGTTTCTCACAAATAAGTACTTCTGAATTTGTGGTGTGCATCCAATTTATTCTGTTTATCCTAAAATGGTTGTTTTGGATTGTTATTTCCAGTTGTAATATTCCTTTTGGAGAGAGGGTGTGCTAAGCTGCTCACTTCATCATTCTAGGAGCCATGCCCCTACCTGCATGATCACTTTTGAGTTTCAATACTGTTTGAAGAACTTCCTCAGAAAAAGCATGCTGTACTCTGCCTACACTAAATGGCCTGGTAAGCTTCCCTTAAACATTGTGATATAAGTGTTAGTGTTTCACTTTTGATAGTAAACTTGAGAGAAATATAGAATTGTACTGTTTTTCAGGTGTGCGTATGAGCAATTTTATTCTTTTTCTCCCAAATGAATGGCAAGTTAAGCATTAATTCTAGGTAAATATTTAGTTTCTGAGGATGTGGGTTTTTTTGTGAGTAAGAAAGTCACCTTTCAGTCAACTATGTGGTTCTGGGTATCCTTCATAACATTTAAAATAATTATTATATGTTTACTATCAACAGGAAAACAAGTTTACTTTGAACTTTATACTCAGTGTGTTTTGCATCTCTCTCTAGCATGAAAAGGCTCTCCCTTTTGTATGTTCATATGTTTTGAACATGACCCCAGAATGTTTCAAATTTTAAATATCCTCATGCAGCAATTAAAAGCACTAACACCGGAATAGTTTGGACCTCTGATTGAGACAACTTACTATAAGATGTACCTCTTCTATTGGAGGTCTGTTCTACACACCATCATTTTTCTTAATTATTTCTGACATTTTGCCTATCATACACTGACCTTCGAAGCTATTTATTGAAAACCCTTCTCGGAAATCTCATAGTCTGAGAGTGAATTGTCAAAAATAATTAAGAAAAATGGTGGTATATTCCCCTGACACAGAAATATATCTTTTCTAAAATGTTGCTGCTTTTAACTGAATTTAATTTAAAGTCATTTCAAGAATTATGAGTCTATTAACTGAACAACTCCCGCAAAAGTAAAAACACCCAGAGCTTTGGATGAGATAGTAATAAGGAGAAAAATGTTCTCATGCAGGCTATTATTTTGAATTTCTTGTATTTTGTGGGAGAGTACTGCCATACTCAACTCACTACAATTTAAAACATTCATGAGACTTCCAGGAGTTTTTTGAGATTGTCCCCTATCATATCATCCATGTGTATTTCTTACCAAAAAGGAAAAGAAAAAAAACAAAAGAAATATTCCCAAATCAAACCTGAATTCTCCTTGCCTCCTCTGACAGGAGTTAACACGACATGTCTAACAAAGCCTGGTCTTCAGGAAGTGAGCACTGCTTACCGTCTTCCTGTTATAACTGGCAACACATCATTGGATTTGGCTTCAATTATTTTAAATGCAACTTTCTTTAAATCGGAAATGCCAACGGCCATGTCCTCTAGCATTCCAATTTCATCGCCTAAACAATAGAAAAGGCACTTAGCTACAAACAAACATTTGAGGAAAATGTCACTAGCTACTATGCCTCCCTGCTGGAATTTGTTCTAGCATTTTATTGAATGAGTTTCTGAATGCAGTGAACCTACTCTAGACACTTTTCCTCAGAGGCTGAAGGTGTTTCTTAGTGAAATGAGAACCATTTCAATGGACTTCAGAAGTCAATCTACCCTTTGAGGGAAGGAAGAACGTGGACATTTGCTGTGAGGCTGGAGAGAGTGTTTTAACCCCTTTGTGATTTGTGCACCTTTCTTTCTACTGGCAGGACTGATATCTGTTGTCTAGAAATAACAGAGGTAGCTGAATTTATCATCACTGACCCAGGTTCATGCTAGTTTTGCATCTCCATACATTAACAAATGAAGCCTGACAGGGAGATCATTAAGATTCCAGATCAGCACTCTCTAACAGAAATATGTGAGCCACATATATAATTTTAAATTTCCTGGTAGTCATTTTTTAAAAGAGTGAAATTAAAAAGGTAGAATTAATTTTAATAATATATTTTACTTAATCCAGTATATCCAAAATACCATTTCAATTGTAAATTAATATGAAATTATTAATTATCAATATAAAATATCTTTTAAAACTAGTTTTTGAAATCTGGTATGCATATCTAGTACTTATTGATTTGGACTAGACACATTTCAATTACCCAAAAGTCACACAAGGCTACTATATTGAACAGTGCAGTTCTAGACATTACAGGGTTGAGACTTTAAAATCCAGTCATTGCAACTATGTTGGCACAGAGCCTTTTATATTAAAAAAGCCAGATGGCTGCTCAGGAGTCCACTCTGAAATAATCTATAATTCCATTTTCAAAGCATAATAGGAGGCAAAAGTAAGTTACAAGGTGAATGCAAAAAACTGAAAGTTATATTATTTTTGTAATACTTGGCACAATAAAGGTTTACTTATTTTTATGTTTTCTTGAAAAATTTCTGGATTAAATGTCCTTCTGAATAGAAATGTGATTTTAACTTGTACTAAAGCAATACTCACTGTATGTACTTAGCAGTCCTTCATATTGTACTATCAACCCCACTGTGTGAAGCTGCTGTAGGAAGCCTGGGTCATACAGACTTGTCTGTAATTTGATGATAAAACCACAAACCAATCCAGCAAGCTGAAAAAAAAATATTGATGAGATTTACTGCAGTTAGCAAACGTATTTGTTTTATTTTGAAATATTTTAAGACTTCTGAGGCATCACAGATTCGATTATCAGGTATGTATAACAAAACTACAACTATTTGGTAGGCATAGTAAAACAAGTTGACAGTCTTTGATCTAGAATTGCTGTGTATAAAAGTCTTGGGGAAGGTAGAAGTGCAAAGGGAAAAAGAACATGGACAGGAGTAAGGTTGATAGGTCTTCAAATCTTATATCTACCATTTCTAACAGTAAATTCATAAACACTTAAGCACTTCCAAATCTTACTATTTTTTGTACATGTAAAATAGAGATGATAATAATCATTTCACAGGGTCATTAAAAGAACACAATGACGAAACATGTATGTATAAGGCAGAGCATATTTTCCGACACCTGGTTAGCTTCATGTGCCACTGGACCATTCATGAAATAGTGGGGGAAAGCGACAGTTTGGTTAAAATATTCCCTTTTCCTAGAATGTTTAGAAAGAGAAGTCTTCTTTTTCTTTCTCTCCATATGTCCTGTCTATAAAACTCAGCCATGAGGATGGAGGCAGGTGGGGAGAAGGAAGGCACCAGCACACCCACCGTGATGGAGGCAGGCCTTGGCATTATGAATCATGTTGGGTGTAGGCAAGGAAGGTGGCCCTGTCAAACCTCCTATTCGAGCCTTACTGCCCTGAAAACTTATTTTAAAAACAAAATAAGAGATAATTGTGAAATCCTGTCCCAGGATTCATGGGGGAGCTGTACAAATAAGCGACTGCAAACAGATCCCCTTTGCCAAGTCCTAGCTTGTCACCTGGAGTGCAAGTCAACAGTCCCTTCCCTTACACTTATGTAGATCCCAGAGCATAATACAAAGATGATGACCACTTCCTTCACGGACTTCATGCCCTGTGAAGCAGAATTTACATGTTAGAGACTTGGCCATCTCTTTTCAGAAATAAATACTTAAGGTCTCATAAACTCTTTGCTTAGGATATTCAGCTGATATTTATCGTGAATAAGAAACATGGGATACCAAAACTTTAAGGATCTTTTTAAAAATAAAGCTGTCCCAATAAGAATTCTATTCATCATCAAGGATAGGATGTTAACAATCCGGCATTGTTTTGTACTAACAATAACAACAGGCACCTACTGCTTGGCTGAAGACGATGTCTCTTCTTAGCGTCAGCATCAGACACTGGGGCAAGCTGTACGCAAGTTCCTGAAGGAGCACAAATGTCAGGGACTGCTTGGCTCGGTTCACCACTTCTCCCATGCAGTCCTTCAGGGTAAGGATGAGGGGATACAACTGTTCATACCAGTCCTCTGGGGGAAGGGGGTGTAAGAACAGTGCAATAGATGAAGGAAGGTCTTGGAATATAATGCAGAACCAACTTCCAACTTATTTTTAATTTTTCAGTAAGTTAGACATATTCTTAAGGATTCACAAAGATTAGAGCTGAAGATCTCTAATTTAAATCTCTCGCCTGAACTCCACAATGTCCATAAGCAGCCACCCATCAGACCTCTCCAAGTGGATGCATTTAACATATTTGCAGCAGATCTCTCTTCTCTGCTCATCTCTAATCTGTGCACTACCTGTATCTTAGTGAGTGGTGCCATCAAATCTTTCTCATACTGGAAACAGAAGTTTTACTGGACTTCCTCTTTTGCAGTTTTCACATTAACTTGGTCATTAAATTAGTTCTACTACTCTTAACAGTCCATCAATATGCATCTTCTCCTTGTCCATGCCCATCGTTGTTTATTGCTCTCCCTTGGATTACTTCCTGGACTACTCCCTAACCCATCTCCCTTCCTCCAGTCACACTCTACTGAATTCCCTTCTCAACAGTGTTGCCAGAAACATTTATAATCAGTTTGTATCTGATTGTACCACTCACTCCTCACTTCTTAAAATATTTTGAAAAAAAAACACTAAAGCATTCATAAATAAATAAAGTTCAAACTCATGAAAGATTCTCCATTATCTAAACTTTGCCTATTTGTCTAATCTCATCTTTCAGAAGTTTATTTGCTGTCTTGAGTCTCAGGTGAATTGAACCTCATGTATTTCCTTAAACTTATCTTGTTCTCTCATCTCAATGTCTTTGAAAATCCTATCTCCTCTCCTGGAACACTCTTTTTCTACTTATCTTCCTGACAAATGCTTTATCTCTTCTGCAAACTCAATTCAGGATTTCTCTTCTCCAGGAAGTCTTCCTTCATTTCCCCCTTACTACACTTCCCTATTCCATGAAGATTGGGTTGAGCTGACTTCCTTTTGTGCCTGTATCTTCCTGTCCCAGTACTACTCACACACTACTCACCATTTTCCTCTGCAAGAAAGATAACTCACTGAGGGCAAGGAATTCATTTTTTAATCACCGAATCACTAGAACCTAGCATAGTGCCTAGCATATAGTAAATATTCAATAAGTTTTAATTGAATGAGAAAAGTTACAATAAATATAAAAAGTTTTAAAGATATAGACAAGTTTAAGTAAGTCAAGTTTTGGGTAGTATTTGGGATTCAAATAGCTGTTCTTCAAATGAGGATGCAAAATTGAGACCATTTGTGCTATTTGTATGTCTAGATTTCTAACAGGCATCAATTATATAATTATGACTTTGGTATGATATAGAAACAATTTATGTTCTGTTTCAGTTAATTTGGAGATCAAAGCCCTGGCAAATGTTAACTATCATAAATTCTTGACCGTGTGACATTCCATTAATATATAAATAAATTAATGGGTGACAAATACGATTTGATATGAATGAGTGCATGCTGCGAAATTAATTATAAAGCAGGAACTGAAATGATATGATCTCCTCATCATAAAAGTGCAAGCATCATTGTGAGTAATGTGAGTGGTAAATAATCAGTTAAGACCTTGAAAGAGTGACAGAGAATAATAAAAAGAATCACAATCACTATCGTACCATGTCTACTGTCACTTATTTATTTTATGTTGTGGTATAATAGACTAGATGAAATAAACCCAAAGGGTTGAAAGGATAATTAATGGCCCCAACATAATAAAAAGATACATTCTTAGTAATACTCTATGAAATGCCTATGTGATGTCATAATGTAAAATACATTAGAATGTTAGAAATTATTTTAAAAATATTGTAGATGTACATGCTATTATGAGGATAAAAAGCATAAAGAAAGAGGAATGCAACAGAGCCCTATTAATGCATGATCATTTAATATTGGACAAACTTATAGGCAGCCTAGAATAAAATGTGAACAATGGTTCAATTTAAACAAGCATTGGTTAACTGTTGATTCTTATGTCATTGTCATGTGTAAAAGGGAAAATAGAGGTACACTGAACTTTTTTTTCATAATAAGAGATACATCAATAGATACCAAGAATGAATATCCTATATTCCTATTTTTTCATATTTGCATTTTTATCTCCTGTTCTCTCCCTTTATTTAATTGTTGTTCTCAATATGAATGGGTAGACTAATAGACACAGGGAAACACTAGAAAAAACTTCAATAAATTAACCCAGATGTAAATTTTAAACGATAACAGACTGAAAACTGCTTTTGTTCTGTGCTTAGCTCTGTAGAGATTTGTTTCTACTAGAGAATTCCCAAACATAAAATACATCTTCTGTGCAGTAGGTGGCGCTGCTTAATCAGGCTGAAGCAGAACTACTTTGCACTTACTGCATTCAAGTAACTGATTTTTACTTTGTACGCAGTTGTATAGTTCCCAAACAGCATGTACTTATTGTTTAAGCATCTTGCATGGTACTATACTGAATCAACTGGTCAATACTTTATATGATTTTTCTAGTTAGAAAATTTAAAAAATAACTTAAGTGACCACATTTGTTTTCTTGCAAGACATTAAGTGACAATTCTAATTAAATATTTGTTTCTCTAAAAAGTATTTAAAGGAGAAAACTTTGCAGATTGTCTCATTAGCATAAGGATAGTTGCTTTATTCACTTCCATCTTCACTTATTTAACCAGTTGATTCTTAATTATAAATTACAATCAGATGACAAAAAAAACAACACCAAAACAAGTCTGGTTTCCAGTTTCACTAGATTGGAAGTGGAAACCCAGGATAAAAGGAACACACAACATTCTAAACCTAGGAACAGTGTTACATACTTCTGATACTAACAATATTCCAGTGTCTCTATTTTGCATAATTATATATACTTTTTATGGCTAAAATATCAGGACAATGACAATATCGGAAAGCATTAATTATGAATGAGAAAATTACAAGTTTGTGAGCAAGGTAATATGTCTTTAAAATAGTAGTAAGCCTTCTATGGAGGAACATAAGTGAAAAAGCTAAAAATACATTTTTTTTCTAGAAAAGAAACAATTTAAGTTGAGCAGATAATGGAAAATTGTACTGGAAAATTCCAATGCCAATGACTCCAGGTTTTCTTCTCTGTTAATATGCAGTCAGTGTAAATCTCAGGTTCTGAAATAAACACAGTGGCTACGACAGGCCAAAGCAAAGCCAAAGTCAGTTCATAAATGGCCTTTTTGCTCCAATGAACATCCCAAATCATTCTCACAAAGGAAAAATAAATGCTTTAGTCTTTTGCTTTAAAATATGTTTTGGGGAAAATTAAAAAAAACCCAAGCTTCAGCTCTTGACAGTTTTCAGACTTGTCACTTGCCCCTCACCTTTATGTCTCTCTATACCTTACAGTTTACATGGTGTTTATTTGGTCCTCCTGATAAAGATGAAGGTAGTATTCATTCATATATAAATATATATATGTGTGTGTGTGTGTGTATGTATATACACATATATATACGTGTGTGCACACACACATACACACAATCTTAGTTGAAACTTGAAAAAACTAAACTCAGAAGAGTGGATGTGTGTATTTCAGGATTTCGTACTTTTATACACACACACACACACACACACACACACACACACACATACACACACATACCTTTTTTATAAACCTAGTGAAGCTGGGGAGCTAAGGGTGCCCCACAATATAGTCACTGCCCCACTATCTCTGCCCTGAGCCAACTAGCCTCGCAGGCACTAAGTGTGATTTTATTCCCTGGGCTCCTTTCCATGACAGAGGGAAACACTAAGTGAATGTTTTAGTGTGTCTATAAGAACTTGCTGAGACTCCTTAACCCTGAGACCAACAAGAATCTTTCCTCGGGAAAACATAAAATGCATGTGGCTTAGCTGAGCTTTTCCTGAGCTTTGTGAAGTGTGTTGGGAGCCATCCAAGCACAGCCTCTGTTTTCCAGCCCTCTACTTGCTTCTCCGGCATATTCAAGGGAAGCTCACTGAAGGATTCAGAGAACGGCTGCTGGGTGCCCCCCTCACCTCCTCCACACATCATCTATTTCCTGTGCAGGATGTTCATGTCCTCTGAGCTCAATCACTCTTATGTTACTCAGGAGAAAAATAAAAGAGCCAAATATCAACCAACTGTAGCAGAGCATCATGCTTTCTTCACAATTTCTGAGCCATTCTCTTCTCAGGTGCTTGGTCTTCTTTGCTCATTTAAAATAATTAACTTCACAAAAGCTTGTAGCTATTGTTATTTCCGTTATCGCAACCTTTCAGACACAGAAAAAAGGAAAAGTAAAAAGATTGCACATGCATTAAACTTTATGCAAAGAGATAACAGAAGAAATGAGCCAGCTCTTAGGATTCTCTTAAGGTAACAAGATGATGAACTGTGAAGCCAAGCAATTAGAATGGCCATTAAGGGGGGCAATAAAATTCCCAAGGTCATGAAGTGAACACAGACCAAACTTACAGCCAGTAGGGGTTTTCATCTATGCCTGAACCCCAGGTAGTACAGAAATGGTGACCGGTTCATGGTTGGGGGCTTGTTATTTCCTGCTTATAAAATTTTTGTTGATTTTGAAGGGCCTATGCCTTACATCAACCCAAATAAGGGTACCTATGTGCCTCTGTGAGTGAAGTTCTTGTCTTTCAGGCACAATTTTGCAGTGTGAACATTAATAATGTGAAGGGATCAACTAATAATAAGGTTTCTTCTGCAGACACTTTATAGGTAAATTCCTTTGTATGGGCATAATACACGTCGCCAACTTTGGTCATAGACCCTAGACATCTGCCCATAGGAGGCCTCTAAATACCTGGACATATCCTAGGGGCACAGGGCCTAGAAACTAGGCTAATTCCAGACAATAGAAGAGTAATCAGGAAAAGAAAAGCACCTGTGGAAACTTGGCTGCTTCGAATGTTTTCCAGGCCACTCAGAATGTCCTTCTCCAACCAAGCCTTCCTGACCCTCTTCCTGTCTTTATAATCTACTGCCTGTCTCTGATACAGGAATTGAGAAATCTATTTTTATTTTTCTTCTTTTAATAAATGCTAATGTGTCTTTCTTATATCATTGCTCCCCCCCTCCTTTTTCATGACATCATGAGAAATGGACTCATTCATTGGACAAAGATAGTGTCTTCTATGTGAGGTGCTGTGGGTGATACTAATATTTTTAACTCATGCCCCCTCCTTCAAGGAGCTAAAATTGAGAAGGAAAGGTAAGAAGTACAAAGGAATACCTACAGTATAAGGTGGTATGATAACAGCTACAAAAGTTGGGACAGTGACCAAACGAGTTTTAGAAGAGAGAGAGTTTAGAGGCAAGAGAGTTCATCTCTGGTGAGAAGACTGTGTTCACTCATGGCTGTGGCATTTACTGCAAACTTAAAGGAAGTCACATGTGGAAAGTGCCCAGGGAAGTCTGCCTGGACTGCAGGTAGTAGACACCCACAGTGAGGCTTTGTAGGAATAGAGACTGAGAGGAGTGTTTGGTTTTGTAATGACAAATCTAATAAATAGATGCATAAACTGACCAAAGGGAGAAACAGGGGGTACTGGAAGAGAGGAAATAAATGACTGAGATCACTCAGTGATTTGGAGAAGGCAGGAATAAAACAGAAGTAAATGTTAAGCTGAAGCCATGGAATAAAACCAATGGGAGTCTAGGTATAGGCAGTCACCATGGTAGGGATAGGGAATGGAGGTCGATAGGGGTGGGGATAAAGGACGGCGCAGAGGATATGTGAACAGGGCAAGAGCTAAGAAGCAAGGCCACATCAGAAACAATGTGTATCAGACAGGGTGAATGAAGAAACAAGGTTTATATTAACCCTGAGAGGAAGGTAGCATGTGAATGTACTTTCCCTTGCCTCTATCTCAGGGCAGCCTCAAAGGCCCTAAGGACATTCACATAAAGAACAAACATGTATCTTAAAATGTAATCAGTGTAATGTCCACTGAACTATGATCCAAGGTAAATGACTGATCTTAGCACCTTCCACATGTATGAGAAATAACTGTACTGCTCAACCCAAGACAAATGGCTATGACAAGAACAAAGGCAACCTTCCCTCATGTCCAGGGAACCTTGTTTGTTTAAACCCTGCCAGCCTGAGAACACAGTGTCATAAAACTTTCCAGTCTTGCTCTTAGGAAAATAGCAAAGGAAATGCAACAACTGATATCCTGGTTAAACTTCTTATTTCGTAGCACAAAATTGAAAGCCTAAAGTAAATTCTGCTAAGACAGTTTCCAGGAACCAAATCCATTAATCAAACAAGCCTTGTATTTGTTGTAGCACAAAAGTTTTAAATTCAGGTTATGTGTTGACTGGAGGAGTCACACACCCACATTCACTGGGCTTATTTTGTTGCCTTTTGGCCTTAAATAAACTGTAATCTCAGGATTCTGGCCCTCAAACAGGCTGGGTATTTAAGAATAAGCTGCATAGGTCATAGGTCTTTGAGCAACCTGAAATTATCAATATGTCTACATCAGTGAGCTCCTGTCATTTAAATATTGGCCAGCATCTAAGGTTGAGAAGACAGGTAGTGGATACTGAGTTGACTGAATCCTTATCAGAGTACAGGCAATCAGAGAAGTGAAGAGGTGCAACATTTTTACTAGGTGAATGTAGGTGAAGTAAACTAGGTGAATATAGAAGTTTCCCAGTAATGTTCAAGACCATGGAATATAGTACATCAATTTTTTGGAGCATAAGTTTATACAAGTGCAATTTTGCTATATGCATGAAATGTGTAGTTGCACCAGTTTAAAAACAAAATTCTGCAAACACAATAGGGCCTCACGTCCATAGATTTAACTTATAAATGCTGAGTAAGCAGTCAAGTAACCAAACAATGTAAACAGTACATTTCTTAGGCCATTTCATTCAATAATCACATGCCCTACAGCCGAGCGTGGTGGCTCATGCCTGTAATCCCAGCACTTTGGGAGGCCAAGGCAGGCGGATCACCTGAGGGTGGGAGTTCGAGACCAGCCTGACCAATGTGGAGAAACCCCGTCTCTACTGAAAATACAAAATTAGATGGGCATGGTGGCGCATGCCTATAATCCCAGCTACTCAGGAGGCTGAGGCAGGAGAATTGCTTGAACCCGGGAGGTGGAGGTTGCAGTGAGCCAAGATTGCACCATTGCACTCCAGCCTGGGCAACAAGAGTGAAACTTTGTTTCCAAAAAAAAAAAAACAAAAATATTACATGCCCTAAAGTTCCTGGATGAGAGCTATCATCTCCCTTTTCCTCTATCTCGGTTTCTCTGTGGGTGTGAACATCACCATATTTATGAGAAAGTTAAGTAATTTTTCGATGTAATTATGAATTCTTAATTTCTGCATATGATTCCACAGTGAGCCTTTAAGATATACCTAAGGGACTGATTTTCATGAAGTTATCATATAGCATCACAAGTTTGTGCCTGAAACAACTCAACATTTTGTTAAAAGGGTGCTAGTGAATATGTTTGTAGAGAATAAGATTGGAGAAGGTTTTTTTTTTTCTTGGAGAGAGCAGAGGCAATGCATCATAGACTCTAAGAGGGCAGGCTCTGGAGCCAGACCACCAGGGTTAGAACCCAGGCTGTGCACAGGTCACTACAACTCTCTACTTCTTCATCCTTTAATTTTGTAGAATTAATTCTACAGTGTTGTAAGAATTAAATGAGTTAACGCAGTCAATATTTTTTTTTACCACATATCAAGTAATCCATAAATATGAGCTTCTATGTTAAAACAATTCAAATAAACAAAGTAATTTCTACATGATACTTTGCACTCGCCCTCCTACCAGCATTGATTCTTTATGCTCTTCCTTCTGTCCTATTTCTGAGGATGAACTGTTGTCTAGCTCAGACCATCTCCTCTGTTGGTACACCAGATCTCATCCTCTCTCACCTACTTAAGAGTGTCACTCTAGCAATTCTCTCCCTTCCTCCCACATTATCAATATTTCCTTTTTAACTGGATCATTCTTGTCAGAAAACAAACATGCTATTATCTCCTCATCTTGAAACAAATATCACTGTTTTGACCCTAATTCCCTTTACAGCTCCTATACTTTATTTCTCCATTTCCTTTCACAATGAAAGTTCTCAAAAGAGTTGTCTATACAGGTTGTCTCTACTTCCTTTACTTCCTCTTTCTTTTAACCCACTCTACTTAATTCCTACCCACTCTAGTAAGGCTACTCTCGTCATCAAAGACATCCGTACTGCTAAATCCAAAGCCATCTCTTAGTCCTCATTTTATTTGACCTATTTTCTAACCCCGGCTTTCAGGATAGCATATTCTCTTTGTATTCCTCCTACCTCACTGGCCGTCTCTTGCCCAACTTTGTTGCTGGTTCCTTCACTTATTTCTGACATATCAACACTGAAATGTCCTCAAGTATATATAATCTATAGGTTATTTCCCCTTTCTCTGTACACTCAATCCCTGCTGTTATTATTCAGTCTCGTGTCTTTAAGTACCATCTACATAATAACAATTTCCAAATTAATGTCTTTAGCCTGAATATGTCTCCTGAACTCTATTCTTATATGTAACTGCAAACTTGATATCTCCATGTCGAATTTAACATTTCAAATGTCTTACCCTAAAAATAGGTACAGAATCTCACTACTTTTCATCACCTCCACTTGTCTTCTTCTTCGTCCAAGCTCATCATGCCTCACCTTGACAACTGTATTCATGTTCTAACTGCCTATATCTGGTTTTACCCTCTTCATGTATAGTCTAATCTCAACACAACAGCCTAGGTGTTAATATCTAAGTCAAATCAGGTTAATCCTCTTGTTCAAAACTCTCTAATTGCTCCCCATTTTTCTCAGAGTAAAAACAACATTTACACAAAGCCTCTACATGATCCTTCCCCTAAGTTACCTGTTTAATGTCACCTTCTACTCTCCTACCATCATTATCCTTATTTGATCCAAACTGGCTTCCTTGTTGTTTCCTGAATATGGTAGGGACATTTATGCTTCAAGGCTGCTGTAATAGCTATTTTCTATGACCAATATATCCTTTCCCTAGATAGTCACATGGCTCACTGTCTCACCTCCTGTGTCTTTTGAGACAAGTTCAAGCATCAGCTTTTAAATGAGACCTACATCGCCTACTCCACTAAACTGCAATCTCTACCCTACAACATTACATCAAAACCCTTTTACGTTGCTCTATATTTTTTTCTACAGCCTCTGTCACCATTACTATACCATGCAATGGCCCTATTTCTTGTGTTACTTTTTATTGTCTCTTTGCTACTAGAGCATAAACTTCAGGAGAGCCAGTGTTTTATCTTTTCTGTTTATTTTTGTAGTCCTCAGGGTCTAAAACAGTGCCTAGCACATAGTAGATAATTAAAATATGTTGAATGACTGAAAAAAATTAATATCACCTTTAAAAACGTGGCATCCTTTTTATTACCATAAAACTTTGGAACTGGAAGAGACCTTAAAACTTTGTACATTATTTTACCAAAACAGGATGTGAGACGCAGAGAATGTAAATGGCTTGACAAAGGCCATGAAGCCAAATAAGTACCAAACTGTGGACTTGCCAAGATCCTGGCTCTGAGTCCCATGTTACTCTGTTACTTCATAATTCATTGTACAATTTTTAAGGAAAACAGCATTAGTTTTCTGGTAAGAACAGATATTTTAAAATGTCATAATTCAAAAATGTTATTGAAATTCTAGGCTTACAATAAAAATGTACTTTACATGGCATATTTTGATTATTTAAGTTTTAAAAAAATTTGTAAGTATACTCTAGTTGGGAGGCCAAGGCGGGCAGATCACCTGAGGTCGGGAGTTCGAGATCAGCCTGAACAACATGGAGAAACCCCATCTCTACTAAAAATGCAAAAAATTAGTTGGGCATAGTGGCGCATGCCTGTAATCCCAGCTGGTTGGGAGGCTGAGGTGGGAGAATCACTTGAACCTGGGGGACGGAGGTTGTGGTGAGCTGAGATCACACCATTGCATTCCAGCCTGGGCAACAAGAGCGAAACTCTGTCTCAAAAAAAAAAAAAAAAAAAAAAAAAAGTTGTTTTAGCTGGAGAACTATTAACTTTTTAAAGCTTCATTCATTGATCTTTTTCCAATGAAATTCTCAATATTCATATGTAGGAATTTATGAATTTCAAAATATTAATATTTAAGCCCTCTAGTGAAAAAGATTCTTTGGTACTTGTATGTTGTATGTTTGTATTTTATAAAATAAAAGACTTGTTATAACTATTAAAACCACTGAAATAATTGTCTAATGTTGAATATAAATTCTGAGAATATTAGTATTTTTGCATAAATGTTGAACAATATTCACTTATTAATATCAAGAAAACCTCAAAAGTGTCAACAGCAATGGTAGATCCATATGACTAGGCCTTCATTCCACAATATTGGGCCTCTATTATTTGCTACGAATTATGTTAGGTTCTGGAGATTCAAGAACAAATCACAAACACTTGGCATATTTTCTTACAGAGCCAAGTCTAACAGGGGAAATGACATTTAAGATGGCATGTGCAATAAATCAGAGATTCAAAGGTTTCAAAATAGTGGCCTATAGACCAGTCTTATATGGCCTACAAATTTTATGTGGAATTTATCACATTTTAGCAATTTTTAACCTTAAAAAAAAGTGAGATATTTTATATAAACATTCAGATTTATTTGAAAAATCAGAAGGGATGACAACTTTAGGTCCATGTTCTCCATGGAAATGACTGGCTGGGGCTGGAGCAGTGACCCCCTTTTGGAGGAACATATACTCTCTACTTTGCTCTGGCTTCTGTCCACTTCGCTTGATTCATTCATATTACTTCATATGATGCCTATGGGCCCTTGTCATTGCAAGCCTTGCAGAAAGTGTGACAACGTAAATGACAGAATCCAGTAAAAAATAAAAACAGGAGGACCTATTCAAAAAGCAGTAAATGAGATTTTTTCCTTTTTCCTTCAGTGGTGTTGCTCCAGACCTGTCAGGGTGTTTTTTGTTTGTTTGTTTGTTTATTTTTTTAATGTTTGTTTGTTTGAGACAGAGTCTTGCTCTGTCGCCCAGGCTGGAGTGCAGTGGTGCGATCTCCGCTCACTGCTAGCTCCCCCGCCCAGGTTCACGCCATTCTCCTGCCTCAGCCTCCTGAGTATCTGGGACTACAGGTGCCTGCCACCATGCCTGGCTAATTTTTAGTATTTTTTAGTAGAGACGGGGTTTCACCGTGTTAGCCAGGATGGTCTCGATCTCCTGACCTTGTGATCCACCTACCTTGGCCTCCCAAAGTGCTGGGATTACAGGTGTGAGCCACCGTGCCCGGAGGGTGCTTTTTATTTACTCTTTTTTGCCATACTCCCTTGGATGTGGGGCTACGTGAGTACAGAGCCTCAAAGGCAGTCAGCCTCACCCTGGCTCTTCGGCACTGGCACCCAGGCATGTTGGTAGGTGGGGGTGGGAAGTGATCATTGGGCTGGCGTGAAGATGGAAGGTCGGGCAGGCACTGGAGAACCCTGCAGAACTGCAAGTGAGGCAAGCCTCCAAGGCCCGGGTACAGGCTTCATCACCCTATTGGACTTCACTGACAAAACACAAATGCAAAGATAAAGTTATTTGGAATTTCAGGATGGCAACTCAGAGCATTAATCTCAGAGCACAGGGCTCTGCTGAGTGAGAGGCCGTGTGTGACCACATTGGTCTCACACTCACAGCCTTAGCCTGGATGACCAGGGAAGGCACCCCAGATGATGTGAAGTTTGGGCATGGGGAAAGCTTTGAAAGCTCAGGAATGAAAAGCACCAGGTGAGTTCTCAGAAGAGTTTAATATGACTGGATCATGGAGGATGAGGCAGGGTGAGGTGGAAGGAGATGTCAAAGTGCCTTGAAGTGGCAGGTAGGGGTAAAGAAATGTAGGGCCTGTAAAAAAGGGAGAAAGTGTCTTGAAGAGGCAGGTGGTGGTAAGGGAATTTAGGACCTTGTAAAAGAGGGAGAAAGCTTGGCAAACAAGTGAAGTATAAGTTATGACTATCTGAGAAACAGTTCATTAAGATATCAAGGACAAACCTAAAGGCAGGTAAATCTATATACAAAACCGCTGTTAAAATTTAATCATCCCTTACAAAGAAATGGAAGAACATTCCATACTCATGGGCAGGAAGAATCAATATCGTGAAAATGGCCATACTGCCCAAGGTAATTTACAGATTCAATGCCATCCCCATCAAGATACCAATGAGTTTCTTCATAGAATTGGAAAAAACTACTTTAAAGTTCATATGGAACCAAAAAAGAGCTCGCATCGTCAAGTCAATCCTAAGCCAAAAGAACAAAGCTGGAGGCATCATGCTACCTGACTTCAAACTATACTACAAGGCTACAGTGACCAAAACAGCATGATACTGGTACCAAAACATAGATATAGATCAATGGAACAGAACAGAGCCCTCAGAAATAACACCGCATATCTACAACTATCTGATCTTTGACAAACCTGAGAAAAACAAGCAATGGGGAAAGGATTCCCTATTTAATAAATGGTGCTGGGAAAACTGGCTAGCCATATGTAGAAAGCTGAAACTGGATCCCTTCCTTACACCTTATACAAAAATCAATTCAAGATGGATTAAAGACTTAAACGTTAGACCTAAAACCATAAAAACCCTAGAAGAAAACCTAGGCATTACCATTCAGGACATAGGCATGGGCAAGGACTTCATGTCTAAAACACCAAAAGCAATGGCAACAAAAGCTAAAATTGACAAATGGGATCTAATTAAACTAAAGAGCTTCTGCACAGCAAAAGAAACTACCATCAGAGTGAACAGGCAACCTACAAAATGGGAGAAAATTTTCGCAACCTACTCATCTGACAAAGGGCTAATATCCAGAATCTACAATGAACTCAAACAAATTTACAAGAAAAAAACAAACAACCCCATCAAAAAGTGGGCAAAGGATATGAACAGACACTTCTCAAAAGAAGACATTTATGCAGCCAAAAAACACATGAAAAAATGCTCACCATCACTGGCCATTAGAGAAATGCAAATCAAAACCACAATGAGATATCATCTCACACCAGTTAGAATGGCAATCATTAAAAAGTCAGGAAACAACAGGTGCTGGAGAGGATGTGGAGAAATAGGAACACTTATACACTGTTGGTGGGACTGTAAACTAGTTCAACCATTGTGGAAGTCAGAGTGGCGATTCCTCAGGGATCTAGAACTGGAAATACCATTTGACCCAGCCATCCCATTACTGGGTATATACTCAAAGGACTATAAATCATGCTGCTATAAAGACACATGCACACGTATGTTTATTGCGGCACTATTCACAATAGCAAAGACTTGGAACCAACCCAAATGTCCAACAATGATAGACTGGATTAAGAAAATGTGGCACATATACACCATGGGATACTATGCAGCCATAAAAAATGATGAGTTCATGTCCTTTGTAGGGACATGGATGAAACTGGAAATCATCATTCTCAGTAAACTATCACAAGGACAAAAAACCAAACACCGCATGTTCTCACTCATAGGTGGGAATTGAACAATGAGAACACATGGACACAGGAAGGGGAACATCACACTCTGGGGACTGTTGTGGGGTGGGGGGAGGGGGGAGGGATAGCATTAGGAGATATACCTAATGCTAAATGATGAGTTAATGGGTGCAGCACACCAGCATGGCACATGTATACATATGTAACTAACCTCCACGTTGTGCACATGTACCCTAAAACTTAGAGTATAATAATAATAAAATTAAAAAAAATTAATCATTCCTTTTTCCAACAGATATTCTGAGGATCTCAGATAGAGATCACTGTGCTTGAATTTGAATCCTTGCTTGGATGCCCACTAGCTCTGTGATCTTAGGCAAATTACTTAACCCCTTCATCTATGAAATGGGGACAGAACCAGAAACTCCCCTACAGGCTTGTTGTGAAAAGGAAGAGAGGAAAGAATGTAAAAGTTCATCAAAGTACTTGTCACATAAATGTGAGTGTACTAAGTGTCAGCTATTAATGTGATTATTACCCCTCCTTTGATACCTCGTTTGGTCTCCAAACTGCATTTGATTTTCATTCCTTGATACTTCTGACACCTCATCTGAGAGTAATCCTCATGCCTCAAGGCCAATAAAGATTTTGCTCATCTTTTCTTCTTCTTTCTCTTTACATTTTATCCAGTTTAATCTATCTGCTAATGCCTCCCAAATGTTTACTTCCTTTCCTAAGTCTTTTATCTTGTAAGTGATGCCTTTGGAAGATCTCTCACTAGGTATATCCCTTCAAATAGAACTTACTCATGTACTAGACTGTAAGGACAGGGCCATGACTGAACGTGTTCCTGGATACAGTGACTGGAACAGGGTAAGTACTCAACAAATATGGAATGAATGAAAGAATTTTCTTCTTTCTTTTCCAACCAATACAAATTTAGTGTCTTTCCATGAGGCTTAATGCCTGAACTATTTTATATATAATTGCATTAATTTGTGAGTTGTTCTAGTCTTTAATTATTATTATTATTATTATTTTAGAGATAGAGTCTCACTGTCACCCAGCCTGGAGTGCAATGGCACAATCTCAGCTCACTGCAACCTCCACCTCCCAGGTTCAAGTGATTCTCTAGCCTCAGCCTCCCGAGTAGCTGGGACTACAGGCGCGTGCTACCATGTTCAGTTAATTTTTGTATTTTTAATAGAGATGGGGTTTCCCCATGTTGGCCAGGCTGGTCTTGAACTCCTGATCTCAAGTGATCCACCTGCCTCAGCCTCCCAAAGTGCTGGGATTACAGTCGTGAGCCACCCTGCCCGGCCCAGTCTTTAATTATTTTAAGTGTATTAGATAGATAGCTAATCTAGGGAACCAAAGACAAAAGATGGGAAAGAGGAGCAATTCACTACAGCCTTATATGTGTTCCTATTTGAAGGTTGGGGTGCACTTTTAGGATGAAAAATCTTTGGCACCAGCAAGACATTGATAACTGGTGACAAATCACTGGCAAACCTCTAGTAGTTACCAGCAGACAGCTGTGCGTTTGTCGGTTTGTTTGCTTGTTTACTTTTTGTATACAGATGGGCTCTCACCATGCTGCCCAGGTTGGTCTCAAACTCTTGGCTTCCAGTGATCCACCCACCTGGGCTTCCAAAGTGCTTGGATTACAAGTGTGAGCCACAGCAACTGGCCCAGATGATTGTGTTAACTGAAGGCAGACAGAGATAAAGTAAAATATAAGGTAAATATAGTGAATTATCAGATCCCAGGAGGAAATGTGGAATGTGCCTTACAAGTTAAAAGGAAACTTTCAAGCAAAAAAGGACATGAGTACCAAGAAACTAGAAACAAATTCTAAGCAATGATATGTGGACTAATTCGATGATCTACATGGAGGTTTACTGCCTTTGAAAGAAGCAGTGATGACTCGAAGCCTATGTGGCCTCATTAGTGAAAATAATTTCAGAGGAACTTTATCTTTGACAGGATTTACAGCTGGATAGATTAGGAAAAATAATTCAATGGCATAGGATATTTGGCCTTTTACAGGGCATTTCATGACATACTTGTGAAAGATGGAGAAATATAGGCCATGCAATGATATGAATGGGTGAACATAGAGCTGGTTGAACACACATCCCCAAAGGGTAGTGATTAACCAGCGTATTTGAATGCATACTGTTCCTTTTAGTGATGTGCCTTAAGAATCTCTATGTAGCTCTGTTTTCTAATCATTTTTATCTGTTACTTCTAGGAATGGACAGAAAATGCATATAAAATGTGAATAAAATCATCCTGAGTAGGTCAGTAGATATGAAGGATGAAAGAAACAGGTATTTATTAGAGTGTACTCAAAGGCATTTTATACTAGTCAGTCATGGGTTTAGACATCCATCTCTTCAGTAAAATTGGGATAGATTGTTTTAATCTTCTCATGCCCCCAATATTTCATAATGTCTAGTATATAGTGGTGCTTAAATGTTACTTGAATCTTTAGAAGCCTGAAGGATAGGTCAAATTTAGCAAGGTTTATGGATATCAGTAGAATTAGTTGTAAAATGTGAGTGTCAAAACAGTGAATGCCAGCTTAGATATCATTATATTAGAATAGTACCTAAAAGTAGGGAGGTGGTCCTCCTGGGTTACTCTGCAGCTATTAACTGTATTTGTATCGCTGCGCTTAATTCTGCAGACTGCTGAGACAAACTAGAAGATGTTCAGAGAAATGCAAACTCTTGGATATGCTTGAAGCTATTCCTTTGAAAAATGATTGAAAAGGTGACAATTCAAAAGGGACATGAGGGTTGCTTTCAGATACACCTTAGGCTTAATGTAAAGAAAGAAAAGTAAATTTGTTTTTTATTGCAAAGGATTATATCTGGACCAGTGGGTACAATGAAAGAAAACATATTAGGATCAAGGTCTGGAGTATGTTGCTCTAGAAGATAAAAAGAGTTTTCTATAACTGAAGATGTGCCTCATAGGCTAGTTGAAAACCGGCAGAGATATTGTAGATAAGCTTCTTAACATATTTTAGGAGGTTTAATTACATAATCTTTAAGATGACGTCAAAATCTAAGGTTCTAATATTCACTGATTTTATCTTTGAGTCAGCAGTTTATGAAACTGAAGGCATGTAGTGCTATACAGACAGCAGATGCTTAGAAAGGTATTTGAGTGTACTACAAATAAAAGGACAATCTTCATTCATTAGGAAACCACATAAATATATATAAACTGTAGAACTTTGGAATAGTTATTCTATTATTTCTCTTCAGAACAGCACAGAAAGTTTTATGTCTCTCAGCACTATCTGCATTTACCCTAAAAAGAAATTTATAAAGCAAGCCAAAGATATACTGTAAAACCTTGGTTCTCAAACAAACAGAAAACCTTCAAAACTACAGATTTAAAATATTACTAAAAGGAAAATTTGCAACTTGAAAAGAGAAATAGCTGTAGGTTAAAGAACAACATAAGAAAGTGGATAAAAGTAGCACAACCCAGATGACCATCTGTTTAGCCATGTTAAGTATACAGCAGCAAAACAAACACAAATTATAGCTACAATGTAAAAATAAAGGAGTGTGATGAAAAAGAAAAACTGTCATAGGATTGATTTACTCCAAATTTAGAAATGTATCCCAACATAAATCACAATAATCAAAACCCTATGAAATAAAACAAAATTCCAGAATTTGATTTAAAATAGATACAGAATCTAATAAACAAAAAACCAGAAGTAATACAACATGAAGAATAACATCACTAACAAATGATGCTGCAACAAATGCTTATCAGTATTTATCATATCATACATTGTAATAAATACTATATGTCTCAAATTGCTTGCCTAATCAATTCACTAATTAATTGTAAAAAAGAAAGGAGCAAAATGGCTTGGGCTGGGATAAATTTGGGACTATTGAAGAAATACATTTTATTATCAAAAATAATATTTTGGAATATAGTAACATGTTATACAATGTCAAACTTCACAGAAACAAGAAATTACAATATGATATTTTCACCCAAAGTGGCAGGAAATAAGTGAAAATATTTAAGGCTGAAAAGATTGTAATCAGAAGGTTGCTTTTAGATCCTGTTAGTTAGAGTGTCTTTTGTTATAGAGAACCATGAAAATGTTTCTATCCATCCAGATGTTGATTTCTAAATGCTGTTCTCCAATAAAATGAAACCAGGTTTCTTTAGAAATTGGCTGAACCTGGAGCTGGGGTAGGGAAAATATAAGATGAGCCTAGAGCTTCTTATGGTGCCAAAGAGGAAGTCAGTGAGTAAAACAAGTAAGAAAATGAGTAAGGGAAATAAGAAAGTAAGGGAGTAAACAACATATGGGAGGATGTCATCAGAAGGACACAGAAATCAATCTGAATAAGAGAGAACAACTTGAGTCCAAAATAAATAATATTAGTATTGGATTCTTAACCAAATAATAAAATAAGTATTCAAACAAGGAAGAAAAGATTTTGAATGTTGTCACCACAAGGAATGATAAACGTTTAAAGTGATGAATATGGTAATTACTCTGATGTTGTCATTATGTGAATAAAGCACCACATGGAGTTTTACCCCAAAATATGGCTCCCTGATATAATGAATATTTTGAATTACAGGCCCTTAGAGATCAACAGATGGTAGAACAGACTTTTCCCTATCCATATAAAGACAGGGCAGACCTATGAAGGAGAAGAGTTGTTTCTTCTCTGCCTCGGCCCCATGTCTCTCAATCTTCTACCTCTTCAAAAGCACAGGCTGAAGTTTCCTTAACTGCCTAAACTCCAGATCTTCAAAAACAAACAAGCAAAACACCAAAAAACAATTACCTGTGATCCACTCCTTGGTTTTTTACTAACTGAACCCATATCCCAGGAGGAAGACAAAAGTCGTCAACAAACCTGGACATATTTTTGTCACAAACCAACAGGCCCAACAGACAACTGTATGTTCTTCAAGCCCATTAAATTATCCTAAAAACTATTTACTATCTTCCTAAAATCATCCACACTACCTCTCCTCTCCCTTTCCCCTAAAATGTAGGGTATATAAGCATCTGTACTGAGATATTAGGTAATCACAGTGTGATTCTCCCTTTACACATGATAGCAATAAATTTATATTCCTTTTCTCTTATGAATCTGCCTTTTTATGAGTTAATTTTTCAATAACTTTTCAGAGGGCAAAAGGAGAAGCTTTCCGTTCACCCACACATACACATGCATTGAGACATCACGGTGAACCCCATAAAAATGTACAATTATTATGTGTCAAATATAATTAAAATTTAAGTTAAAAATAAAATAAGTATTCATGAGTCCACATTGATATAAAAAATGGATAAATAAATACATAGGAGAGAGGGGGCAACTCTTCCTTACAAAATAATTCCAGTTCTGACAATCTAACTTATGGGGAAATAAAATTTAGTTAAAGACTTACAGAATCAAAGATGCTTATATGTTAATTACAGCACTATGATAGTACTTAAAAATCTAAAATAATGGCTTCTATTTTGATGAATTCGTTTACAGTCATTATAATACGCGTTCTGGAGAATGGTTATGAGGAAATATTCAGACAAAAGTAACATATTTCACACATTTAAATAGTGACTTCTCTTAAAAAAATTCTAACACAAGAAAGAATTGGTGATGAGTGAAATAAACATAGATAATAAAATAAGAAAATAAATTAGAGGGCAATATGTTGTAGTTTGACTCTAACCATCCACAACATTGATCTAGCTGTGAATTCTACTTCTGCAGCAACTTCTACTTGGTTTTAGACTATATGTACACAATGTCTCATATTCAAATAAAAATGATTCATCTAATCTTACGGCTGATTTATCTGCCAAATATTTTACCTTTTAAAATGCATTTTGAATGCCCAGATGCAGTCTTCTGATGAAATACAAGATACACACACACACACACACACACACACACACACACACACACACACTGTATAATTTCAAATATTTTGGAATGTTATTGTCTTCAGTGAGAAGTTTTGGCAACATTAAACAAAAAATATAACAAAATCCAGTGTCCCTTATCTTATTTCTGCTAAAAAATAATATGCCTTGAAAAAATCTATCAATGGACATAGTCACTAAAATGAATTCTTCTTACCTCATTTTCTAGAGGACAGCAGTGTCTGGCCCATACTTGATAATCAATATTTGTTCAATTAAAGAAAATTGAAGTATGCTATTTCTTCATGACATAGCTATGACAAGCTTTCATTTTGATTCATGTAAAGTTATGAAGCTAGACAAGATTCATTAACTAATAAAAACTGGTATTGTTAAAAAAGAAAATCCCTACATACAGTTAGATCAAGTAAGTGTGAACATAAAGAACATTAGCATAAATGTTTTGCCTATATGAATGTATGACAGAGGAAGAGGGACCATCTACAACAAGAATACTTTAGAAAGCCATAGCTTACAAATATAATTTAGAAATGGTTCTACTGTTAATCAAGTGATGAAAGATTGATGTTTTATATAATTAAACTCCTGATAAAAATGTGAGTAATGAAAAATTAGGAAAACAAATTGAGGAAACATAAATCTAATTTTATAAATGTTTGTATTTTCTTATGACTCTTTTTTTTTAAAGTAAAAGAAAGAACAGATTTCAGCAGAAGAGAGTAGGGTAGTATTGCTTATTCTCTCCAAACACTTAAAGTACCCAGCAAAAAAGTCTGACTCAACCCTAACAGCAGTTCCTACTGCCGTAAAGAGATGTAGACATTTGCCTTGGTTTTTGTGTCAATATTAATCAAACATTAATCAAATCAACAAAAAGAAAATTTCAAAGCCATTTACAGGGACACATCTGTAGTTAAAATTTTGTTTGTATTTTCTAGCCAACCTTGTAATAAGGTATACATTTGAAAGTATCTGCCTTCCTATCTGCCTACCTACCCACCTATCTCTCCACAGAAAAACACATGCACTCACATGTATACACATGTGTGCATGGTTTCACAAAAATCTAGACTTGTCATATATTTTTTTAGAGCAATATGCTAACATATTCCTTATAATCAAATCTTCCCATATGTTTTGGAGATAATTTACACAAATATTTCTCAGAATAAAATGCAAAAATCATCCTATCTGATTACATTCTGTTAAGAAACCACTGTGAGATACTGTGTCCTTGATATGCCCCTATGTTTCTAAGAGTTAAGTGCAGATGCTTATTTATCTTTCTAATAAAATTTTGGAGGAATGTGTAAAGGTAGGTTAAACTATGTCAGAGCCTTAAAACACTGTTCTTTTTTCAAGGTTTTTATGTGGTAAGATAAGAAAAAAAAAAGAACATTGCTAGCAGTTCCGAAAACACAACTGAGATGCAATTTGATAAATAGCCTTCCATCATCCAAGCCAGAGCAGTGGAAAAGCATGCTATCAGCACTCTCATCAAAGATACTATTGACTCCTCTTCTTCTATATCATTTTTTTTTCACGAGTTTCTCATTTTGTTTACTCAGTAAATGATTGGGAAAAAAAATTATTTCTTACCTCTTGGGTGAGAGGGAATGGCATCTGTTAATGAAGGTTCCTTTTCTCCATCATTGTTGCCGCCACTGCCTTCACTGCCACCATCTCTTTCAATCAGTTTGTCCACCATAGCAATAATGCAGTTCAGGCTCTTCCCCACATTGGCCCACACCCTGTCCTGAAAAAAGCATGAGTATCACTACATATTTTTGTCACAAAAACAAGATAAGGCAAAGTCGGATAAATCTATTTTAGAGAAGCATTTGGAAGGGTAGTCATTAGAATGCAGATTGAGTAGCTCTAAATTCCCATTAATTTGGTCAGACTATGGATATATAATGAATCTATGTTCTCTTAATGAAGCAAAAATGAAGTATTATAAACCTTTTTATTTAGTCCATTATTTTCACTGTCATAAAGAAATGATGACCATCATACAATATTAATCCATAATTGAGCACAAATTATGATATTTTAAATTGAAGGCATCTATTCTCTTTATCAACACTTATTATGAAAGCAAACACACACCAACATTTTTAAAGAATGGCCTCCTGTTGTGTGAGAAATTCTTGGAGTATTTTTGGTTATATATACATATATATATATTTCAGTAGCATTAAGTATATTCACATTGTCATACACCCATTACTAGCATCCACTTTCAGAACTTTTTCATCTTCCTAGACTGAAACTCTGCACCCCTTACACACATGAATTTCACATTCCTTCCTCTTCCAGCCCTTGGCAACCACATTTTGCTTTCTGTCCCTGTGAATTTGACTATTCTAGGTACTAGAAATTCTGGAAGTATGGTCTTTAGACCACTTCTAACAGAACAGCCCAGAAAATTAGTATGCAGATCCCTGGGTCCCACCAACTGAATCAGAAACCCTGGGAGGAAGGCACAATAAATTGAAATTTTGACAAATTGCTCAGATACTTCTGACCATACTGTCTTAGAACCTCTACTTAATATTATACACTAGAGCTACATAATAAGTCATTTTGAGTGATTTATTTCCCAAGAAGCAGCCTGTACCACTAACGGGCCTCTTTGCCACTAATCTTCCCAGTTCTCATTAGTAGCCATTTTTGCTTAAGGTAATGCATGCAACTTAATTCTTTGATTCACAAAATTGCTATTAATTGTTTAAATACTATTTTGAATACAGATATCACAATAGACGACTGCCATTCCTCACTTCCTTCGTGCTTCTCTTCCTACATCATCTAGCATTGACTCCTAATTTCTCTCTCCAGGCATAATACCCAGATAGATTTATGGTGTTTTCCCTGCATCACACCACAGAACAACCTTTCAGTGGGTGCTTTCTCTATAATAGAGCTATCCCAGGAACCTGGAGTACCACTTAATGTAAAGATAGTACTAAATTAGAGTATTTCCTTAGTGGATTGTACATTTTTTCTCAAATGTACTTTTTTTGCCAAAGCTAATTTTGCTACTTCATAAACATATAAATTAATTTTGGAAAGGATAAATCAAGGAATAGAAACTAAAGTTGAATTTAGATTATGTGATGGCTATGTTGTAAAGACGGAGTGCACAGACATGCCTACTTTAGCTGAGGAATAATAGGGTTTTAAAGAAAAGCAGAACATTCAAAGTTAGCACAGGTAATTTTGGATCCTTATGTGACATGCTACCTAGGAGACACTGAGAAAAGTACTTCCTCCCTGGGGAAGCCCAGTTGTCTCAGTTGGAATGATAATTCTTGCTCTAACTACCTCACCAAGCTGCAATGGGAGCCAAATGCTGTGTTTTCTAAGAAGGCACTTGTTGAAATTATTACTATTTGGCAAAATCACATCCAAAACTTACTGGCTTTCCTAAGTAAATCAAGCTTTCCCCTCACACTGTAACCTTGAGTAGGAAGTACTCTATTAACCACAAGCGATTATAACAATCTTTCCCCTAAAGTCAGATCTTTCCACTAAGAATTGAAAGCACTTTACCTCTAAGAAAAATTTAAACACCAATTGCATCCATAGATCACATCATCATCTGCCTGTTGTCTGAGAAAATGGTGTAAAGGAACCTCTGAACCATAAGCCAGGAGAGCTAAGGAAGCTCATTTATTCCAGGAAGAAATGCTGGGGAAGGGTAAGTAACCTGATGGTCTTGACATCTGGATTGGGATTTGGTGAGGAGCTTCCATTCTGGAGCACAATAACAAACTCATGCCCTCTCTTTTGAATATGCCTGAATCACTACCACCGACTGCATTTTTAAGGTGATTAAATTGAAAAATGAAACAACTCTCCAGCTAAAACTGGAAATCAACTCTGCTACTGAGGAAAAAAAGGGGAGCAGGTTCCCCTCAATTTTCCAGACTAGCTTTGTTCATAAGTTGTTAACTCTCTTGCTGTTGCCCATGTTGAAAGGAACTTGTGTGTGTGTTTGTGTGTGTGTGTGTGCACTTGCGCATGTATGTGGCACAGTTGGCTCACTGCAGTCTTGATCTCCTGGGTTCAAATGATCCTCCCACCTCAGCCTCCCAAGTAGCTGGGACCACAGGCATGCCCACCACGCCTAACTAATTTTTGTAGTTTTTGCAGAGATGGGGTTTTACTATGTTGCCCAGGCTGATCTTGAATTCCTGGGCTCAAGTGATCCACCCACCTCAGCCTCCCAAAGTGCTGGGATTACAGGTGGGGAGCCACTGCACCAAAGGGAACTTTATATTTTGATCAAAGATCAAGTCGCGTTGCATGTTGCTTTTCTTATATAAAGGAATGTAAGGGATAGAACAACTTCTCTTAATCACATCTCTGAAGAGCCTGAAAATAAAAGTATTTAAAAGATAATTTGACATTCACACGTATATATTGTTCTTCCTTTCCAAACAGCTCAGGTTATAAGATTTCGCTCATAGAAAAGTCACCTTTGTAGCCTGTAAAGAGATCTTCATTGGTCTGAGGAGCGTAGTGAAGCATGTTCATTGGCTAAAACCAATAAGCATGTCATAAAGGGTTACATATATGGTAGGCAGAATAAAAAAATTTAGTCATTAATGTTTAGAGGACACAGGAGATGACACAATATTTATTAGGGTGAGAAATTGAGCAGTCTCTTCTGTGTTACTAATACATAATTTATGAATAATCAAATATTTGCTTGAGGGGACACTCAGCAGCAGACCCTAAGCAGACTCCTTCTATCCCTTGTCTGTTGGAGAGGAGATGCTGCCTATCTGGTGGTGAGAGAATTCAGCCTTGCTGGTCATGGCCTCCTTCTCTTTTATGGCCTTTACTAAGAAGTTATTACTACTTAGTAGCAGTTACTAAAGGTACTGATGTGTGTTTCTGTCTCTAATATTAGACTGAGTTATTTGAGAACTGTGTTCTTGTTTTATGGCACAGGGCCTGGCTCTCAGTAATTTTTGTTGGAGGAAAGGAAGGCAGGTAGAGAAAGAGGGAGGAAGCAAGAGAAGGAGGTGACTCCAGAGACAGATTAAAGGCTGGTGTTTATATTCACTTTGTATATGCACATTAGCTAATTTAATGTTCAAAAGCCACCAGATAAGGTTACTGTTATTGACTCAGTTTTTAGAGATAAAGAGAATTCTGGTAAGAGATGTTTAATAAAACTCAACATTAAAATGGTATAAATGGACTAGAACTTCCATTCTGTTTGGCTCCAAAGACTTGATTCTTCCACTGTGATTTTCCACAGAAATGGGGTACACAGTAGCACAAACTAAGCAGAAAAAAAAACAAAAACAAAAACAGATAAAGAAACCCAGGAAGGGTCAGGTAGAGGTGTGTGCCACTTTACAGGAGCAAGACTAGGTTTTAGTTATCTGAGACTTAAATATGAGTCCAATGGTGGATCCTAGGATAAGAGATAAGTCTACAAAATGAACTGGCTGGTCCCGTCCCATGGACCCTCAAGTTTGAGATCAAAGGTGTCTTATAAGCAGGGATAGAGCAGTCACTTGGTTAAAGGGTCATTCACTTTGGCACAAAGGACATAAGTGACCTGCATTAATAAAGGAGTATCAGGTTCAAGGCCCCAGATCCATTCATGTGACCAGGATATAGAGCAAGGTGCAGATAACAAGGAGGAAAGATGATAATTCAATTACTAGAAGACTGGAGTACATGATAGTCAATTATTTTGAAACTACGATGCTAGAGAAGGGTAAGAAAGATTTTTAAAGGGAAGCATTGAATATCTGAGTTCTTTCCTAAACAAGCCCCTTTCCATTATATCTCTGTGAAAACATACACAGAGGAAAGTTACCAGCAAAAATACATTCTCATTCTGATGATTTTTACTCACTGTGCCAGTCCACAGGGGAAATGCCTTATGCCTAGATTGCTGGTATGAGGCTAGGGCCTACTCTTCTTTCTTCTCTACTAAAATCACACAATTAGTTTCAGATTGCTCCCATGATGAAGAAAGGCTGATTAGTGGGAAGACAACGGTAGCATAAGAATGTGGCTGCAGTATGTGGTGCTTCCAGCCCCTCCAGATCCTGCTTAGCTCCCTGCCACATGAGAGGATTAAAAACAACCACTACCACCTATCAGAGAAATGGATTGCTGGGACTTTTCCCCAGAAATAGCAGCTATTATCTTGCTAGGTCCCCTACTGTATGAAGGAAGTAATGGGGAATCGGCAGGTTAAAGTCTAATCTTTATTCAATGGAGCCAAATTGGTGTATTTAACCTCCATGGAGCTTTCACAACAACCCTACTCCTTGGAGGTCAACTGGCTATAAAATTTTCCTGGTCAATAAGGTCATGGAGTCAGTGGGGAACCAGCAGCAATATTTATTTCACTCTGAGTCAGGTGCTCATTTATTTCTGGGTTACAACCTAAGGTAACATGCAGGTCAAACCCAATGGCAGTAGATGCAAAAATGTTGATGGACGTCGCCAGGGGGACATTACACCTGGCAGATGAGCCATGAAGGCAGGCAGCATGATGGTGACTCAGCATGTCACACAATTGTGAGTTTGGTAGCATCAAGAGAAATCCTGACTGCTTTGGAGCAGTAGTTAACTTAAAAAATATATTCCGTAATACTTAGCTGACCAACTTTTTCTAAGGCCAATTTTTGATCAGAAAGAATGTGAAGACTAAGCCAGAGCTGATATAGATGTACAAAATAGCCTGATGTATCTGTATTTCCATGAATAATTTCTCACTTGTCATTATCAATTTCTGAGGACTTTGATTAGAAACAGTCAGTGAATTAACAAGGCCAATTCCATCTTTAAAAAGGAGCTTCCATTTATCCTTGATTTTGATTGACAGCAATATGCTCTATACTGGCCAAGGTCTGTAATACTGCAAACCTTTATTCTTTCAAGAGCTGGATAGCTTTTCTCCCTGAACCCTTCATCCAGACTGTTAGGTAAATTGAGTTGCACTTAAAATATTGTATGTTTCAAACTGGCACGTGTATAGCCCACGGTATCTCTTTCTTTCACACACACACACCACATATCAACATCCACACATCAACACACACACACATTCACTAAAAATAGCCAGACATGTAAACATCCACCAGATGAGATTCCCTGATCTTTGCTTCCTATTGGTCCTCCTGCTTTAACTTCACCTATTTCCTTATGTAAAAATACCTGACCTTCATCTCCCAATAACTACACTCAGTTTAAAATTCACTCCTGGCCTTATCTGGGAAAGGAATTCCTTGTAACAATTAACCACTGTTTCTCCAATTTTGACCTCTCCATATTCCCCTGGCTTGGATTTTTCCCAGACCTATATTATAGGCTATCACAAAATCAGGTCTATCTATGAGTGCCACATTAATCTTCATTGATCACCCTCCTCTTTTGATTATTTCTAATCAAAAGCAGGCTCAGTACTATAGCCAATATTACATTCTTCTCTCAGCCTGGAGGCACATCTATAGTTGGGTAGACCTAGATAATTCTTATGTCTCATTAGTCTTCAAAATGAAACCTTTATCCAGATGTCTTCTTGCAGTCTTAGAAACATGCTGTTGCATTAAATCAACATATATTTACTAGGCATCTGCTATATGCCGGCTCAGCGCTGAACATCAAAGATTTGAAGGAAACCTTGGAAGATCTATTATTTCCAATATCTTGAAACATGTTGACTTTTATACCTAGAATACTTTCTCCGTTATCTTCCATCAATCTAAATTCTTGCCCTTTCAAATCTCACCATCTCCAAGAATGTTTCATGCTTCTCTCTGCCTAACATGCTTTTTTGTCTTTTCTTTTTTTTTTTTTTTTTTTTTTTTTTTGACGGAGTCTCGCTCTGTCCCCCAGGCTGGAGTGCAGTGCCACAATCTCGGCTCACTGCAAGCTCCGCCTCCCGGGTTCATGCCATTCTCCTGCCTCAGCCTCCCGGAGTAGCTGGGACTACAGGCGCCCACCACCACACCCGGCTAATTTTTTTGTATTTTTAGTAGAGACGGAGTTTCACCGTGTTAGCCAGGATGGTCTCGATCTCCTGAGCTCATGATCCACCCGCCTGGGCCTCCCAAAGTGCTGGGATTACAGGCGTGAGTCACCGCACCCGGCACTTTTTTTTCTTTTTAATAGACTGTGTGCTCTATAAATGTAATGACTATTATTTTTTAATCCTTTCATTCTCATGTCTTAGTCCTAGAGAGGAAATAGATGCATAAAAGAAGAATGGATACAGGAATAAAAGAAAGAAAAAGAGGATAATTCTTCCATCTTTTCCGACTGTCACATAACGACTCTGAAAATTTTGGGCGTTTTTAAATTTCAAAATTTCTTCTTCTTTCTTTTATTTTTAGAGATAAGATCTTCTGTTGCCCAGACCAGAGTGCAGTGGGGTGATCATAGCTCACTGCAACCTCAAACACCTAGGCTTAAGCAATCTTCCTGCCTCAGCCTCCCAAGTAGCAGGGACGACAAGGTGTCTGCCACCACACTTGGCTTGGCATTTTTAATGTGTATCACACAACCACCTGCATCCTTAGAATATCTTTCAATACCTCTGCTCATTTTATGAGTGCTAGTCATCTTACTTAAATGAGATGATATGACTGTTAAGGTCAGGTTTCATATAAGTGCCTATACCACTGTTGCACACTGTTTATACTTATTGAATATCTATTGACTGACTTACTAATCTGTTATTTGGTAGTAAAAAAAAACTATACTATAAGAAGTTCTCATTACATGCATCTTCAAATTGAATTTATAACCAAGTTCCTACTCTGAATGGCTGCATTCAACCTAATAAATGCCACATCATGCTAAAGCTTTCAATTCAGTGCAAATATTAAATAAAACATTTAATAAGTGAAAAAATTCCACTGATTGACTAAAGCTTTTAACTTTAAATTGGTAATTGGATGTTATCTGCACACTATTAGATACTTGCACAACTGGCTGAATTGTATGACATTATCAGTTAGTGTGTTGTGCACAACCATTTTCAAACACCAATTCTTTTTAATTGTATGAACCTTGATAAATCAAGCCAACAGTCTACCTATATTTACCATAGTGTTTCCTTCACTTATTCACTAAATTTTGGAGTTAAAAAACTTTCTGTTTGGGAAACAATATCTCATTATTCAAAATAGAATATATTAAAGTTTGAGGGCACTTGATTTGAATGTAATAATACATTTCTAATGTGTATGTATGCAAGTTTGTATATTCATTATACACAGGCACATCAAAATACCTGATTTTGAACCAGGCATTATAAATGTCTAGAAAATATCCAAGGGAGATGATGGTATCCAATACAGAACTGCAGGAAAATCATTACATTATTTTACATAATCATTACATTATTTCATTACATTAATAGAAGTAAAATATCTATTAAAATACAGGTTTGAATTGGAGGATGAGCTGTTGATATCAGCAAGTCTATCCATTCACTTATTCCTACATTAACTCTGAAAAAGACATTGAGCTAGGATGTATAAGATGTGTTAGGTGTTATAAAACAGGGTTTTATAGGTGAAAATATTAACTGCATGTGGGAAAATCTAGAAATTGGCAAGATTTCATGAATATGCATGCACATAAAGATTTCACCTGGGGTTTCTTTTCTTTAATAGAACATTTGTGCATTTTAATGGACCAGTCATGAACTTTGCTTAATCACCCTTTGTGGACCTTAATATTGGATAAGTATTCAAAGCACATTTCTCTTGGGTGATATAGACTGGAGAAGTTCAGGAATGTTTCCCATCCATCAAGAAAACAGAGGATAGAACACATTCAGTTGCCATATAGGGAACAACTGGCCCCATTCTCCCTGCCTTTGACTGCCCTTTCTGATGGTGAGAGTGAATGCTTTGAGTGTTCCCTCCTCCTTTTAAGATTAACAGAACCATACAACCCTATTATGTGTGACTTAGGGATAAAAAAAAAAAGAAAAACCTGGGACAAGGGACAACTAGTCACTTTCAATTTATATTTGCTGGGAAACATCTGAAGAAATTATTTCTGTGTAACTAGAACCTTTGTAATCTGCACATTAATAATTAAATAAAGTTGCCATCACTGGTTTCTAGAGGCTTCTGAAGGCCTTCATTAGTCATGACCTTAGCTTTGGTCATCACTGATTTTCTGTGTCTATCTTGAATTTTACCACTTTCTATATTTGAAGATATTTTGAAGATGACTTAAATAGTCACTACAGAGTTGATTAAGACACTAGGAAATATGCACTAGGGAGAGGGGGATATTTTGCAGATGGCTAGAATAGTCATCTTAGAGTTGATTAAGACACTGGGAAGTAAGAACCAAGAAGAGAAGGACATAGCTGGGTACTCTTCACTGAAGGGGAGAAACAAAATCCTCAAAAGGACTCATGAATTATAGTGGGAGAAAAGCTACTGGACATAGTGCAGAATTATATTAAGTTGAAATATTCTCTGTTTCAAAATAAGAAGACAAATCAAAATAATCTGCAGACAAATTTCAAAGACATTAATCTATTCTATAAATGTGTATTGAGTACCTTTCGTGTTCACATGCTCCACTAACTGTGTGAATGCAACAGTGAATGAGACATTGTTTTTTTCCTATCAAAGCTTATAAAGTTCATGAACACATGGAGAAAACAGACATATAAACAACTGATTATAATCAGTGTTCACTAGGCTATGTGCTCCTGTAATATAAGAATAAGGCTTTATTATACAAAATGATTTGAAGTTGGATATATATATATACATATATTAATATATATACACACATATATATGCATCTATCACTTACAAAATTTGGAAGTAAATGGCCATATTTTAGTAGACATAATACTCATTTAGGTAACCAAGCTATAAGGTGTTGCTTTGAAAAAGTTTAATCATAGATTAATATCAAGGAGTCTATAAAAATTTGTTACTTCTAAAGAATGAGAATTATCTATCTCCTTCTTATTAAGATCAGGACAATGGTTTTAAATCACATCTAGCCAATCAGATAACTGAACAAAATCTTTTGAATATTAATTTTCACAGGTACCTCTGCATTATGCATGGTCTCAATGTTTTTCTGTAGACGTAATGTTTTCTAAGATGGACAGAGTAGTTGGACAAGAGAAGTTGGGAATATAGATCACTATAGATTTCCTATGGAGATACCTGGCTAAACATGTTTTGTTCTCAACAGTTAACAATGCTTGCAACTGTCTATGCTCACTGCTACCAATTATGGTAGTATAAATAGCTCTTCAATGCTCCTGTCAAGCTTGGCCCCCTTATGCCTAGTGTTCCATTATTGGAATGCTAAGCATGCAGTTATTTATATCCTACTGCTCAAGGTCATCGCCAAGGTCTGATTTTTCACTCATGCAGAAATTCAAAAAATTGCAGCCTCAGGCATAAATGGGTTAAGCATTCACATCTGCTGTAGGCATCATTAGAGAAAGGTATAGTACAAAATGAACTGTATAAAATTTGTAAGGAATATATCAGAAGATGGTTCATATAAATCTTATTCCCAAACATAATCTTTGGTAGTATTGAGTTACAGAATGGCCACAGATTTTTAGGTTATCTATGGAGTCTATTAATAGGATGTTTTACATAAATATGACTATGAATTTGTGCTATTGTTTCTAAAGTCTATAAAATTATTGAAAAATTAATATGGATGGATCATCCATTGTGTTTATGTAACATAAACACATTTAACATAATATGAAATAGCAAATGTTTGCCTAGCTTAAGAAAGAAGACTAAAATTTTAAATTTGGCTTATATTTGTAACATGAAGGGAATTAATTGGATAATTTGGATGCTGAAATGCCGCTTGATGCAGAAATGTAGATCAATTAAAAATGGGTTTTGTGTCTGTCTAAATACTAAGAATTGTTTTTCTAGTTTTGCAGTTTGCTAGAATGGATCAGAATATAAAGGATCAGAAGTTTCTTTTTTAACAATTGATTTGAATAGAAGTAGGCAGATTTAGCCCTTAACCTATCACTATAGTAATTTTGAAATTAAATCACAGTGTTCCACAGAATTTCAGAATTATTAGAAACCACAAAAACTAGGTCAACTTAATAGTTTGGTTAAATGACATGCTTTCACATTTTGGACAAACTAATCTTGGAATCCCAGCTGCTGGAAGCATCTGTTGCAGAGATGTAGAGAAAGAAAAGTAATATGTCATCTTAACTGGCTAAAAGAGAATGGTATGTTAGTCTATTCCTTGGCACAGATTGTTATACAATCCCAAATATTCCTTTGGGGTTTAATTGTTTACTAGCTTTTCAGGAAAATAAACCCTTAAAGCATTCCATTATTTAATAAGTAAAATTCAGCAAATAACAGACTTTTTTGTAAACATTCATTTTAGTTTCAATCTTTACCATATTGACTAGATGATTATTATCCAGATTCATATGCCATCAATTTTGTCAACAAAACAAGTTGAAAAGAGAAAGGACAGCCTCATAGTGATTTAGAGTGAGCAGGATTCTCTTTTTTGACTTCAAAAGAATGGTTCTTACCTGCATCAGCCGGGTAGGATTTAAGTGTAATCTAACACCATTTATTTGCTTCCCAAATACTTATTATAAGAAGCTAAATACAGTTGTTCAAGTCAGGTAATTATTACAGTCACTATCAGAAATTAAGTAAAACAAACAAAAAATGCTTAATGGAATTACTGTAACCTTATTTGCAAACGTAAGCCAATTTAAGTGATCAGGGAATATCTTCACATAATATCACAGAAACCCAATTGAATTAATTTAAAATGCTGAGTTACTACCAGCATTGACTAGACTTGTAATCAGCACTGAAACTTTTCTAACAACTAATTAAAAAAGGGAGTATACAAAGTTATGTTTCTAATTCATTTAATACCACAGTCTCTAAAGGCATCTTCAATTAGCTACATTTTCTTTAGTTTTACTCAATTTATCAAAGTTAGATAAAGCTTTGAGAATAATGTTAGTGTTTATGACTCTGGTGAAATATTGTTTCTATCTTTTTATAAGGGATTTCTATCCTCTGATGAAGGAATGTTTTCAGTAGAAAGCGGTTGCTAAGGAAAATCAATGAAAATGTTATATACCAAACAAACTCGGTTCTTGTTTGCAAAAAGAGTAAAATTATATTAGAAGGAGAGAATTAGAAGTAACTTTTCTGAGTGGGAAAGATTTTTCTTGTAATTATGGTAAATTTAGGCAAAGCTTGTATATGCTTTCCAGAAACAATGAGTTCAGAAGGAGGCTTAGAAATGACATTAAGGAGATGCAGAGAGCAATGCAGCCCTTCATTATTGCCCAATCCTTTTGCCTTTGAAGGACAACAAGAGAAACTGAGATGACAGCTTTTCATCAACTGGAGAAAAGAATCAGAAAGACTTTTTTCCTGGTGTTAAGACTAGAAAATATTCCCAAAAGAATAATGAATGCTAAACAAACAACCATGCCACCTGATACTCCAGCCTTGGCTGGCCCATCACAAAGCCTGGAATTATTCTCAAATTTTTCACGTTACTCATTAGCTCAAGTACTCATTTCTTCGGTGCCTATTTGAAACCTTCACCACTCCCTCCAGTCCTCCCCGTCTTTTTCTCTTAGCACATGGTTCTACTTTATGGATAAAAGCAGCCATCCAGCCCCACCCACCCTCACATCTTCACATCCTCCCTGCAGTCTCAGGAGAAGTGCCTGCTCTTCCACCTGGACCCTACCGTTGACTTTCTTCCTTCTCTTGTAAGGACCTTGCTCCATCAGTTATCACCTCTGTGCCTCTCACATAGCCTTTGGAATATAACATGCTCAAATTTCACTCACTTTAAAACAAAACATGTAAATAACTAATAATAATCACAGGCACAAACACACACACTAACTACCTCTCTCTGTATGTCAGCTATTATGCTCCATCTAAAAGGGCACCACATCTTCTTTCTTGAATGATTAACTTATACTCAGATTTAAATCTCCAGAATTACTTCTGGCAACACCACTATGGCTACCACATTCTTGCTGTATCCCATGTACATCTCTAAGGCTGCACTGCGATTGCTATTTGTCTTTCTACAGCCCTGAATAGGCTGTGGAGTAACTGAGGGCCAACGTTGTTCACCTGCTGTCCCCAGCATGTGGCACAGTGAATAAGGCAGAACAGGTACTCAGTAACACTGACTGAAGGGAATAGTGCTCTGTAAACCTTCTCAACTAATGATACAGTCCCCACTTTCTTCCGTCTTTGCCCATCATAAGACAGTTCTGGACGTAAAATTTTGAGTTGAAGTCATATTAGCAGAAACTGTCTTCTATCATGTTTCTTTCTAAGCTTTGTTGCAAAATGTTGTAACTATTTGTTTACATATTTTTATCTATCACTAGACTCTGAGCTCCAAGAACTAAGGATCTAACATTACTTACCTTCCCACTTGAAATACTTAATAAAAGGTTTCAAAAATTATCTAAAGAAAAGGAAACAAGGAAGGAGAGGGACTATTTTCAACAGGAAGAGGGGGTCAAGGTGAGGGGGAAGGGTTTGTAAAACATAGTGAGTTAAAATGAGGGGGAAAAATTCCAAGATTCTCACTTGATTTAATATAAAATGGTAATTATTTGTCAAAAGGTCAACACTGGATGTTTATTAAATAAAATATATCTTCTTTTCTGTATACACTCGAACTCTTCAAAATTCACAATCCACATTGTATGACATATCTAATTTCCCCACTTATCTCAAGGGATAGTATTAATCTTCTTAATAAGATTATATAATTTATATTACTTAAGAAACATATAACAATAATACTAAAGTAATATAATGCATTTGCCTTGGCATTTCCAGGAAATGGAGCATTGTAACATGGTAAATCATTGATTTCATGACCACTCTAAGAGCTAACAGAACACGTGCTGTTATTTTCATTTTACAGTTGAGAAAATTGAACTTCAGAGGTTAAGAGGTGTGTACACTTGGAACTGTGAAAAAAAAAAAGTGAAGAAGGTGAAGGTAAAAGGGAGAAAGAAATATTAGATTTGCTCTTTGAAAATGCTTCATTGGGAGAAATGCAATTTTAATCACCAACGACAAACACTCAGCATTTACCTCTTGGAGCCCACCTCTGTCATTTTTGTGATAGAAATTTTACCAAAAGAAAAAGCAGGCATCACCTCACAGCCTTTCAGATAACATTTTTTTTTTTGAGAGGCCTGTGCCTTTCAAGTAATTTACTCCCCATTCTTAAATTCTAGGGTGGCAAGAAAAGTAATTGTTAACTAAAAGCTTAACATCTAATACAGCTAGCACACTATTTTTTTTGTTAAACATATGATACAGTAATAGATTTCCCTTTGTGTGTGTGTGTAATATGCATATACTTTGGAGAATTCTTGAATAATTTATATGTATCGATTCAGTAATAACACCCTGTTCCTCTGCCATGGTACACCTTCACGTTTCTCCCATCATATTCGGCCCAACTAGAATTTCTCTCACCATATTTATTTCCTTTGTTTATTCATGTTTCCTAGCTATTTTTTCGTATCATTTTATGAGGCCATTCTTCTGTAAACTTTAGAGCACCTAGAGCAGCATCTTACATTATAGAACCTTGAGCGAGAGGGATTTGCGAGATATCTATGTCTATTGTCGTTTAAATGTGAATACTTTTAAAAAGTACTTCCAGAACCAAAACACTGGATTGCAACAATGAAAATACTTGTTGCATCTAAGTAGTAGTAACATGGAGGGTTTTTTATTCTTTTTCTAAAAAATAACTTTCATGTTTTATATAGTTTGGCAATAAATAAGGAAACATAAGAGTCTTGTAACTGTGGCATCTTTACTTGGATGACAGATTCTCACTTAAACATATAATTCATTGGCTAGCAAATAAATTTTATCAGGATTTCAACTTCCAAAAAAAAATTGCCCCTAAGGAAAAATGTGGCCTATTTATCCACAATCAGTGTTATAACTTTTTTTCCATTTTTTAAAATGGAAAGCAGAGCTATCTGATCATTCCTACCTTATTTCTCATTGCCAAACATTGAGAGGCAAGCGATATACAAGAGACTTACCCACTCTTCCTCATCATAGTCTGAATGATGTGGTATGGAGTCCTGCCCTCTCATCACTGGGGGTTGGTCTTGGGGACTGCTCTCCTCTGTGCTGCTCTTAGGAGAGGGTGGCTTCTTAAGAATGCCTCCTGGCCTTGCAGTGTAGAGTGCTAAAAGAGCACTCCTGACAAGTTGATCCTTGAAGGCATGTACAAAAAGCTCTGTCTGGAAAGAAATTGACAAGGATTAGAAACACCTTGGTAGGCATCTCAGCATAGAGCTGTGAAAAGGTCAATTGCAGATTTGTTGGTACTTAAGTGGTGTGTATGGTGGAAAAAGTACAGACGCCAAGGAGAGAAAATGATTCATACCAATCAATGGAAAATAGTTTGGTTCTGGGATGCTGCCAAGGCCTTAAGTCCTCCTGTTTTAAAGTTAATGCTGAGGTTTTAAATGCACTATAAACACCGTCTGTCTCCTCAACCTTCTCCCTTTTAGTTTCACAAATCCTGTCTTTGGAGATGAATTTCAGTGGGCTTAATCATTTGAACAACATCTACCTGCTGCAGCTTTCAAGTCATTCCAAACACTCCTGAAAAGAAAATGTAATCAGTCTATGTGTATTTTATTAAAACCGCAATTACTTTTGCACCAGCCTAATATGTTTTAAACAGTTAAAGACTAAAGAAAGACATACATCCTTAAAGGAGAAGATTTTTTTTTTAGTGTCATAAACAGATCTCAACAATAGTAGAAATGGCATAGGCAGACTTCTTCATGAAAACATCGGGCCTGTTTTCCTTATTATCACCTCCTAAATGCTCTGTTCCACTAAATTGTTTCAGTAATGCTTAATGTTAATGAGGTTACTGTGAAACTTGGCATGTAGATTTTACAAGCTGGTGGCAAATACCTAGTACGTACTATAGCAATGAAGGCTTCCCAACAATAAAGAACTTTACAGCTGTACTTTGCAATTTCCTGATGAAATGTTTAACAGTTTCACCCTGTAATAGACTGAAGGGTGCAGTAATTACTTCACTTAGCATGCATGTGGCCTAACGATCTGTTCAAAGAGTAGAGATGTAAGTCAAGTAATGGCCCATATTGTTAACATATTCATACTCTGTAATCTCTTAGGAAGGGACCCTTTAACTCATAGCATTATATTGAATAATAATTGATATTGCCACCATTTAATGAGACACTCTTGATAATGCTGGCTTCACCATTGATATAACTCAACATCATTATTTCTTGGTGCACTCTCAATATGCGGTCAACAGTTCCAAGCCTAACTAGTAGTCACTAAATTATTTAGAGTAGACTCTAAATCTTCTCGTTGACAGCATCAGCAACTAAAGAAAACCAGTTAAGCCCCATGCAAAACAGGTGCCCAGTAAGATTTTGTTATATATGCATAGTTACTCATTTGCCATAGATCATAAAATTTTAGAGGTGAAAGGGATCTTAAAGTTGACCTCTTCATTAATCAAGATGAGAAAACTAAGAAAGAAGTGTGGTGATATGTTTTAGGGAATACTGCGTATTGGCAGCACAAATGGAACAGGAATGAAGTTTTCCAACAAATTAGCAGCTTTCTCCCTTATTCCACACTACTCACCACCCGCCATAAAACTAGATGTTTCTGTCCTTCTTCCTCTTCTTCCCTAACCTCAACTTTCCAAGTGTTTTGAACATCTACCAGTTTTCATAATTAAGTGTGCCTATAATGCCTGTGTAACTACTTTACTGCTAAATTTTGTTGAATATTTTAAACATCCTGTTATTAGTCACATTGAAGCCACTTTGAAGGTGAGAAAACAAAACATGAAAAACATAATTTATAAGAATAAAAGATTGAAAAATATTTCAGAATAAATCAGAAAAACAAAATAAAAAGCAGTTTATACTAGATAGGCAAAAAAAAGAAGTGTTCACTGATGTTCACAATGAAGTATTAAAATGAGAATGAAAGATATAAAAAAACTGATGGAAAAATTGGCTAGACAGTACTCAAACAAGTCAGTGTAGTCATAGCAAAATGAGGAAACATGTTATTTACATAATTTTTTATATAGCATGGATGTGCTTATCAGTGTGACTTTAAATATTAAAAGCATGAATTTACTCCCATTCAGCTTAACTAAACAATTTCTCTGTTGATGGTTTCAATAAATTCTTTTGATTTATTTTTTGAGCCAAACAACTTGCCTTCTTTGAATTCCTGCTACTACATTTCAAGTCTCCACAATACTCATATAATTGCCATGTAGCTAAATATTCATTCACACTCAATGAAATCTTCTCTAGCACTTGTAATCACTATCAATTTCTTTCCCTCACATGCACATGCAGAGATTCCACTTCATTTATTCAAATCTCATTTGAGTTGATTTACCACCAAAGGCAAGGGAGATCATGCAGGAGAGTCCTGCAGTTTTAAAACCCAAAATTTTTTTTGGATAACTGAATACAAGGCTTACAATCTTAAACATAATAATAGCTAATCTTTCACTTTGTGTCTGTACTGACAAAATTTATCTGACTTCTTGGAAACTCTCTGGATCACCAGTATCCTGTGTAGAGAATCACATTTTTTAGAAAATACCCAAATGTCCCATTGTGATATCCATGTAACCTGAAAAAAATTTAATTTTTTTTGACCAGCACTACTTAGTGATGTAGACCAGTGTAGACCATTGATGTTTCGCAGTCAAATAAATCAGCTTGAAAAGATTAATGTAGTCACTAAATCCCAACACAGCTGTATACAGTAGTCCCTCTTAATCTGTGCTTTTGCTTTCCCATGGTTTCAGTTACCTGTGGTCAACCTTGGTCTGAAAATATTAAGTGAAAAAAAAGAAGAAAGAAAAAATAGAAAATTCCAGAAATAAATAATTCATAAATTTTAAGTTGTGCAGCTGTTCTGAGTCAAGTGATGAAATTTTGTGCCATCCTGCCTCAGATTGTCTGGGATATAAATCGCCCAGTGTATCCGTGCTGTATATGCTACTAGCCCACTAGTCACTTAGGTGCCATCTGGGTCACCAGATCGACTGTCAGGTTATTGCAGTGCTCATGTTCAAGTAGCCTTGATGTGGAAGCCTAACACTACATCATTCCCCTCACTTTATCTAATCACGTAGACATTGTACCATCTAACATCATCACAAGAAGACACGTGAGTACAGTACAAGAAGATATTTTGAGAGAGACCACATTTACATAACTTTCATTATAGTATATTGTTATAATTGTTTTGATTATTAGCTCATGTTAGTCTCTTACTGTGCCTAATTTTAAATTAAATTGTATCATAGCTATGCATGTGTAGGAAAAAAACAGTATATACAGGGCTTGGTACTATCAGGGGTTTCAGGCATCCCCTGGGCGTCTTGGAACATATCCTCGTGGATAAGGGGGAACTATTGTATTGCTGTTCTTGCAACTGGGACGATACTAGGAAAGTTGAAGTCATGGAAAGGATGTGACCATATCACTGAGTTGCCTACTGACTGTTCTAAAAAACCTTTTTCTTTTCTCATTTAGCGTGAACTACATTAAATGAAAAAAGAAAGTCTATCTAAATGTTATCATAAGAGTAGGGCAAACAATTTATTTAAAATATCAGCTTAATAATATCGTGTAAAAAGAATAAACTCTGAACGTAAGGCAGATCTATTTTATTTTTTCATATTAGAAAATGAAAGAGAAATGTTACCTTAAAAAAACGAAATGTTTTCTAGCCTTCTGACATTTTTCCAATTCATATCCCCATACAACTATTCTTCAAAGCAACACACAGAATTATCTGCAAGTATAAAACTACTAAAAATTACTTCTCCTGGGGATGAATGAAGAGAATTTCTAGTTTTCTGAATATTAATGGCAGAGGAATAGTTAGGACATGTTCATTTAAAACTACTCTTTTTCACTAGAGATCTCAACAAAGTAAATAAAGTTCTATTCTACCTAGAAATCTCCTTATTCTCGCTGAAAAAACATTTAAGGCAATGCCTAATTCCACCTGTAATACAGAAGCAGCCAATGGCATATGCAAGTGATTATTATTTTAGTAATCATCTATGCAGCAAGAATCCTGTTTATTTTGATATTTGGTATTTTGAAATTACTTGATATAGGAATAGTGCTACACTCTGTCATTAGGGCACTGATGTATTTTCAACATTCCCTAAAGGAAAGCATGTTAGACTAACAGCTAGGAGGTTACTTAACATTTGGGCAGCTCATATATATTATCCATTTGCCCTTGGAAAAACCACATAATCATTTTTCCTAGTTTGCATAAAATTACAGTGCCTACCTCTCAAACTCCTATGGGAGTTCATTGTAAACCCTCAAGTGCACTCTTTCATGGTCTTTTTATTTATTATTTTATCTTACTTTTATTTTTAATTTTTATTTTTATTGTAGAAACAGGGTCTCACTATGTTGCCTGAGACCTTAAGGCAGGTCTCAAACTCCTGGCCTTAAGTAATCTTCCTGTCTCAGCTTCCCAAAGTGCTAGGATTAAAAACGTGAGCTACTGTGCCCATCCTAATGCTTCTCTTTCTTGATTGGCCTTTTCAATTTCTTTTCTTGACTCATCATTCTCTGTTCACCCAAAATGTGGTAAGTCAGCCCACAAGGGACCTTAAATCACTTTCTCAAAAGCATTTTTTTCATTGGTGAGGTAATCCATTTTCCCATAGTTCAACTGTCATCTTTACGCCAAGGTCTAATAAATCCATCTCTATCCATCTCCTGAACCAGCTCTATCAACTGTTTTCATTGCAAAGCCCTTAGAGTTCAGAAATGCCAGGCTGAACTCAAGATTTTGTTGTTGTTCTTTAATTTTTAGTAATTTTGTCCTTTCAAGATTTTCCATTTGAGTAGTATCATTAGTACTCAGAGTCCAAACCTCTGAATTATCCTCACTAACGCCTATTTTCTGGATTAGTCAGCAATTTATTCTACTTATACCTTTACAATAATTTCAAAACTCGATCCTTACATTTCCACAGCTAGTCCCACTTAAGATCCTTTCTACATTCCATAGGGATACTTTCCACAGTCTCTTTATTTGTTGGTTCACTTTAACTTGTCTTTCCTTTACAATGTTATCAAAGGCCACCAATGTTAAAATATACACTTCTGAGTTCCAACCTTGAACTACAATACAAATACAAATATAAATGAGAATTTGTATTTTTAGTAAAGTCCCCCAGAAGCATTACTTTTATTTTGTGATACCCAGTAATGTTCAATAATTCAAATCCAGTATCTTAACTCAGCCTATGTATTGTTATAAAGATGACCTTCATAAAATATGTATCTAATCCTTCCTCATTCAACAGCCTTCTCAGTGCCAACAGAATAACATTTCTCTTGAATCAATAACTAGGTGTTAGATGACCAAATTATACGGTGTTTTTCAAGCTATGAAACATTGCTGAAACATTCACATTTCCAAAGTGTGCAAATAATTGTGTACATAACAGTGATGCATGAAAGTTGCAGGTCCATATCCTCCTCCACTCTTTTTATCCTCGGCCTTTTTGATTTTAGCTGTTCTGGTAGGTGGCTAAGGGCATCTCATGATAGTTTGAATTTGCATTTTTCTAATGGTAAATGATGCTGGGCAACTTTGCATGTGTTTATTTACCATTCATAAGTCTTCTTTGGTGAAGTATATTTTTAATTCTTTTGCCCATTTTTAATTGAGCTGTTTGTTGTATTAAGTTCTAAGAATGCATTATTATTCTGATACAAATCCTTTAACATATGCATATTTTATAAATATTTTCTCCCAATTCATGACTTCTTATAGAAGTTTGCCTGCTTTTGTTCTTTTACACTGTACATTAAGGTTTATGATCAATTTTGAGTTAAATTTTATATATGTATGAGGTAAAGTTAACTGTTCTTTTGCTCATGGATATCCAATTGTTTCTGCAAAATATGTTGAAAATATACTGTTTTCCTCTGGCTAGCCATATGCAGAAAATTGAAACTGGACACCTTCCTTACACCTTTTACAAAAACTAACTCAAGATAGATTAAAGATTTAAATGTAAAACCCAAAACTATAAAAACCCTAAAAGAAAATCTAAGCAATACCATTCAGGACATAGGCATGGGCAAATATTTTATGATGAAATCACCAAAAGCAACTGCAACAAAAGCAAAAGCTAACAAATGGGATCTAATTATACTAAAGAGCTTCTGAACAACGAAAGGAACTATCAACAGAGTAAACAGACCACCTACAGAGTAAGAGAAAATTTTTGCAGTCTATCCATCTGACAAAGGTCTAATATCCAGAATCTACAAGGAACTTAAACAAATTTACAAGAAAAAAAAAACAACCACATTAAAAGTGGGAAAAGTACATGAACAGATTCTTCTCAAAAGAGACATTTATGTGGCCAATAAACAGATAACAAAAAAGCTCAACATCACTGATCATTAGAGAAATGCAAGTCAAAACCACAATGAGATACTGTCTCATGCCAGTCAGAATGGTGAGTACTAAAAAGTCAAGAAACAACAGATGCAGGTGAGGCTGTGGAGAAATAGGAACACTTTTATACCGTTGGAGGGAATGTAAATTAGTTCAACCATTATGGAAGACAGTAGCGTGGCAATTACTCAAAGACCTAGAACCAGAAATACCATCTGACCCAGCGATCTCATTACTGGGTATCTACCCAAAGGAATATAAATCATTCTATAATAAAGATACATGCTCATGTATGTTCATTGCAGCACTATTCACAATAGCAAAGACATGGAATCAACCCAAATGCCCATCAATGATAGACTGGATAAAGAAAATGTAGTACATACACACCATGGAATACTACACAGTTATAAAAAGGAACAAGATCATGTCCTTTGCAGGGACATGGATGGAGCTGGAAGCCATTATCCTCAGCAAACACACACAGAAACAGAAAACCAAACACTACATGTTCTCACTTATAAGTGGGAGTTGAACAATGAGAACACATGGACACAGGGAGGGGAAAAACACATACTGGGGACTTTGGGAAGATGGTATGGTAGGGAGGGAGAGTATCAGGATAAATAGCTAATGCATGCAGTGTTTAATACCTAGGTGATGGGTTGATAGATGCTGCAAACCACCCTGGCACACATTTACCTATGTAACAAACCTGCACGTACTGCACATGTATCCTGGAACCTAACATTAAATTTTTAAAAAAGATATTGTTTTCCTAATGAATTTCTGCTGTGCTTTTGTCTAGTTATTTGAACATACATGTGTTGGTTTATTTCTAGATTCTCTATTCTAGTCCACTGAACTTTATGCCTTTGCTACACTAGTATGTTACAAAGGACGTAATACATTGGTATTATTTTTATTTGGAAGAGTAAATATATATAAGAAACATGTTTGAATTAATAAAAAAATCTATTCACATATTTACCATTTTTGGCATTGCCTATTCTTTTGTGTACATTCAAATATCTCCTGGTATCATTTCCTTCTTCCTGAAGACTTTCCTTTATGATTTGTTGTAGTACAAATCTGTTATGAAATTTCTCAGCTTTTGTTTGCCTGAACTCGTCTCCATTTCACCTTTATTTTTGAGAGTTAGCAGGATTTTTTTTTTTTCAGTAGCTTGAGGATGTGACTTTATTTTCTTCTGGCTTGCCTAAAGCCTAATAAGAAGTCTGCTATCATTCTTGTTGGTGAACGTCAGAGAAACATGTGTCCTTTTTTTCTTTTATTTCTTGGTTGTTTTCACAATGTTCTATCTCTGTTTTTCAGCAACTTGATTATGATGTACTTGAGTTTATTTTTCTATATTTATTCTGTGTGGAGTATATTGAGCTTCTTGGGTCTGTAGTTTCATTAAATTTTGAAAAACTGACCATGATTTCTGCCAATATTTTTATGCTTCCCTCTCTCCCTTTTTTGTCATTTCTGTTTATATTCCTTGATTTTTCTTCTGGTCACGGATCATATTTTCCTGCTTCATGGCATGCTTAGTATGTGCTTGTTGGATGGCAGGCATTTTGACTTTACATTCTTGGCTGTCAGATTTTATTGCATTCCTTTAAATAATGTTGGATTTTTCTATGGCAAAGTAAAATTACTCAGAATCAGTGGGATCCTTTCAAGCCTTGTTTTCAAACCTTGTTAGGGTAGACTAAGAGCAGCCTCTAATCTAAGACTAATTTAGTCCCGCTACTAGGGCCATACACTTCTGAGGACTTTATTCAATTCCCGTTGTATTAAAAAGTCTTACCACTTTACTGGTGGAAAGATAAACTATTCCCGGGCCTGTGTGACCACCAGGAATTGTTTTTAAGCTTATTCCTAATATTTATTTCTGTGGACATGGGTAGCTTATTCGCATGCATACACAGATTGGTACTCATAAAGAGTTAAAGGCACTCATTTACAGATCTCCAGGGTTCCTTCTGTGTGAAGCTCCTTCCTCTCTGGTACTCTGCTCTGTGAATTCTAGCAATCTTGGCCTCCCAAACTCTAATCTCTGTCTCTTCACCTTGAGAAGATAATGTTTAGGTTCCTTTTTGCTACAGCCTAGGAACTGCCCTAGGAAGAAATCTAGATAGTTATAAGGATCACATAATTTGTTACCTATTTTCCAGTGCTTAAAAACCATTATGTCTACATTTTGTCCACTTTCTTGTTGTTTAAGGTGGGAGGGTCCATGTTAATCCATCATAAACAGCAGAAGTTCTGATTCCATAAATTTTATATATAGTCTCATTGTCAATGTTATCTTACATTCTTATCTTTATTTTTCTTATTGTACAATTTTCTAATAACAAATTTTGTTTATTGTATACTATCTCTTATTTCACCAATTAAATAATTACCATTTAAAGGCAATTATGAAAAACAGCAACATAATTTCTGTCCTGAAATTTCATTTTTATCTAAACCATTTATTCTCAAGTTTTCTTAGACTTCTAATACATACTTTTGCCAATCTTAAAAAAACAAACAAAATTTCTACTCATTAAGTTCTTTCCCACAGTTTGGGACTGAGATAGACCCAGGAGTGGTTACAGTGAATAAACAATAAAAAAATTATTCTCAGTTTTAAGTAATCAACATAACATTCTTCTCTCTATTATGTGTATCTTCAACTTCTTAGCACACTAGCTGCCTGGCATTGCTATTATAGAAAACAACATTGCTTGAAAACATCCTGATTGTATATGTTTCAGAATACAATAGTTTTTATTTTTCTTTGAATATAAGAGAACATTTTGGTATAGTATATTGAGGTTGAAAGAACAGTAGGAATTATAAGCTATGAGAATTTCTCAAATACGCTGTGAGTATAGCCTCTAACATTTACAATAAAAGCCATTATTTAACTATTTAACAAATGCAATATTATAAAACACCCCATTCTTTTAAATTCTTAGGTTGTAAAAATTAAGGGCCATATCTATGTAGTATTTGTCATATAGCATCAAGTACGATACCACACATAATTAAGTGCTCAATAGTGCTTTTTGATGAGCAGGATAATAATGACTTATTAAACAAGGTCTATCAATCTCAATGGAATGGAGAAAGTGATGGGTGTTTGAACGCTAATAGATTTCTGAGCTATGAGAGATACGTGAACACTGTCCACATTCAGGCCTTTAAAAACATTATTTATTTTAGTTTGAATTTATTTTATCTATTCCTTGTTTTTTTTCCTTCATAGAATTGCATACTTTTAGTCTGAGAAAAAAGGAAATGCATTTTTATCTCACTCTATTATTAACTGTTCATACTGTATGTTAAAATTTTGGTCTATCTTTTGCCTTTTTTGTTGGAATTATTCAGAAAAACTCAGCTTGGCTTTTGTTAGATTCTTACACCATAAGATTATACTATTCTTTAATATTTTCATGAACTAATATGCAACAACCAAACCCAATTATCCATAAGAAGGCATAACAAGAATGTTAAAATTATGATACAATTTAATTGAGTTTGTGCATATTAGAACATGAAACATTAAAAATATTGATTTTTGTGAAATTTTAATAGTACTCCTTCCCTGCCCCCACATTTGTTTCCGTAGTCCTATGTACAAGCATCCATATAGCAATCTGAAGACACAGTATACTGGTCAGGCTCACAGAATCTGGAGCCAAAAACACAACGTGTGTGATTGTGAGTAAATTTAATATTTCTCTGCCTCAGTTTCCTCAACTGTGTAAACTAAGGCTACTCACAATACTTACTTCATAGAATTAGGAAGACTACATGTTAAAATAATATTATCCACCTCATGGAACTCTGAAAATTGAAGCACTTATAAGAGTATCTCAGAGTTATTAAGCCACCAATAAATGCTAGCTATTACTGTCACTTCAACATCGTAATAACCACTACTATCGAGTTTTGGAATTCCTGGGAAGAACAGGCCTGTGTTTTATTCCATTTTTCTACCTTTTCTGTTGAGCACAGTGACTGTCAAATAGTATGAATTCAGGAATTATTTTTAGTTTATAAATTGTATGTGTTTGTCTCTACCAACAGTGTTTATTTAGATGGATGGAATTTTGGTTGGGGAGCTCTATCCATGTGCCTTGGTTCTCAGTAGCAGTAGAGATGATGTAAATTGCCTTTGGATCTACAAATATTGCCTACTCAAAGACTCCTGGAATATGCCCTCTCAGCAAGTTGAATTTTTCTGTTGCCACTTGCTTTTCCCCCAGACTATATGTTTAATTGATAATGATTTCATGGCTATTGTCTTCAGGTGCAATGGCTTACCTAAGAGGAGAGATGCCACCTCATTACAAAATAGAATACCTCCTTCTTCACTGCCCTGGGCTGCCCTCAGTCTTCCCCAGGGGCCCCAAGTCTACAACAGTAAACTCTTCCATGTTCAGGTGCTCAAAGGCTATAAAACCTTCACATTTCCCTGATAAGCATGAATATAGATAACTCCTTAATGTCTTGAATATGCTATATGGATTAGTCCCTAAGAAAACAACACTAGGTACCTATTTTCCAAACACGCAAGTTCAGAATCAGTAAAGGAAACCAGGGGACTCTCCATGAAGTAAACGTTTTTATTTTATAATCCATAGTATACAACAAGCCCAAAACTTAAAAACAGAACTTTTAAAGCTTACATCCCACTAATATTCAATTATATTTAAATTTAGAATACCACTAAAACTCTCTCTCTTTCATACCTGAATTCATGGATCATACTTTGTTCTAAACCATGAGATACTAACAGTGCTCATAGACTATACAAAACTGTTAACTTAGATAATTCTTTGAAATTCCAGTCATGAATTCTTAAAAGAATGCATGGCTTGCAAACTTAACTTAAAAAAAGATCCTCCTAGTTTTAAGGACTGAGAGATTTATTAGTCGACTAAGCTTGTCTACTCAGTAGAAAAGAGAAAACATAGGGGAAAAAGTTGGAGCAATGCTGGATTCAAGGAGCAGAAAATGCCCATCCTAACCTCCTCCCACCACCAAAATCACTGCAGCAAGTTGTAAATGATGTATGAAATGACAAATCCCTGCCCAGTGCACAAGAAGAATATAAATACTGCTCTGTAATCACTGCAGTGGTGTGCTATTCGCTAAAATTTTCAGCTTAGGTGAACCCAGAAAAACCTCACCTCATCTATAAATCCAAAAAAGAAATGAACCGAAATGAAATTATATTATTTTACTGTATGCAACAACCTCCTCTTTTTTCTTTTTCCCTAGTCAGAAAAACATACTTATTGAATATCAAAATACTTAGGTATTACTAAGGCATTTGTCTAACAAACATTTTTAAAAAAAAACTTTTAAATAAGGAAATGTCAAAATCCATATATTAGACGGAGGGCGCTAAAAAGAACTTCCATTCTGGAGTCATCCAGATCTGGGTTTGAACCCAGGTTTTGTTTGAATCCTGTATTTGACTCTAGCTGCATGACTTTTCACATTTTTAAAATTTCTCTGAGCTTTAGCCTTTTTCTGTGTGAAATGAAGATAATATGTTCTCCATAATTCTGATGATTAAATAAAATGACATAAAGTGTGAAGCCCCTTGCCCTATTTGACGCAAAGTAAGTACTTGCAAAATTTGGGTCAATATTTTCCTCCCTTTTCACGACAGAGGCATGTGTTCTGGCCTGGAAGGAATGCTGCATTTTGAACTGGAAGTTCTGAGTTTGGCTTTTCACTTTTTAATTTATTAGACAATTCACTCGAACTTTCTGAATAGATATTAACTATTTTTTCATGAAAATAGGTATGTTTTCTCCTATGAGAATAACATATAAAAATGTATAAACTGCAATGTTAAATAAGCATAAGATATTATTATAAATTAACATACCTGAATAAAAAGTATGGACATACATAAGATCCAGGTTTCTATGAATCTGTTCTTCAGAGAGGTGGAAAACTACACTTTTGTCTTACTCTACAATTACGAGAATTTTCTTTGATCAGTTTCTCCAACGGCATATTTACTGAAAGTTTCTCATAAAAAATTACATGATCTCCTTAAAATGCACAGGTGAAGGATGCACACATTGAAAGTGGACACTGGTTTTACATTGAAAATCAACTGTCACTTGTCTTTTTCTATCTCAGCTTTCTATCACACAGCGAGCCGCCCTCGTTAGTTCTGGAAGTTGATATTGAGTGTCTACCCCATGCCAGACTAGCTCTCCTTTCTGCAGATAAAGGAACAAGTCACCTTTGGAAAAACTAAGGCTTAGATTATACTGCTTTTCAAATAACTGACACATTTGGAAATTTTTGGAACCTCTCCTCGGTAAATAAAGTTGTAGAGAGCAAACTGAGGCAGAGGAAGTACCCCACACAGACTGATGTAAATCCACATCAAAGTTCTGCCTTCAAATGAAGTGGCATTCCTATTCAAATGTAAAGCTTTATATGCATAAAAATTAGGTGATCACCAGAGGAAAATAAAGTAATTTTCAAAATCTAATTTAATTCACTTAATAAGACCATAAACCAAAGAAAATGAAAGATGCCAAGGAAAAGAGAAGATATATACCAACCAATAACAGGTTTCATTTCCTACTAAGAAAAAAAAAAAAAGAGTGCTCAGTAAGATTTGAACAGAGAATGAGGCCAATTCATTTTGATCCTGTGGCAATACTTTGAAGCTTACTTTTTAACCTACTCTATTTTACATTTCCAGATGCTATGAATGGCGATGTATGCAGAAAGCCAGACCAATGGGAATTTGAGTATTTCATTTTCCCAACTATAGTGATGATTTGGATCTTACTTTTTCTGAAAGCATCTTTAAAGAATTCTTCAAGCTGTCTGGAGAATGCTGGCTTGCAGAATTAAGCAGTAGGTCTGCATGGGTTGCTATAAGAGGTTGTAGTTGATTGATGTTGCTGAGAACTTCCTTTGCTTTGGCTGTGTTTTCAGGTGAATAGTAAATAAACTGGTATCCGGTACTGCAACAACAAAGATAAAAATAAGTTACACAAACAGCATAATGAATGTTCAGCCCTTAATATCAGATGGCAAATGATAAACAGAACTCCAAGTATCACTCTTTCCTATTGATAAGAACTGTCCTAAGAGATTTTTAATGATGCACTAGCAATTTTTATGTAAGGTGACGAAAATGCTTTTTAAAACTAGGTAATCTTGTTTTGCTAAAACACTGGGAAGATTAACACTAATACTTGACGTGATTACATATATGTCAAGTATATGTAATGGCTCATGCATGCACATATATGTAATCATGTATGTCAAGTATTAGTATTCAAAACAAATTAGTATTACTATTAATTCCTAATGAACTTGAGGCCACATAAGCCAGTGGGAAAAGATTCAAGCCAATCTCAATGTAAATCCTGGTTTGTCACTAACTAGCTTGGTGACTTTGGGCAGCCTTCTTCCTCATCAGGAAAGTGGGAATAATCATCTAAACCATTCTATGAGGTGTGTAACGTTAGTAGTCATTCATATAAAGTGCCTAAAATTGTGCTTGGCACAGAAATAGCATTCAATACCTACTACCTAACATTTCCCCCCATGTTACTAGGTGAGGGGTGTGGAGGAAGTAAATTTTAATAGCTGAGAAATGAGGAGAAAATTAATTAATGTCAAGTGGGCACATGGACAAATTTATTGGACAGAAAAAGGACATTAGTAGCAGAATGCTATTTCATAGTGTTATTTTATCACGACACTTTTTCTTCTTATGGTTTTCCATTTAACATACAAAGAAATCTAAAATTGATTATTAACTAAAGAATTATTGACTTCTTTTTTTTAAGAGACAGGATCTCACTCTGTCACCCAGGCTGTAGTACAGTGGCACAATCAGAGTCCACTGCATCATCTAACTCTTTGTCGGCAATGATCCTCCCGCCTCAGCCTCTTGAGTAGCTGGGACTACAGGTACAAGCCATCACACCTGATTAAATTAAAAAAAAATTTTTTCATAGAGACTAGGTCTTACTATGCTTGCACAGACTGGTCTTGAATGCCTAGCCTCGAGCCATCCTCCCCTCTTAGCCTCCCAAAGTGCTGGGATTACAGGCTTGAGGATTATTGACTTTTATAATCATCATCTAGGAACTAATCAAGCACATTATGGGAGCAGGGATTCTTTAGAGTGAAGGAATCTTTGATCCATTTCATCAGGAAGAGGCATTCCAGCAGGAAAGCTGCAAAACAGCAAAACAGTTGCCAGAAGGAAAGAAGAGGGAAGTAATGGCTCATGCATGCACAAGATTCATGTAAACTTGCTTACATCCCATTATACCCAAATGTCAAGACATTTTTTCAAAAAACTTTGCAGTCGATGTTATTTACTGAATATGTCTACTACATTTTTATCAGCTCAATTATTTAAATTCCATAATTTTATTCCTCATCTTGAAACCTCAGACACCACTAGGAAAAACTGACATCTAGGAAGCATGATCTGTTCTATTCTTCTCACACTAGTGATTTTTCAGGGGAAAATTATCAGAATCTTTAAGGAAACAATTTTTTTTTTGCAAACATATAATGAATATTCCTCCTATTTTATTTATTTACTTATTTAGTAAAAGATTAAAAGAAATGCACTTTGAGGCTTGGGCCATTCAGAAGATTGAACAAGAAGTCAATGAAGGTATCAGATTTATGAAGGCTAAGAAACGCATTACTAGTTTACTTGTAGACTTTTAAATGTCAGAAGTTAGGGGCTTCAGATAAAACATACCTTAATTTGCTATCATGTATGTCTTAATGCAAGTTAAAGTAAATGAAAAAAAAAATTGCAAGGAGGGGAAAGGAAACAGTAGTCCTAGCCAATTCTCTATGTCTCTTTCTGGCTTCTTGAGTGGTTGAGACAGATCTCATGCAGGAGTGTAGTAAGGACTTTACAAAAGAAATCATGAACTCAGGCTGGATGTAAAGTTTAATCCGTAACAGACTTTAATAAATCAAACAGCTCCACATTATTTTTGTAAAGAAAATGATTCTCTAAAGATACAGATGTGTCACCAGAATTTGAACAACTTTTGATACCCAGCAGCTCCAAGAGCAGAAAGCAGGACCTACTTACAGACCCAATGCAGAGTCATGTGGTCACTTCTATGTGATCCCTCTTTGCAGGTCTGCTATTCTGTGTCCATCAGAGATCGCTTCCTGTGTCCTCTTATGGCTATTTACAGGCTCCCCGTGGCTTAGCCTTTGGAAAGCTAGAATGCTCATGGCCTTGTGGGGTCTTCCATCTCTCTCTTCACATGACTGCTTTCTTTTATTATTATTATTATTATTATTATTATTATTATTATACTTTAAGTTCTAGGGTACATGTGCATAACATGCAGGTTTGTTACATATGTATATGTGTGCCATGTTGGTGTGCTGCACCCATTAAGTCATCATTTACATTAGGTATATCTCCTAATGCTATCCCTCCCCACTGCCCAAGGTAATTTATAGATTCAATGCCATCCCCATCAAGCTACCAATGACTTTCTTCACAGAATTGGAAAAAAACCACATGACTGCTTTCTGAATGTGTCTTCTCTGGCCTCTCATACACTCACTTCTATCCATTCCATTTTACTCCTATCAATATTGCCTTCCTTCTTTACTATTATTCTTTCCCAGAAGTTCACTGTTACTATTTTCCTGAATATTACTACTTTCATTATCAAATTCCCTGACAGTCTCCACTCCATTCTATTCTAATTCACACATTTCTAATATTTATTCTGCACATGTTCTTTATTCATGCCCTAGTTGAATGGTGCTCAAATTTTAGCAGTCACAATAAGATTTCCTTGGGGATGAGGACAGGGCCTCAATGTTTATTGAAAAAAATGCAGATTCCTTGGCAACATCTGCTAAGAGATTCTGCTTTAGTATGCTGTAGCACTTGTGACAAGCATCTCCAGAGATACCAACGCAGGGACGGAGCATCTTTAGAGACACCCTGTCATTGTTTTGACTGAGATCCCCTCTAAACCCTTGATCATGCTACACAAGGACTCTCATAAAAGTTCCTTCTTAAGGTATTCAAATTTTCTTAGCACCTTTTACAAGGCTAATTTTACAACCCATCTTATTCACAAAAGTTGCTTTGGTTCCCTCTTCATTACCAGTGTTTGCTCTCCTAACCTTTTTCATCATGATTTCATCTTTTCCCTCCCAATATATTCCCTTTCCTCTCCCCAATACATTCTTCAATCACCATGATGGGACATAATCCTAACTCCTGCCTCTTTCTCCTAATTCAGTCTCCTTTGGAGCAGAGTTGTGTAGCAGGCATCGGTTGTTCTGATGAAGTCTTTTTAACGATGAGCACCTCACCTACTGAGGCTGAAAGATTCATTTTCCATAATAAAAGCCAACGTTGGTGTCCAGGATGAAAGGATGAAATAGTATGGTATGGAAAAAAAAAATCACCACTCACAAAATAATTTTAAGTATACATAAATTTTATCTACCTATTCAGTGCCTTACTTTTCAAACATGTCATATATTTTAACAGTTATAGCTTCTTAAATGGGAAGTAATAAGTATAATTTAATTATCTAGATAAAAACAACATAACTAAACTCTATTTTATAGTAGTATGAAATTTAAACTGGATCCAAACACTTGAGTCAACGATCAATCAGATGACTCTGGAAGAAAGGCAAAATATTTACTTGGACAAAATATTTTATAGAATATAAATAGTACTGCAAAGCACAGATAATGAAAATTGAAATTAGTTTCATAATATTTTTCTATTGAGAGAGTGAATTAAAGTGTACTATATACTTTAATATATTCATTTAAATACGGTAATTTAATATATTTAATATTATTTTCATAAGAATGCACACCTACATCCCCATCCTCACGTTTGTGTGTGTATATGTTGTTACTATCCATGTCATATTTTGGAGATGTGAAAAAAATATAAAGCACATAATGAAGTAACATTCACATTCATAAGCTCTAATTGCTAACCAAAATACAATTAAAACAAGGACTTATAAATTCCTGAGTGTATATTTGTCCCAGTCCCTTTTTCCTGGTCTTCCTTATTTTCCTATCCTCTTGCTCCAAGACTCAGCTCTTGGAACTCTTTTGTCTATATGTCCCTCCTAAGTAATCTCATGGTTTAAATACACATGTTGCACTAATGATTTCCAAATCTCCATCTCTAGCCTGGACTTTCCCGCTGGACTCCAATGAAAACAAAAGCTCTCCTGTTCACAGCTCCAGCTTAACCTGTCCCAAACTGATCCCGAGATCTGCTCCCCACTTTCAACACCCAGCTCCTTTGCACTCTTCCCCATCTTAGATTATGGCAGGTCCATTTAATATTGTCTATGACTCTTTGTCTCTTATCTTTCATCCAACTTTTCAGAAAGTCTTGCCTTTTCCTTCAAAATATACCCAGAATCCAACCACTTATTTCTACACTTATTGCAACCACCCCAACATTTCTACCACTAGGATTATTGTAATAGCTCACAAACTGGTTTCCGTATCTCTATACTTAAACTTATCTATTGCAAGATAAATAATACTCTCAGATATTGAAGTCCTTGACTTATGGTTAGGGTTTGAAGACGGCAGGAGGCAGACAAGAAGAGAAATATAATTTATTTTCCTTAACTCCTTGACCACAAGTGCACATTGTGGGACTTACTCTGTTACTTATCCATCCTTTCCCTTCCCACTCCATTGCTACCTCCACTCCTTAATCTGTTTGCTCAACCAAGCTACTATTTTATGCAGTGGAGCCATTAAAAAATAGAGATGAGAGATGATTAACAGGCAAGGAGAAAAACAAGAAGGAAAAGACAGGGAAGGTGGGACATGAACAGAAGGGGATTAGGATTGGTGAGTTTAGGGAAAAATGACTTAGAGTGGTGTGTCTCTTCTCCTGTGGCAGAATTAAGTGTCCAGAGAAAAAAAAATCTAGAACTATTTCCACTTGTTTTTTTCTAGCTCAAACCCTACTTGTAAAAAAAAAAAAAAAAATGTGGTCTCTTGAATCCAGAGGAAGGAATATATATGCTCTCAGTTCTGACTGAGAAGAAAATAATATGGATCACAAAAGAAAATTCACACTTTAGTGTACTTAAATATACCCTTCTGGTCTCACAGGGTTTAATAACGGGCTTCATGCCTCTCTGCTTTCCCCAATGCACCCTTTCCATTTTCTACTGGAAGTGGGGTTTGGAGAAAAGAATTAGAAAAAAACAAAACAAAACAGTATTTTACCTCTTTTGGATTTCACTTACATAATTAAATGAGTTATATGATCTGTACTTAAATTGATATTTACCTTTACTCCTGTTTTAAACAAATCACAGTTTTGGGCTGGGCGCAGTGGCTCACACCTGTAGTCCCAGCATTTTGGGAGGCCGAGGTGGGCAGCTTGCCTGAGTTCAGGAGTTCAAGGCCAGCCTGGAAAGCACAGTAAAACCCTGTCTCTACTAAAATACAAAAAATTAGCCAGGTGTGGCAGCATGCACCTGTAGTCCCAGCTACTCAGGAGGCTGAGGTAGGAGAATTGCTTGAACTCGGGAGGTGGAGGTTGCAGTGAGCCAAGATCGCCCCACTGCACTCCAGTGAGGGCAACAGAACAAAACTCCATCTCAAAAAAAAAAAAAAAAAAAGGTTTCATGAAAATTTTAGAATCAAAGAGTGTTGTGATCAAAAGTTGATTCTGCCATTTATTAGCTCTGTGAAAAAAAAAACATTCATTTTTGCTGAAAATTCCCCCTCTAAGAAAATGTGTTTACTGGTTCAGAACACAGTGGCTTCTACTATTCCACTTTTTAGTTTGCAAGTTCTTACTTGTACTTTCTAAACCAATGAAACGTCTTTTTTATGTACATCCTTTATTTAGTCCTATTCTTGCTTTAATTCAAATTTTCCAGGTACTATTATATGACCTTTAAATAAGCAAAGTCCAGTGTGCTTTATTTCCTTTCCTGGCCTATTCCCACTTATCCACGAGTTCACTTGCTTTGATTTCGTTTGCCACCTTCCAAGGTCTAGTCAGTTCTATTTCTGCCTAGTTTGACTTCTGGTATTTTCATGTTGTCCCTATGGAGATAATACCCAAACCTGGTCTCCTGATTCCTTCCAACCTCAAAATCTTCTCAGCTTCATCCTAGACCTTATGCCCTAATATACTTGATCAAAGTACAGAGTAAGAAAGGTCCAGGAGTAAAAATCATACCCCAATACTCTGCAAATATAAAAGTTCCTTTGACTGCAAACAGGCATGAGAGACTTTTTTGGGGTGACAAAAATGTCCTAAAATGGGATTGTGATGATGACTGCACAACTCTGTAAACTTACTAAAAATCTTGGAATTATATACTTATAATAGTTCATTTTTATTCTAGACAAACTATACTATAATAAATTTCTTTTAGAAAAAACAAATCTTTCCAACATATGATATTATAGACTAATGATTATGATTCTGGAATAAGAATACAAAAAAAACAGAAGGTACATATACAAGCCATTTTATTTTTTTCCATGTTAAATCTGACAATACTTTAAGAGAGTGCCTAATAAAGCCAATATTTTATACTGTATTTATCCTAATAATTTAAATCTCCTCCTCTATCACTTTAATAGATAATAATCATTGGGTACATATATGCTATGGGCCTAGCATTACGTTAAATGCTAGTTTTTCAGGGATTATATTATTTAATTTTGACAACAACCCTCTGAGGAACAAATATTAATTCAAGATGTAGAAATTGAAGCCTGAGTAGGTTAAGTAACTTGACTTGGATCACACAAACTAGCATAGATGGTAAAACCAGGTTCAAACCCGGGTTTTCATTGTTACACAGTTTGAACTCCTAATTATGTTTTACTATCTCTTGAACATAGTATCAACCCATTTTAAATTTGGAAAAATTAAAATGCTATAACTAATATGGGAAACATTTTTAATTGAATAAGTATTGCTTATAAATATTAAAAATATAATTAAAGACGTTCTCACCTAATTAAAACAAAGTTCATTAGAGATGTATGATTCTATTTTGTAACACAAATTAAAGAATTTCAGAATTGTCTCACAGTAAATTATTTTCAACAAATATTTAATAACTACTACTCAGTCAATGAATTAAGGAAAGCAAAAAACCAGGGGTACTCAAGGTAATCAGTGGATCATGTGTGATGATGCCAGCCCACTAAACGCTACATGAAGGGCTGGTAGTAAGAAAGAAGAAAAAGGGAAAAACTATTTTGTCTGAGTCTTCTTCCCATAAGAGCTTGCAAACCTAAGGCTTTATCTAGATGCTTGGTGTCTATGAATATCCTGAGGACAGCTGTAGTTTCAGGGCTTGCTTACTAACCACTCTGCATTGAAGTTCCTTCCATTCCTGAGACGAAGGGAAAAGGATGGCACATTGCATCCAACTGTTCTAGGTACTCTGAGATTGCAGAATGTTTTTGTTACCTAGTTTCCGTATTTGCTGGAAGTAGAAGTTGCAAAAAGATTTTATGAAAACATTTCTCTTATTTTACAACTAAAAAAAAAGGAGGAAAGACAAAACAAACATTCAAAAATAAATATAACTGTATTTATCTGTGGCATTCTAACTTATTAACCTTTCCAACACATTCACTGATATGTCTAGATTGATGTCTTCTGCATACATGTCATACTTTCTTTCAGGCACATTGTTTACATTCAGCTCTACATACCTCATAATCCACCGAATAACTGAAATGGCTACATAATGTTCAACTTTAGCGATGCAGAATAGTTTGCTTATTCATTCATTCATTCATTCATTCAAAATGCTTATAATATTTTACTATTATGAATGGTAATCTTTGAACAACTCCGAGAAATTTACTTCTTTTATTTTTATTGTGGCCATATTCCTAAAAAAGTGGTGTTCCTTAAGTGTATTTGAGAGGGCTGCAGATAGAAAACTGATAAGGCTGGAGCTTTAAAAATATTTTTACTGACTACTAGGCAGAACGATTTTAGGCAGATTAATATAGTAATTGACTCTGAGTGCAAATCACCACATCAATTCACATGTTTTTTAATAGCACAAATAATTTATTTTAAAAATTATATTCTCTTAAAGACCCATAAGGAATTGACTAGACCAACTACATTTTATTTCTCTCTGGTGGATAGCAAAATCCCTTCCTAAGCTAACATTGCACACTTATTAAGAGGATGTCATGTGTTGAACATCTTTTGACTGCTTGAGGGTAAATGAGTATGGAAGAAGAACTTGAGACTAAGGACAGAAGTCTAATTTTCTAGCTCTGGTTCTGTCATTAGCTGCATTGGTGACTCAATCGTTGGTCCTTGGTATTTTCATCAATAAAATAAGTAGGAGAATTCATGGTCTCTGGGATCCTCTCTAAGTTCTATGATTTAAAAGATTCTTGGCCGGGCACGGTGGCTCACGCCTATAATCCCAGCACTTTGGGAGGCTGAGGTGGGCGGATCACGAGGTCAGGAGATTGAGACCAACCTGGCTAACACGGTGAAACCTCATCTCTACAAAAAATACAAAAAATTAGCCGGGCGTGGTGGCAGGTGCCTGTAGTCCCAGCTACTTGAGAGGCTGAGGCAGGAGAACTGCTTGAACCCGGGAGGCGGAGCTTGCAGTGAGCAGAGATCACGCCGCTGCACTCCAGCCTGGTGACAGAGCGAGACTCTGTCTCAAAAAAAAAAAAACAAACAAAAAAAAGATTCTTAATGTGAAAAACAGCACGGACTCAACATGATTATTTTCTTATTTCTCAAAATGTCTCTTTAATGGAGTATAAACAACTGACCTTATTAATTAAGCAATGGAAATGAATGGCTTATTTCCTGTATCCCCTTTCTCAGCTGTCTTGGCATTTACCCGGTTATAGAAACCAGAAACCTAAGAGTCCTTCAATCCTGCCCAGGCTCCCTCAAGCCCTCAGCCAACTGGATGTAAATTCTGTTAGATATTTCCTTAAAATCTTCAACTCCCCAGGTACCTGTTTTCCCTCATGCAACTATTATAATAGTCTAATTGTTTGCCATTCTTCTGTTCTCTCTACACTGTCACTCCAAATACTATGATCACGGCAATCTTCAGCTGAAAACCTACCAATTGCAGTATCCATAGCCTATAGGGTGAACTGCCAGGAGCTGACATAGCAAATAATTGTTTAAGATTTGGTCCTTGCTCCCTGCCCAGCCTAACGTCCTTTCATACTCTCCTACACTCTAGAAGCTGCTCTGTGTTGCTGGAGTTTATAAGCCAAGGGGCAGTGAATGGCACTATCATTCCCCAGATGTATGTGGGAGTCTTCCTTGATACCTCTGGGTTCTTACCTCCACTCCTAACACACATACAACCCCCAAGTTGCCCCTAAATACCTCTGTAATTTATCTTCTCTCCATCTGTGCTGACACTATAAGCCAATCCATCTTCCTTCTCTGATGGGGTTACCACAATAATCAATTATTAATGTAAGCCTCATCACAAGGAAGAGGACATTGAAATAATTCAGGCAAAGTCCCCTCTAATAAAGATCTTGCAATAACAGTATTTATATCATGTAACACAGCCAAGTGTTTGATTTTTCCATGACATAAATTCCATATGTACATTTTTTTAAAGTTTGAGATGTTCTACACTTAGCTTTCAAAGCTCTGAAAAATATAGTATATTTTATTTGTAGATGACTGGCAATTTATTTATAGATGACTTTTCTGCTGTATGCTGCCTTTGCAATGATGACTATTAAATATCTAGAACAACAGACAGCTTTAAAAATATTCTGGAAATCACTTGGAGTTTAACAAGTTCAAAAGTTCCTCCTTGGATTCAGTGAATACTTCTGAGATAACATACTGTGTCATGGTTTAAAATGTTGTTTCAGTTTGCAGCAAAGGAGAAACGTAACTTCTAATTTACAGAAAATAAATCCTCAAATCATATTATCTTTATATATTTAGTTTTAAAAATAAACAGACAAAATGTATTTTTTCTGTAATTTTCATATTAGACTTAACATTTTTACTTTTAAACCCTAATCTTCTTGTTGATTTTTTTTTCTGATATATCTCTAGGTGTACACATGTAGCCACAGCTATAGTGAAGACAAGAAAATCCAAGAGTGGTTATGTATTTTGTCATTTTCAGACTGCCTTCTTCACCAAATTTGATATCATTAAAAATTTGGGGACAGTTTAGCAAACACATTTTGTCATTTACAATTAAAGTCATTTCCTTTAAAATAAATATTCAATTTTTTAAAATTCTGAACTGTCACACTATATATAGTGCCTCTTGCCTAAATATCAGATCATTCTTTGCCTCACAAGCTTTTGGACAGGTTGTTGGAAGAATGTCACAACTTGGAGGTGTTAAAGTCACTATTGCATTACTGATATTGAATCAGGTTTTTAAGTTAGCCATCTTTATATAAATTGTCTCCCTTCTTCTTTCGGAAGACGTAAAAGTATATTTTCCCTAGCTAGTGAGGTGCAAGGAAACACTAATGTTATACCTGCCAAATAGTTGTTTTCAAAGCCTATAAGACATTTTCCACAAGTGTCTTTTTGTTTCTGTTTCTTTTTCCTAATTCCACAAAAAGTCTCTGTGTCTGCTACCTAATTCTATCACACTGATCTCTTCTGCAGGCATAGTCATTGGTTCTTCCCTTTATTCTTATGGCAGGCAACACTTTGATGTTACTCATTCATTCCCCCATATATATATCCATTCATCAAACTCTTTTCAAGTTAGGTCCTGGGGATACTGTGGTAAACTGGACAGACATGTTTCATATTCTCAGAGCACATACAGTCTAGAGGGATTTTGTACACTGGAGACTTAAAGCAGACTTGGCTTAGACAAGGAGTCAGAAGAAGCTTCCAGGCAGAAATGATTTTAAGTTAAGATCTGTGGTGGTGAGAAAGTTCTCTTCTGGTTCACTATGGAGGGTAGAGGGGAGGGAAAGATGATGGTGTCATGGTGCAAGATGAAGCTGGAGAAGAAACCATGGCCAGAACACATGTATATATTATTGCACCTTAGATTTTCTCCTGCAAGCAAGAGGCAGCAAAGAAATTTTTAAAATTATGAAACACAAGAATATTTGCCTTTAAGAAATATAATTCCAACCAAGATAAGGATAACTGATTGGATGAGAGCCAGTCTGGAAGGAAGGACGGTAATTAAGAGGTTTGGTAGTAGAATATTTAAAAGACAGTGGTTCTATGTGCTAGGATTATCTTAACCCATGTTTCATTATTAAAATGCATAACTTCCAGATATATAAGAAAGTAAATTAATTTTAAGTGAAAGCAAGGGAGAAAAAGTTGTCAAGGATTTTCAGGTGCTACATTGAACAGTGGGGTGGATGGTCATACCTTTTTATTAAGGAAAATAACCCCCAAAAGAAGCAAGTTTGAGAGCCAAAGGGATGCAAAATGATTCAATATCTCAATCTTGAGGTGTATGGAAGATATGAGTAAAGTGGAGCTACCTGCTAGATATATATTTATAAATATATATGTGTATGTGTGTGTGTATATATATATATATATATATCTCATCAGCCATACTTCTACTTCACACGTGAATAATATCCAAACTCAGTACTCAAGACTGAATGAGAAATTAGGCATATTATGCATATTAATACAACTTTTTGGTGGTATTACTTCTAAAATTTAACTACCTCTTAACTAAGAAATCTTAGTTTCTTAGTTAAGAAAGAAGTCCTCTTGGCCGGGCGCGGTGGCTCATGCCGGTAATCCTAGCACTTCGAGAGGCCGAGGCGGGTGGATCACGAGGTCAGGAGACAGAGACCATCCTGGCTAACACGGTGAAACCCTGTCTCTACTAAAAATACAAAAAATTAGCCGCGCGTGGTGGCAGGTGCCTGTAGTCCCAGCTACTCGGGAGGCTGAGGCAGGAGAATGGTGTGAACCTGAGAGGCGGAGCTTGCAGTGAGCCGAGATTGCGCCACTGCACTACCTCCTGGGCGACAGAGCAAGACACCATCTCAAAACATAAAAAAAAAAAAAAAAGAAGTCCTCTTAACTAAGTGTAGTTATACTAAATGTAGGAATTTATCTAGAAGAAACACCTAGAAATTTGCAAAGATATATGAATAAGGATATACCTTGCAAGCGCAGGTGGTTCTAATCAAAAACTTAGAAACAATCTAAATGACCATCAATGGTGTATTGGTTAGATAATTATGTTAAATCCAATCAATAAAATCCTACTTAGTTTTCAGAAAGAATAAGATTTACATGCACTAAATTGAGAAACTGCCTAAACATTTTTTGTGGAAATATATCCTTTCTATATATTTACATAAATAATAGCTAATATCGATTAAGACTTCATCATGTGCCAGGCACAGTTATAAATGCTTAGCATATATAAACTCATCAAATTTTGGAAACCACCCTCTGGGGTAAGCACTATTATTTCCACTTTACAGATGAGGAAACTAAGGTACAGAAAGGTGTGGTAATCTGACTAATGTCACAAAGACAGTATGTGACAATCAGAATTCAAATCTACACTGGGAGCGGAGTCTATGAATTGTCTGAGATGAAAGTTTCTGCCTGTTCCAGAATGGAGGACAGAAAAATTAAACAGAGTTACAGAAAAGTCAAGAACATTACATTCTCAACATTTGTGTTTGTGGGCTAAGAGAATCACTGCTAAAACTTAAATAATTTGACATTACAAGACGAAATCTTGCTGCAAAATAGATTAAACTGCTCAGATTGGTTTATTTTAAAGAAGAGGACTAGAACAGGTAGGATTTCAACTATACAAGCCTCTTTATTCTTTGAATTTGTGGGCCATAAACAAATTTTGTTTTTGTATACAGCTACAATGAAAATAAAAAAGGAGGAAAAACTGCATTACAAATTCACTTATTACAAATTCACTCAGGATCATGTGAAATTGAGCAAAAATCCTTCCATTTACTTAGTACCACATTTAGTTCAAAGCTTTGCAGGCCTCATTATTTACTTCATACAGTATGTTCAAGCCTCAGCATGACTACTTAATTAAAAGCACTTTACTCTCTCTCTATGAAGATTTGGTGTTATATACAAGGAGTTGTATATAGGAAAGTCCACATGGAGAAGAGAAACCTGGTGGGCAGTTTTGGCAGACCTAGCCCGTATTTGCCAAAATATGAACAGTTAAGAGCTGAGAGTAGCCAACAAGGAACTAACTCACAGGAGGAAAAAAAAAATGTACTCCCAAGGAATCAAATTATAATCAAAAGAAAAACTTTAATTACCATCTCCTTCAAAATGATATATTGTCAGCTACTGAACACAGTCCAAAAGAAAAAAAGGAACTGACAGGGGCTTTTATTTAAATTATTCTTATTTCTAGAGTGCCCATGTAATTTTACCATAATTTTTAAAAGAAAATTTTGTGACAGAGAATGTTCTTTCTGAAAAGAAAAAAATAAAGTATATTTTAATTGAAATATACTTTATTGAAATATTGAAAATGAATAGGAGATAAATTTTAGCTATAGCCTACGAGACTGACATTTTTAAATTTGGAGTATTGGGAATGACTTCCAACGAAACACAAAGATGAAAGTTGTTTTATAAATGAAGAGTATTATATTCATATTATGTGTATGTGTGTGTGTCTGTGTGTGTATATCTATCTATATATAAATATATATACATTTGCATACCATATATATATACACACATACACACACACACAGACACACATTTTTTTTTTGAGACAGGGCCTCCCTCTGTCACCTAGAGGCTGATGTGCACTGGGGTGATCTTGGCTCACTGCAACCTCCACCTTGCAGGCTCAAGTGATCCTTCCACTTTAGTCTCCCAAGTTTCTGGAACTAAAGGCACATACTACCAAGCCTGACTAATTTTTGCACTTTTTTTGTAGAGACAGGGTTTTGCGATGTTGCTCAGGCTGGTCTCAAACTCCTGAGCTCAAGCCAACCACTGGCCTCGGCCTCCCAAAGTCCTGGGATTACAGGCATGAGCCATCATGCCTGGCCTATATTATGTATATAACTTTAAAATTAGTCATTTTAAACAGTTTTGCCGTTTCAAATTTTTAACAGAAAAAAATATAAGGATGTAGATTATATGTGGGAAAAAAAGACTGGAAGAGAGCACCCAGTATGCTACCAGTAATTGCTGTTAAGGAGGAATATTACAAGTATGATTTTAATCTCTGTCTTTTGATTTTTCCATTTTCCAATAAGCATATTTCTTTACAAAACTGGAAAATTATCAGTTAAATTATTTATTAAAATATATATCAATAAAGGATCAAAGTATTTCTACTTAAAATATATATGGCTTGGTCGGGCACATTGGCTCATGCCTGTAATCCCAACACTTTGGGAGGCTGAGGCGGGTGGATTACGAGGTCAGCAGATCGAGACCATCCTGGCTAACACGGTGAAACCCTGGCTCTACTAAAAATACAAAAAATTAGCCAGGCATGGTGGCGGGCACCTGTAGTCCCAGCTACTCGGGAGGCTGAGGCAAGAGAATGGTGTGGACCTGGAAGGCAGAGCTTGCAGTGAGCGAAGATCGCACCACTGCACTCCAGCCTAGGCGACAGAGTGAGACTCCATCTCAAAAAAAAAAAAAAAAAAAAAAAAGAAAAAAAATATATATAGCTTGACTTATGAGTTCATACAAAATAGTAAGCATAGTTAAGATCTTAGACTCCAAATTGCACTGTCAGTGACTGACAAGTCAAAGGTCTAAGTGGAGTCTAGGGATCATGCTAGAAATAGAAAAAAAAAAATCCAAGTAGGGAAAAAAAGAATTACCATCCCCAATCAAATAATATGATCACATTGCTTTCATTGAATGCTTTCAAATCACTCTCTCTCTTTCATAAAAAGAAATAAAAATTTTTATTCTTAAGAATGGAAGTGAAGGTGATTAAAACAAATATTTTTGTAACTAGTGATTAGTCTGCTCATTTGTTACTGGAGAAGGCATAGAAATGTGAATTTATGTTTTGCATCTCCCAAATTAATTAGTGGTTAATAATTCTATCAGAAAAACACATTTCAAAGGTAACAGTATAAGGTTTTGCCTCTAGTTCTCCCATTCCTGGTTTATCGGATGTCTACTATGTTATAGGTTATGGACAGCTTATTTGCCTGATATGATTTTCCCCTTTTTATGCAAAAAGTCTCCTATTTATAATAGAGAATAAGAAAATATCTACCCTTATTCCTCCTTACAGTAGTAAGAAAACTTCTCAGTCCCAGAGTTTTTGCCCTGTGACTGTGTAACCACTGATCTTATAGGTGACAAGGCTTCTTTAGCTCTGTGTTGTTGTTTGCAGTGGTCTGTGATTCTAGTGGGCAGCCAAGGTTGGTAACCCCTGCTCTCTATATTATTAATCTTATTGCATTATGATTATTTGTGAAACTTTTTCTCCCATTCTAGTTTTTAGCACTTTTAAGTCAGCAACTATATCTGATTTCTATGTGAATTCCAATGCCTGTTGTATTTGATCTATAGCATACTTATATATACAAGGTGCTCCATCTCTTATTCAAGAAAAGCACAATGTATTACAGAAACGGCATACAAGAAAAAAACCTAATACATTACTGTGGCCTAGTAAGGCTACAAGAGAAGCAAAAGTAAAATATTAGGGAGGAGAGCCAAATCAACTTGAAAAATCAGGAAAGCCTAATTATAAGGGTGAAATCTTCACATGGACCATGTGTAGAATTTTGAATAGGATTATGTAAATGGCTTTCACAGAAAGAAATGAAAAATAGTAGAAAATGAGGAGAACAGAATAAAAGGAAACAGAACGAGGAAAAAGGAAAAGGTATAAATACATGAAGCCCACTTAGGAAATAGTTTATATAGCGTTTTAGAAACAACAATAGAAGAAGTGGGTGATGAGGGTAGACACTGGTGGGCAAAATCATGGATGCTTTGAATGCCCAGTGGATAAGTATGGACTCCTCAAAGTTCCTAAGCACAAGAGTAAGGTACTCAGAAACTGTGCTTTAAAAGTTCAGTCTCCCTAATTATCTTGTAATTTTAATAAATATGGTTGTATGACCTGAATTGCTTTATATAAATACTATAAGCAATGTTCTTATGCTAAACCCTTTTCATTATGTGGCCAATGTATTAATCACAAAAGAGATCATCAAGGGACATAAATTATATCTTTTCTCAGATGACAGTATTTTATTGGCTTAGCTGAGAAAAAAATAAACAAAGGTGAAATAGTACAGTGGCTGTGGTAGTTCCCAAAAAACCTGGTCTAAAAGACTTGGCTATCTGGGTTTTTTATTTGTTTGTTTGTTTATTTTTGTTTTTTTTTTTTTGGTGGGGGGCAATATCAAATGAAAGATGAGGCAAAGAAAAATTTCCTCACTTGTGATTTCATGTCCTGCAAAATGTCACTGTTTACTTTAACCTAAAGCCCAAATTACTCATTTCATATAGTCATTTTTACTTCTATACATTGCTGTTGACTGACGTGCAATATTTGTTGCTGAAAAAGCCTGCAGAAAAAGTATTGGCATGGTGCGATAACTCTGTAATCATTAAGTCTCTGCTCAAGTCAGCTCTTAATTTAACGGGTAGGCTGATAGCCATGCTCACCAGTATATTGCCTCAGCAAGCTGTATTTGTCTCAAACCACTGCCCTATGGAGAATTCTTTTAAGATCCACAAAGTTGTTTTTTATTTCTTTTAAAATCTTTATTGTATTTTATCCATAAAGCAATGAAACACAAATGAAAAATTTAAAGCAATCAGTGTTTGCAAGCATTGAACATGTTTCTACTTTTATCTTAAAATTAACCCAAGATCTGTAAGAGTGTGTGTGTGTGTGTGTGTGTGTGTGTGCGCGTGTGTGTTGATATGTAACATCCCAGTGAAAAGTGAAGAAAAATGAAGGAAAATATTTATGCAAATATTTAAACCTTAAGAAATATTATTCAGAGTCTAACCACAGAACTCAACAGTTGTCTTTAACAGAAATATGTTTCATAAAATTAGAGGGTTAGGTTCCATATTTCACATACTGATGCTTTCTATGCTCAACAGGATTCTGACTACCCTATGGGCAGTTTTGAGTCTTCTAATTGGGTTATACACTTTAAAATTTAATTGAGGAAAAAAAATAGATTAAGTCAACTCTCAAGACTGAGACACAGTTCCAGACAAGATGAAGTAAATGCAATCTATTTTACTTCCCCTGTTAATCACAATGAAACACTCTAGACAAAACATATATGTCACCTATCAAAAGACTCTAAAAGGTAGACTAAAGGAGGTATATTGGTTAGGGGCCTCAGGACTTAAGCAATGATATTACAGTGAGTTCCACGGGATTTTTCTTGCCTTCTATAATGTCCCAAACTGGGTGCCACAGAATTTCTCAATGCAGCAAAGCACCAACAAAAAACAGCACCCAGGGAAAGCCAAAGAACCTGGAACAGGGTGGCCCAGCCATACCAACCTGTTCTGGGGGTGAATACCACAAAAATGTCATGCTCCTCCCCCACTAGAAGAATGGTACAGTAGGGAATCAGTGAGAAACACCCTTCATCCCCACTCAGATTCCATGGGCAAAACCCTGTCTTCCACTCATACCCCCACATCAGTAGGGATGGCATCCCTTCCCCCATGGGGCCTATGGTTTGAATTAACTTCCAACTCCCATAAAGTAAATAGGAGATGCCTCTCCCCTGCAGAGCCCATGGTTGAAACTTTGGCTTCCACTCCCCATTGCAATAATATTTGTGAGAAGGGTGTGAATATTAATGGGTAACCTGAGGGAGTTTCTTTGTGGTGATGAAACAGTTCTATATGATGTTTATAATAGTGATGGTTATTCTAATCTACCCATGCAATATAATTTTATAAAACTATAAACCTTTCCCCACCAAAAAGCAAACAAAAATGAACAAAAAACTAGAAAAATCAGAATAAGAACTACAACTGAGTTAATATTGTACCAAAGTCAATTCCTTAAAAGGAAAAAAGAAAAATATATGTGTATTGGTAGTTTATATATTTGTATAATAGTAAGTCAATTATTCAATTCTAACCTCCTTTAAATGCTTTCTTCCTAAACATCTGGGCACCAAAAAACAAATTTTATATTTGATAAATGTGATAAAACGTTAAAAAATTTTCTGGTTTTGGCACTCAAACAGGTTTTCTAATACTATTACTAAATCAACTGTGACTAAAGAATGACTATTTTTCCCTAACTTTCAAAATTTGGATTCTTCAACAGACACCAGGACCTACTTAAGGGTGGAGGGTGGAGGAGGGTGAGGATTGAAAAACTACCTATTAGATACTACGCTTATTACTTCGGTGGCAAAATAACCTGTACACCAAATCCCTGTAACATGCAATTCACCATGGTTAAAAAAAAAAGAAAGAAAAAAACCTGCACACATACCCTTGGAATCTAAAAGTAAAAAAAAAAAAAAAAAAAAATGGGATTCTTAAGAAGAATAACTATTTGAAAAGGAAAGTAGTTATTCTTCATACCTGGATAATGCACTTTATGTTTTACATGAGCGTGGTCATAGCCAGAGAATATTATAGGATAACCCCAACTGATAAGACATGGGGGAGAATAATAAACTACTGCTGCAAAAGCTTTATAAGGCAATATTTAAAAGCATGTAAAAACAAAAACTGGGGAAAGAGTATATCAAAATTATAAATAATAGTGGTAATACTCATGCCTTTCCCTAAGAAACAGAACATAGAATTCTGTATTGTTGTGTCTTTTTCAAGTGGCACAATTAAATGTGCCTCAGGCCAGCATGGAAATTACTAGTAGGGTAAAAATCATAAATTAGGAGCCATATTCTCCATTCAGTATCTTTGGCTCCACAGTGAAGTCAGACTGTATTTCTAGCTAAATCTCTGAACACTCCTTTGAGCAAGCAATAGTTGACACTAGAATATCACCCCTTAGTCATATGACTTCCAGAAGATTTTCTGCCATCACAATGCCACTAACTAAGCAAGACACTTAGGCAATTTGTTTAATCTAATTTCTTCTCTGGTAGTTTTGAGATATTTAACAACTCTATGTTACTAAATAGGTTAAGATGTCAAGAACTATACATTGTGATGGACCAATCACCTTGTATATAGACTTCCCCAAAGGGGAGATGTTATTAATGGAATCTGTGCTTTCCTCCTGTCTTTACTTACTTTCTTCTTTCTGTTTCAAATCTATGGAGTAGCTTCCGAAGACCACCATTCTTAAATCCCTGAAAATGGGCAGCTGGGGCTCCCACAGTGATGACATCGTAGAGAGCATCTGGAGTAGAAACAGACAAGGAGATGAACACTTTGCAAACATTTATCTCCGTCATGCTGTTTGCATTGAAGCATACCTATTGTAGGAAGTATGAGAAATTATTCTGTTTAATTTTTTAGGAATAACTATGAACTCACATCTCAAGGGGGAAAGAGGAGCTAATAATCAATCTTTCTAAAAGCCACCTGTGCACCTAAACAAGATATAATGTTTTCCTGATTTATGACTACATCTTAATTACATGCTACAGTGTAGAACAGTGTGTTCTCTCATTATTCTATATACTTACTGAGATAACATGTTAATTGCTCTTTTGTGTATTTTACTTCATTGAGTTTTGCATCATTTAATTTGCAATCATGTTGAAATTCAACAATAACGAACAATCTTTCAACCAAATTTTACATAGAAAAAAAACCCAAAATATTAAGCATTTTGACTCAAGGGCAGATTAGTACTAGTGCATTTTAAAAAATCTATACAGAGTACTTTCCTGATTGTGTATACTAAATTTTACACAATTTCAAATAGATGCTTTTGCAATTTCCTTAGGTGACATAGAAAGAATACACAAAATGTTTCTTGTTCTGTTTTCTAGTAAGACACTTTGTTTTTATAACAAAAAATCCATACACTTAAATTGAAACTTAATCCTTTGATCTTGAAAGCCATGAAGTTTGATACATATTAAGTTTATGGCTTCAAAACATGCCATCATTTTTACATTCTAATGCAAAGTATCCCCATAAGAAGGAAGACAGTGAATGCTTTCTTGCTAAACTACATTTTATTTGAGAAACCTAATTTCATAGTAGATCCTTTTCAAATTGATTTTGCTATTGACACTTTGGTTGCTCTTCAGATCTCATTTACGAGGAAAACATAAATTATTTTATTAGCTTCAGGTAAATACCATAACTTCTTCAGAGTAGTTCAATCCAGATGCATCTAAAATTTTCTTTCAATAAAAAAAGTCTTCAAGTGAAAGATGTCAGCAGCATTCAGAAAATGCAAGATCACAAGAAAGAATACAACACAAACCAACCCGTCAATAAGGCATACAATGAAAATCACTTAATAGTTCACTGTGTCCTCTTTAAAAAGTCACTAATAAACTAGAAGTCAGCTCTTATTAAGATAGCAGAACATTAGATCTGTAAGAAATTTAAATATTTTCTAGTCCAGGGGATTTTAACCTAGGGCTAAGACACTGGTTTCAGGGTGTCCAAGAATGTTTGTTAATTACATAATTACATCTGTTCTATGTCATGGAAAGGCATCACAGCTTTCTCAAAGGCTCAAAAGATCACCCCAAAGTTACCAACATTATGTTCTAGTCTACCTTCATTTATCTGATAAGAATCCTGAGGATCACTACAAGCTAACTGCTTTGTCCATTTATCTGATAAGAAGGCTGAGGATCATTAGAAGTTAACTGCTTTGTCTAAAACCCCAAGGATTTTACACTCAGGGACTTCTGGCTTCTAACTCAGTGACAGAGAGTCAGTGTTCCCTGGTGGTTTAAGTTACTGATGGGAACCTGAGTCGCTGGCTTTGGATTCCTGATCTGCCACTTATTTAACTTCTCTATGTCTCAGTTTCCTTACCTATAAATTGTAGTTGAAAGTAGCTAAAAGTGGTAAGCATTTAGTAAATGTTATCTACGATTATTATTTTCTGTATAAGAAACTATCCCACCAATAAAGGTGTCTATATCCCCATAAAAATAAACTTTTGAGTCTGAAAAGAAAAATGATGCTGGGGCTCAGTCTTCTGAATGGAATGAGTTCCCATGTTAATTTAAATGCAAAAAGACAAATTATCATGACAATGCAACAAAATATGCGGCATTTCTGCCAAAAACTGGGTGACCAGCAATACCAACAATATACAGAATGACTAAAAATATTATTCAGCCTTTAAAAAGATGGAAACTCTGCCATCTGCAACAAAACGAATGAGCCTGGAGAACAATATGCTAAGTGAAATAAGCCAGTTCCAGGACAAACACTCCACTTGCATGAGGTTTTCAAAATAGTCAACCTCATAAAAGCAGAGAATATAATGGTGGCTGTCAAGAAATGGAGAGGGGGAATGCAAAGTTGTTATTCAATAGGCATAAAGTTTTAGTTATGCAAAATAAGTTCCAGAGATATGCTGTATAACATAGTGCCTATAGTTAATAACACTGTATTATTTACTTAAAAATGTATTAAGAGGGTATATCTCATGTTAAGTGTTCTTAAAACAGCATCAACAACCAAAAAAAGGCCACAAAAAAACCTTTTAGACTTGATGGATTTGTCTGTTACCTTAATTGTGGTGATAGTTTCATGCGGGTATGCCTACGTCCAAATTCATCAAGTTGTAAAAATATATGCAAGTTTTTCTAGGTCAATTTTACTTCAGTAAAGCTGTTTTTTAAAAAATGTAGACATATATTCCACTAAGCCTAAACTAAATGTATTCTCACTTCAACTTCCCCCAAAACATTGCCTGTAGCCTCTCTAGAACTACCCAATAAGAAGGGAAGGAAAAGGGAGGGGAAATCTGAATAGAGACTGAACTCTGAATTAATGAAAGTTTAAATAACTAACTTTTGCCAAATTTGCAAAAACATTTGACCACAAGCATATTTATAATTCCTTGTAGTGTCTTATACGAGGACTATGCAAGTGGCAGGCCCTGACACTTCAGCTGTTTCAGCTTTACGGTGAATCTGTGTCTTCAATTCATCCATAATTTTAGCATCCTCCAAAGCTACTCTCTGGGAACAGAAACAGTCTCTATTCATCCACCTCACTGCTCATGAGAATTCTAGACATCTATGAAGAAACCGAGACATTTTGAAATAGAAGGTAAAGGAGAAGAAGCATGTTGTTTGAATAGTCTCCTCCTCTCATAAAAAAGAACTGATTGTTTATTGTTAAATCTAAATGAAGGAGTTTGTGTTTTTTTAGAACCATCTATATTATAACTCCTAAAGTTATGAACAAGCTGTTCTGTAAGTTCTGACGTTTTCTTTTCATTCTATTTTCTATTTACGAACTCATCCCTTTTAGTGTTTTCACACCATATTTTTACCAAGGACTATGAAATCTCTTGACTAGTTCTGACCTCTTCCAAACAAAATAATCCAATTCCTAACTGCTTGATGGGCACATCTGAGTGTCAAAGCCTATTAAGCTTAACATATTCTAACGCTTGACCCTAACTGGCTCTTCCTTCCTGATTCCCTGTGACAATTACAGACAACACATTCCTTTAAGCCTCCAAGAGTAGAGTCCTCAAGATCATGTTCGACTCCTCTCCTTCCCTCATCATTATATCTCACCAGTTCTAACAATTCTGTTACAAAAATTTAATTCTTTCTGTTCATGATACTTATCTTTATCTTAGTGCTCACCTTCCCCATTTTCTGTCAGGATGACTACTGCCTCTCAATGTTAGCCTCTCTGCATCCACAATGCAGTAGTTCACTTTTATATGAGTGGCTGGTCGGTTACTCTATCTGAAACACAGCCTTCAGTACTTAATTCCTCCTTATAAATGTTCATAGAAGAACATTAAAACATCTCAAGGCCATATTTAGATCATTTATGACCTGGGTCCAATTCTTCCTTGGTCACATCATCCAGTGTATTATAAGCACCATGAAAGTGAAAATTATTGTAATCCCAGCACTTTGGGAGGCTGAGGAGGGCAGATCACTTGAGGCCAGGAGTTTGAGACCAGGCTGGTCAACATGATGAAACCCCGTCTCTACTAAAAATACAGAAAATTAGCCGGGGGTGGTGGCAGGCACCTGTAATCTCAGCTACTGGGGAGGCTGAGGCAGGAGAATCGCATGAACCTAGGAGGCAGAGGTTGCAGTGAGCCGAGATCGCGCCATTGCACTCCAGCCTGGGCAATAAGAGTGAAACTCCGTCTCAAAAAAAAAAAAAAAAAAAAGAAAGTGAAAATTATTGTAGTCATTCATTTTCAAGAGTATATCCTCAATGCTTGGCACATGGGAGGTACTCCTTATTTATAGCATGATTGCCTGTTGTCCAGTTACAACAGCAATTCCACATTTCTTGAAGTCTTTACATCTTCATCTTTGTGTTCTCTGACTTGGATATTTTTCCATCCTAACCTCCCTCCCATTTCTTTGCCACTGAAATTCCACTGCTCTTTTGCAATCAAACTCAATTACCACCTTCTCTGTGAAATCTTTCTGAATATTCCAGTCAGAATAATAATTTTTATCTATACTTCCACATTGCTTTGTCTTTACCTTGAAGATTTAATTCCTTATGATAGTTTCTATATTCAAATAAAATAATGAATATGGTCATAAAATTGTTACAATTGCTTTAAGACTCATATTCTTCACTGGATATATGTTAATTTGTGGATAAGAATTGTATTTAATAAATAACAACAATGTTAATAATAATGATGGCAACAATATAGTAAGATCACAATAAAAGTTACTAAATGAATGAATAATTATGACAACAGCTGGCATTTACTCAGCGCATACCTGAATCGTTACTTTAGTAGGTACTCTATTTTCAGGATCTCATTTAATTTTCAAAATAATACTATAAGATAAATGTTATTTCCCCAACTTTATAGATAATAAAACAGATTTTCCATGAGATTAAATAATGTGTCTAGTCTTATGCTGGTAAGTTTTGGATCTGATATATTTTCCAAAGTCTGATTCACTAAACAAAAAAACTTATACTGTAAACAACCTTCAACATCTTAGTCACGCTTAGATTTTCCATTAGCTGCAGCAACAATGAGCATATACTGGATGCTCAATAAAGTTGATTTGTGTTCACATTGTAGATGTTTATTTCTAAAATAGAGATTTTTTGTGATCACATCAAAAAGAAGACTAAACATTCATTGTTAATTGTGGTCTCAGAGGGCAAACAAAAGCTTGCAATTTATAAAAATAAAAAAAATGATTAAACTGACCGGACCTATATTATCCTAATCTTTATTCATTCACTAAACAAACACCCACTGAACACACACTATTTTCAAGGGTTACCCTAATTTCCTGTGAATATTTAAAATTAAGGACAGAAAATTTCTGTATTAGAATTGATGTAATTCTTATTTATCAAACATACAGAGGTTTCAGTATGATTTACTACAGCAGCAACTAGGTACATACTTAAATTATAAGCAAAATTAATTTTGATCTTAATTATCTTTCTCATCCTGGTATCATTTCTATTCTTGTTATAGTTTTCATGTGTTCCTTTTTTTAAAAAAAAGAATACTTTTTTCTTAAGCTTTTCTTTTCCAGCGTTCTCCCATGCTTTTTCCCTATTTTTACTTAAAAAAAAAATCCTTCCACAGTCTTCTGTCATATCCACAATTCCCTTTTCTTTCCACTCTGTTCATTTTCTTGTTCTCATTTTTGGCTTCCTTCCCTGAGTTCCCTACAGTATTCCTTTGCTTCAGAGGGTCAATGTCTTATTTATAATTCCTTGAATTACTTATAGTTTGTGAACTATGAATTTATGATTCATATTTGTAACTCAATATAATTCATGGAAAAATATTCTACATATTCTGTTAAGATGTCAGAATATAGAAAGTAAATGACACAATTAATTAAATGACTTTTCTTTAATCCTGTTCCAGTTCTCACACTCTCCTAAGGCTCTTCCCATTACCTAAACTGCCCTTCCCTCCTTCATTTTTCTGTTCTTTACCCTTGTAAATTTCGTACTTAGGCCTAGTTGCTAAGTTAGTTCCTACATAGAGATCTTTGTGTAATGTATCCAGCTAGAAATACTTACTTCTTCCTCTTTCCTATTATAGTCCTAAATTCATATCTTTATCAGAGTATTAGTTTTCGTATCACATAAAATAATTTTGATAGTTAATTTACTTTCTTCTCTAGGCTCACACAATGTAAAATATGGCATTGTGAATTTAATGTCTTTTTCTCCAAACGGAAATCATTGTAATGTTGTAGGTGTTCAACAATGTCGATAAAAAAATAAATATATAAATATTTAGATGCTCAATTCGGTTTGTCTTGTTTGTCATTAGATCATACAGGGAATTAATATTCTTAACTGAGGAATAAAATATTTATATACACTGTCAATAAAAACATTAGAATCTGGCTACACATTCACACACACACAAAGATGCACATGTACACACACATCTCAGGAATATGTGTGTATGTAATATGTATATATATTCTGGATTATAGTTTATAAAAGATCAAAGAGCTTATAACTAAATTGCTATCAATATTTCCATGGAATTTGAATTAACTTTTAATATGCTGTCTAAACAGGAAGGAATATAGAATTCCTTTAAGAAGATGTATTCAGGTTGGTTTTTCCACTCACACATTTTTTCTCTTCTAGGATCCTGCCTTCCATTCAACTGTCAGGTCTTCTCAAGCTCCTCCGATCTATAACAGTTCCTCAGTCTTTCATTGTCTCTCATAATCTTGACATTTTTGAAGAGTACTTATCAGTTACTTTGTAGAATGTTCCTCAGCTTGGGTTTCTCTTATGGTTTGTCATTAGACTTAGGTTGTGCAATATGGAGCAGAACACTACAGAGGTGATGTACCCTTCTCAGAGCATCATATCAGTGTATGTTTCGGTACTACTTTGAGGCTAACCTTGATGCATTGGAGTGCCTGCCACTACTGACAGTTAATTCTCCCCTGGAAAGTTAGTAAAAATCTGGGGGAACATACTTGGAGACTATGCAAATATCCTTTTTCTGCTTAAACTTTTACTCACTAATTTTTGCATTCATTGATGGATCTTGAATTGTTACTGATATATCTGAATAGTAATTTTTTGTTTCATTTCTCTCACATTATTAATTAGAATTCTTCTGAAAGGCATGGTTAACTCTTCTCCTCCATTCATTTACTTATTCAGTCATCTATTAATATTAATATAGACCCATGGGAATTTTTCATTTCGTTAATGACTCAGTAATATCTTTTTGCTGTTCAGGTTGTGCCAACTTTGTGTTTTGGGAGCGCCTTAAGGTTGGCTGTTGTGCCCTTTATGTATACCTATTCTATTAAAAAAAATTTTTTTAGCATGTCATTACTTTCTAGAGCCACAAGATGCTCCAGAATCATCTTGTATTTTCCCTGACCCAGCCCTGCAATCAACCAACTTTCCAATAAACCTTGATCCTTTTCATTAGAGAATAGTGTTTAGAAATCAAGCACTGAGGACTAGTTATGCTCACTGCTACTATGGTGTCACTGCTTTCCCTTTCATTAGCTAGGACTAGAAAATACGTGTCCTATAGTAATTATGTATACATACTTCCATATTTATTTCCTTATCTGCCTCTATTCTTTATTTTTCATTCTTTTTATTATCATTTTTTATAATTTTATTGATCACTTATTATCACTTAAACAACACAATAAAAGTAAGTTAAAAAATAAAGCAGGTTGGGGATAAGAAATTCTAAGACAGACATATTGATAAGCAAGAAAACAATCAGATTTGAAAAACAATAAGCACACTTATGTGTTCTCAAATGTGAAAGTACTAGAGAGCAAAAATAGGGTAAAAGTCCCCAAATATTCTTCAGTTTTGAACTTCATAGAATAAATTTCAAATTGACAAACTCTCACAGCTAGCAGAAGTGTAGCATCTTATCTAAATTCTAGAAAGGCATTTTCAACCTATCATATTCCATTAATATCAAGAGGTCTTCTCCACTAAGACACTAGATATGGTTTATGTCTAGATACTTATAAAGCAAAGTCTCCCTGTCTTTGTATTTCCTCAATTGCATTCTGATTCTAACCACTCCTCAAAAAGCTTGAATCTTTGTGTGCATATTTTATAGAAGTTCAAAGAGTTTGGCTTTAAATAGCATTTTTACACTTCAGGTCTTCAAAAAACTTGTTTTAAGTTTTAAACTTTTAACTTTGATAGCCAAAGAGTGGCTTTGAAGGAAACAATTGGAAAGTAGCTGCTGAATGTTATTCTCAGAACTGACATGAATTTAAGCCAAAGGAAACAGCTTTGTTCTCCAGCTATGGGTATGTTAGGTTTGTCACATGGTCTGAAATAACATTTTGTACAGTTGTGTAATCTTTAACTTTAATTGAGATATTTTCCCTCACATTTAAAACTGGTCACTCAAATTGTTAAAATACCAATACTTTCTATGAAAGTTGCAAATTTATTATCTTAGGTAATCTTCTTAATATTTTGCAGTTGTCATTTCATAATTATCAGCTACCAATATCTCAATGTGAAACAGCATGGTTTATCTCCTTTGGCCCTTTCAGCCTTGAATTTCACTTGTAACTACTACAAAATAGATTGATCTATGTATACCATGTGATTTATTTCCTGGTCTCTTCAGCTGATGAAGAATGGTATACACTTAAAGTACCATGTTCATTCTTAGCTGGGGCAGTTGTATTCCTTTAAATTTAGAATTAACTGCAATTGATTGTTTTCCTCCAAAGAGAAAAAAATGTACAAGAAAAAAAAATAACCTATAAGAAAACAAAATTAAAATTCTAAGGTAACAATACCTATAAGAAAACAAAATTAAAATTCTAAAGTAACAATTTGGTCGGTAAAATCCGTATTATCATTTAAAAAATATTTTTATTGTACCCTGCTCTTTACGATTTTTTGAACAGCTTTTACCATGGCTATATCCTATTCTTTATGTATCTTTGTGATTTGAATAGCCCTTAGCTGTGTAATAAAAGTCTTCAGATTTTTGTTATCAAGAGACAATTAGAAAAATCTAAGTGGGAATATCTTATAGAAAATTTAAGCAAACAAAATACAGTTTTTTTTCTTTTAAATGTGTCTTCCTTTTTGACATTTTATAGTGTCTCAAAAATTGTCTTTGGCTTTGTGAAAATTGCATAGTATCCAAAGTAATAGATAAAAAGTAATAGATAAGTAGAATTTAAGTTGTTGAGTCTTGTCAAACTAAAGACACCAGATTGATTTGAGATTTAATAATAGGGCTGCCTTGTAGCCTTTTAAAAGCCATTTAATAATAGAAATGAGATAATAACTCTATTTTTCCCAGAAGATCTTTCTAAAATTCCTACAACTATAAAATAGTGCTAATGTCAAAAATGAAGACACGCTGACCTCATATCAAGGAACAATTTAAATATAATCCCTGATTTCAAAATGGCATGTAATATGTCTTTGGCAGGAATTGCAAAAGCCTTTAGGGATTTTTAAGGGAAATCTGTGTCAAAATAGTCCAAGCAATTTGACATCGTTATTAAATACATCTAACATAATTATGCTTCACTGATGAGGTGATACTCTCACATTCTTGAGATACAGAAATCAGAGAGCTCTAGAAGCTCCTCTCTTCTGCTCCTTCCTTCTATGTAGAGATTATAAAATGAAAGGCCAAAGAGGTTAGCTGACTCCTCCATAGTTAACACAGTAAATTTTGGCTACTGTTGGACCTGATTTCACCTACAGCTTTATGATATAAACTCATTTTTTAAAACATATATTAGTTAAGCTTCTTTTCATACCAATTTGCGGAATCCCACTTGAGATATCTGAAAAACAACAAACAAAAACAATGAGAGTGGGCGGGGCCGTGCTTGACAGGTGTGTTTCACTCATGCAAACTAAGGGCAAGCCCATTCATTCCCTGTGGGCTCAAATCAGGAACTGAAAAGCCATGAGAGACTATCTCTGCCTTTCCTCTCTTTTTGTGGTCTCCTTTATTACTGTATGTCTGATTTTTCTTCCCCACGGAAAAGATGAGCACTTTTTGGTTCTCTAGAACACAATTAGAGTTAAATTCAGAAGGAGAGATTGTCTCTGAATCCCCAAAGAGAATCCACGAGTGAAACTCCATTGATTCAGCTTGGGTGAAGTGATCACCCCAGACCCTCTTTTTATTTTTTTGCACATGCTGTGTCAGGCACTGTGATCACTCAAGCAGCTATATCTAAAGGGACCAGGCTCACAAAGTAAAACCATAGCTATATAGCTAATATTTACAAAACACTCATGCTTAGAGTTAGCTATACATTAATAATGCAGTTATATAAAGAAGGCTTTTAGTACTATAGATTACAACAGATCCATAAACTATGTCTGCTGTGAAACAAAATAGTTGCTTTAGTTTGAATTCATTAAATTTTATAGCAAAATATAATACTTTTCTATTGTATATCTATAGCATATAAAATAAAACAGAATATTACATTACAAGAATTTATATTCCATAATATTCACAACTGATGTGCTGTGAAAATAAAATTTATTAAAGTATATTAGTATAAAAACTTTTGTTTTGAATTTTGGGGTTTATGTTTCATTCTTGTCACTGCTGGCTAAGATCTATTGTGGTGAGTATTCTACTTGTTGCATTTAGTTTAAGTAATGAATAAGGATGAAAAACTTAACTTAATGAGTTTCAGGGCACCCTAAGTTAACTGCAGGTTATTCCATTTGTCAGTATGAGACATGACAACATTAGTTCTGCTCAGTTACTTATTTCAAGAGCTACATATTAGCCTTGTATCTGGTGACTCTGCCAGCTATTGTTTGCAAAGCTTCCTCTCCAAATATAGCAGGCTTATTAATCAAATGTGAATAGACACAATTTACTAATGGTAAAGATGAAAAAAAAAATTAGACCACATCCAAATAACTTGCCAGTAAAATGCCAAGGCTTAGCCCATCTTACTTGCATTATTACCTTGCAATAATAATTCAGCTAAACATTCAAATCAGTAGCCACAAAACTTAAATAAATTTAACTGCAATCCAAAATCTGTTAAATACATGTTATAAAAGAAAGTAGAAAAATTTGATTCACTACCACCTATGACAACTTTTAACGTTTTCATTTTGCAAATAATAAAATGACACTCAGAGAGGTCAAATAACATGGTTAAAGTCAAAGTAGTAAGTGGTAAGGACCCAAAATTTCAATGGAGTTTTCAACCTGTATTATAACATGTAGTTGGTGACCTAGTCTACATAACAGCTACTTAATCTGAACTCCAGTTTCAAATAATAACTTTTAATATTACATATTTTTAAAACATAAGCTTGATAATTTAGCATGCTGTTATATATGCAATACAATTCAGTACTTTTCCCATTAATGTGGCTCTTAGGATATCTAGCCTTTTCCCATATTTTCTTCTTAGCTCTTCAAAGACCAGAACCAGTCTTTCTGCTAACTGCTTTGTCAAAAATCTTCTAGTTTCTGGGTTGTACCCTAATCTGTAACATTAAATTTTTTTTTTCTGTATTGCTTGATATTTGTCATTACAAGTAAGAATTTCCTTTCTAAATCCTGTTGTGGGTTTACTTGTACCTCGCAAGAAAGATACCTCAGAATGTGACTTTATTTGGAAATAAGTTCTTTACAGATATAATCCACTTGAAATAAAGCCATTAGGATGGATCTTAATCCTATATAACTGTTGTCCTTAAAGGGGATATTTGGATACAGAAACAGACATACATAGAGGGCAGGAGAACACCATGAGCAAGATAGAGGACAGGTGTGTTACATTAGCAGGCCAATGATTGCCAGCAAACCAGCAGATACCAGGAAGGGACGAGGAAGGATTACTCCATAGGTTTAAGGGGAAGCATGGCCCTGATGACATTTTGATTTCAGACTTCCAGCCCCCAGAATTGTGAAAAAAATAAGTTTGGCTATTTTAGCAACCCAGTTTGTGGTGCTTTGTTATAGTAGCCCTAGAAAACCAATACATATCCCAAACCAAACAAGTTAGAAAATGCTTGCACGTGTAAACACACAGACACACACACACCCCTTTTGTTGCTTTTCTAAATTTCTTTCTTTTAGTTGGCAGATTGTTTCTTTCAAATCAGAGAATCAGAAACTAAACATATTGTCCTCATCCTATTTTACTCTATTTTTCAGATGGTACCTTGGAAAACAGCATAGTACATGGTTCTTTCATTTTCAAGAAAGAAATATGAAATAAAATGCCACTTTGGTCATAGTTTCTCTTTGTTTGGTGGAAGTATTTTAAGGTTAATCAACAAACATTTGAATACATAATTAAATATGAATTCATATGTATGTGGCCCCAAACAAATCTATCTGGTTTGATGACACTGTCATCTACCCATGGCTGTAAAGCAAATTATCCTTTTCCCTCCTTGCCTTATTCCATCAGTCAGTAAGTATTTGCATGTGATGATTTCTTCAAAATGCATCTTTAAGTCATCTTTAATCTAAACCTGGCTATTTCCTTAGTTCAAGACTTCGTTGATTTTTAATAGGCTCTTACTTGATCAATTTTCTCCAATTTCATCAGCTCTGATAAAACAGATCCATTTTGTTCCAGTGATGGAAAATGCCACATGTATAATAAAGCTACCATTATTTTATCATTCTATGTGTTTTACATACCCTAACTCAATCAGGAATGAGAATGAAATTGCTTAGAAAGATTAAATAGCAGACTCAGCTCATGTAAAAAGCGGTAGTGCTACAATTCAAGCCCAGGGCTGTTACACTCTAAAATAATATAAACATTTTACTGCATCATAAAAGGCTTTTCATTTTGCCTATTAGAATAACATTATGTTGATTGTCAGATAGTTCTTAAGTATTTTAGCTTCTTTAATACTTGTAACACTTTGTTTCTGGTTATTTTAAAAATCATTACCTACTGTTCTATTCAAGCTATTGACAGACACTCAGTAATCAAGGAAGAACTACTGTCTTACTCCATTTTGTGCTGCTATAACATAATATTATGGATTGAGTAACTTATAAAAAAATATAAATTATTCTCTAACAGTTCCGGAGGCTAGGAAGTCTAAGATCAAGGCGCTGGTATCTGATAACAGCCTTCTGCTGTGCTTTTACATGGTAGAAGGTGGAAAAGCAAGAGAAGAAATTTTATGAATTTACAAGGCAAAAGAGCTAAAGAGGGTAAACTTGCTCCTGAAAGCTCTTTTTATCATGGCATTAATTCACTCATAAGTGTAGAGTTCTCTTGATCCAAATGCCTCCCCTTAGGTCTCACCTCCCAACATTGTTGCACTGGGGATTAAGTTTCTAACACGTGAATTTTGGGAGACACATTCAGGCCACAGCAGCTTCTAAATGCCTTGGGCCCATCCATCTCTCTCTCTCTCTTTTTTTTTTTTTTTTCAGTTCTTTCACTTGACATAGTTCGTAGTGAATAAGACCTAAATTAAAATTTCATATACTTGATCACCAAATATAATAACATAATACATCAGAATAAGTATAATCACATTTAAACTTGCAAATCAGCTGGTGGTATATATATATGATTGGTATGCAAACACTAGAAAACAATAAAGTTTAATTTTTCAGATTATGAAGTTTCAGACAATTCTAAAGCAGAACTGAGATCTCACTTTCACATTTTAACCACATTATTGAGGTATGATTGACATATAAAAAGCTATATATATGTATACAACTTGATGACGTTGGACATAAATATATACTCTTTAAACCATTACCACGACTTATGCCATAAGCCTATCCATCATCTCCAAAAGTTTCGTCTTACTCTCTTTAATATTACTATTATTATTAACGTGTATGTGTATAAGAACACTTAACAAAAGATCTACCCCCTCAGCAATTTTTTAAGTACACAATATAGTACTGTGAACTATAGACACTACACTGTACAGTAGCTCTCTAGGACTTATTCATTTTGCATAACTGCGACTGTGTACCTTTGACTAATACCTCCTTTTTTCAACCTCCCGAAGCCCCTGGAAACCACCATTATACTCCCTGCTTCTATGAGTTTGACTATTTTAGATTCCTCATATAAGTAATATTATGTAGTATTTGTCCCTCTGTATCCTGGCTTATTTCACTTAGCATAATATCCTCCAGGTTCATCCATGTTGTCTCAAATGGCAGGATTTTCTTCTTTATAAGGCTGAATAATAATCCAATCTTTGTACATAACACAATTTATCTTTTCACCCATTGATGGACATTTCTCTGTCTTGGCTACGGTGAACAATGCTGCAATGAATGTGGGAGTGCAAACATCTCTTTGAGATCCTGATTTCAATTATTTTGGATAAACACCCGGATGTGTGAATGTTGGACCCTATCGTAGCTTTACTTTTAGTTTTTTTAGGAACCTCCATATTTGTTTTTACCATAGTGGCTATACCAGTTTACATTTTCACTAACGGTGTACAATTGCTCTTGTGTTTTAACCTTTCTAAACCTGTAACTACTATGTTGTGACAAGGGCTACAAAACAGAGTGTCAGAATGAGAATTTAGATGTCTCTGTAAGTATGTTTGTATGCATTTTCATGTACTTACCCTAAAGAATTTGATAACTTCAGGCCCCCTAAAAGATGGGTATTAGTAGGATGACCACAGCATTAGTCGTTTACACGGGGAGACTTTTAAGAAGGAAAGGAAGCGAGGGTATCATTAATGGGCACAGGCATATGGAGGACAGGGACATAATCTAGGACTTTTGCCAGCAAACCAGGGCATATAGTCATCCTAAATTTGCATAATTGCTATAGCAATAAGTTCATGAAAAAGCGAGATGAAAAGACATTGGAAAACACTTTTTTGATAAATGGCAAGAGATTATGTAGAATGGTAGTAAATATGACACCATATTGGTCACTCTGGACCACTTTCAGGTACATTCAGAAAAACCTATATATTTCTCTTTGACAAATATTTCTTACAACTGAGTACATTTAAATACTCTACCACCTTCTACCTTACTATACTCACTTTTTCCCATAAAAAAGGGAGTTTCTATTGATAGTTATCAGTAAGTCAAAAAAAAACCTGGCATATTAGTCCACTTTGGGGCTTTGGTTTCTCAAGACAGGAAAAATATGAACAAATTTTGTTTTTTATTTATTTTTTTCTAATTCAAATGAGCTTAAATGTTAACTATTAGCCACCGTTAATATTACTTAAGGGTGCTATTACTCAGTTTGCATTTTCATCTCTACCTCAATCCAGGTGAAACATTCATAAAGTATTTCTCAAAAATACAGCAACAAAAATATCATAGTCTCTTTAACAGAATTTAGGGTCATTATGAGGTTCAACTGTTTCATTTTCAACTTTATATAATTGTTAAACTTTTGAATTCTGCCAATAGTCAAGCTGTTTACAGAAGTACACACTGTAACATAATTTGCTATTTTTAAAAGAATAATTTATGATACCTTTCAAGTGAGGGCTGTGTACCTGCATTCTTTGCAGATGTAGATTTATTGGAACAAATTCTAATGTTTTCTCTCCTTTGCTGCTGCTTGATTTGAAAGAGGACCCTGATGGAAACCAGAAATTAAACATTATTAGTAAATAATGATAAATTAATATGTGTGTTAAAAGATAAATTTGACAGAAAAATGTTAAAATAACTTCAGAAAGAAAAACATATCCTATATTTATGAGTTGCTTTTCTTTTACAAATTCAATATTTTTAAAAATTGTCTCAATTATTCATATAATAATTCTGTAAGGTAAAATAGGGTAGTTTTTTCTTTGTTTTAAGATGTTAAAGTTAGAAATAAAAGAGTTTTAAAAAATCTCCAGTTCTCCTATCTACATAAAATCTATTTATTATTTTTTTTTTCATTTCACATGCAGGAAATGCAATTCACTTTGAGTAAGTAGAGAAATTGCTTCCACACCTGTTTCCTTGCTAAGTTCTGTCAGAATGTCTTGGTACATATTCACCATTTGATCACAGTGAGTAAGGACATTTTTTCGCAGATTGTCCCAATGTGGAGAAAGCTCACCAAGTTCTTTTATCTCCTGGTTTCTGTTAAGAGTGGAAGAGAAGAGAAACTTTATTTTTATCTTAAATCCATAAACGCATAACCCTTAGTCAGAGTTGTCAAGATAATAAGAAATTATTTCATCCTAATTCCCAGGAAAGTTCTATGAGCTTATTAGCTTAAATATTTTTTAAAAATTATTTTAGCACAAAAAAATATGAATAGCTTAACCACACAAATAAAAACATTATGTCAAAGGGCAAAAAATTAGAAATGTTAAATTCCCTGATAAATTTTTCACAAAGATGGCAGACTTCCTATTCTTATATACATAGGGAAGACATTTAGTTAAAAAGCAAATTGTAAAACCTCTATGTAAAGATGGCTAAGTTTTTAAGTTTCAACTGTACAAAATCAAAGAATGTGGAAAGGGCTACCTGACCATGTTGGAAGCAAACATGAGATACTTAGTCAATTCAGTTTATATATAATATAGTTACAAATATTTTTTTAAAAAAACAAAAGCCCGGCCGGGCACGGTGGCTCACGCCTGTAATCCCAGCACTTTGGGAAGCCAAGGTGGGTGGATCAGCTGAGGTCAGGAGTTCAAGACCAGCCTGGCCAACATGGTGAAACCCCATCTCTACTAAAAATACAAAACTTAGCCAGGTGTGGTGGTGCGTGCCTGTAGTCCCAACTACTCAGGAGGCTGAGGCAGGAGAATCACTTGAACTCAGGAGGTGGAAGTTGCAGTGAGCCAAGATTGTGCCACTGCACTCCAGCCTGGGTGACAGAGTAAGACCCCGTCTCAAAAAAAAAAAAAAAAAAAAAAAAAGCCCAGATAATAAATAAATGGTATTGTCACGTATGGTTTTATTGGCTTCAGTTTCTGCCAAAAGGACAATGTATGAAACTACTGTATGTGTATGCGTTGCTCCCTCTTTATCAAAAAGAAGAGCTAACCATGTCATTTAGGCTTCAATTATTAACTTTTATCTAAATCTCTACCCTTTAGCCAAGTTAATTTAAATCATCAGAATGCCTTTTTAAAACTATAGTGATAAATGGTCCAATATGCTGCTTGGTTAGATCTCTTATTCATTTCTGTAACCTTTTACCAACAACATTTTCATGAGGCTAATTTAACCAGTAATAATGAAGCTTCTTTGCTATTTTGGCCATGAAACATGCTAAATACCAAGCTAATAAATTCACGAGCTGTAGAATCTTTAACATTCTGTTAAATGCAAGAATAATGGATGGTGTGCAAAAATGTGACTTGCTTTCAAATGGTTGTAGCTGTCTTTGTTTTGTTCCAATGGGATTGCAATTTAGAACTGCTGCAATTTTCATCTGAGGTCTTTATAATTTTTGTGAACATTCATCTCACTCTCAACTTTTCCAAAGATTAGTATTCATGATGAAACACTCATGGGAGAAAAAGTAATTAATCAATAAATAATAGAGTAAAGAAAAAAAAATCATGACCAAAAGAGAGACAAAGAGAAGGTAGAAGATTGGGGAGTTGAATTCTGTTTGCACTCAAATGGCAGGATGTACAAGTTCAGGAAAAAAGCAACAACCACTAAAGCAAACAAGTAATTCCAAAAGATTGATATATCCAAGTCTAGAAGAATCTGAGCAATTAGGTTGAATCTGAGATATACAGCAAGTATAATATATCAACTTAATATGCAAAGTTTCAGCTTTGCTTTCAGTATACAGTTATAATGAAAATATTAGCTAACAATTTTTATTTAGTACTAATAGATGCACCATACAGTTACAATTTATATTATCTCTAAATTATTATCAGAAAGAATAAGTAAAGGGGGGATGACGAGGAAGGTAGAAGAGTGATAGTGAAGCCCCTGACCACATTCTGGGATACTGGGGGTGGTGTACATTTCCTTGCCTAAGATAAGTTTGGCAAAATGTAATCAGAAAAGTTTAGTATTCTGTGAGGAGTATCTTGATACAAGCTGTGAGGACTCCATAACTTTTGTTTAAAATGTATTGCACTCTTCCATTATGCCACAATTTATACAGAGAAGTATACTGATGAACCTGTTTGTTCTAAGAGATGACAGTAAAAAAGGTACGCATTCTGAAAAGGACAAACAACTATCATACTGTCTCTCCACATTGAGAAAAGTTCCAATATAGGGGAACTATATGATAAAAGTGTAATAAACCAGACACAGTAATGAAAACATTGCAAAACAAAATGGGGCAGAGTAAGAGAGTCACTGCATTTTTTAAAAAGGAAAGAAATTAATAAGCACATTAATTTCATTAAAGTAAAGAAGAGGTACATTCATACATTAAAATAGATGAGGATAGAAGATAACTTGGTTCATGAAAATTGGTAAACTTTCCAATCAGGAAGCCTAGGGCTATTTATTCATAATGACATTTTCATTTGTCACTCAATGGTCAAAAAACCTCCTAGATTAAAACCTTTCCTTGGCATCTCAATTCAGATTCTCTAGGAGCACAGCCTGAGATCAAGCAATGCTAGGACAACCACAAGGAAGTAAAAAAATAAGTGATACAGGGAAGAGAAGAAAGCAGCCACAAGGTGGTACATGACTGAGCTGGGGAGAACTTCACAAGAAAACATAGCTGGTTATTTGGTCATGTGAAACAAATCTAAAGAAGTCATCTGGAAACTTTGTACCTTGGAATAGTTAGTCAGAGGGACATTTATATGTCAGTTGCTTGCCATACTCTATGTTTCATCGATAAAGAGTCATCCTACAGGTTATTAAGTCCTCTGCCTTTATGATTTTATAATCTGCCCCTTTGTGTAGCCACTGGAGAAACAATACTCTAATGGAGATAGAACTTTCCTGGGTGTGTCCCTATCTCACAGTTGCCAAAACTACTGTGAATCCTTCCATGGCAGTTGCTACTGGGGATATGCTAATGCCTGGTCTTCACCTTGAGAGAGGCTGATATAGTTAATGGTGTTAAGAGATAAGGTGACAGTGGTGGCAATACCTGAGGCTCACCATTGAGCAAGTGGTCAAAAATGTGAAGACATGTTAGGATTATAAGGATTTAATCCTTAGGATTAGGATTTAGCCAATGTAGAAAAGCACACAAACTGGGCCCAGGACAGACAACCCCGTGTACAACTCAGATGTACTTGTACCATCTGAGTTGATAACCCGATAGCATACAAAACAAGATCCCTCACATCTTTCCCAAGAGGAGAGTTTAAGTACAGTCCTTTAGAGTGATGGCAATGTGCGATTCCCCAGAGATTTAAAAGAGCAGTAATAAATCCAGCCACAATATGCAATCCTCCAACTAGTCCCTGAGGCCTTAATTGATATTCATCACCTATCTCCTTTACCATTAATCCCAGATTTTCCGCCATACTCTACCAGCATTTCAGCTGGTCTGAGTTGCTGCTGGGTGTTGCAGACCTAAATCCTGATGAATTAAGCCCTTAGTTTTCTTGCTTCTATGGAGTCTTGCTTGCTGCAATTTCTCCTTCCCATCAGGGCGTGGAGTACTTCTAAGTTTCAGACGTATTTTTCCTTGCTCAGATTTTGTGGCAGTAGCCCTATCTCCTCATGGTGGTGAGCATGGATATCTCACACCATCTTTTTTGGTCTATTGTCATGAGGAACACACAGTAACCAGATCACAGATAGAACCAATCACAGCTTCCACTTAAGTGGGATTCTAATTGTGTCCCCTGACAGAACAGCACTGCTCCCCTGACTCCACCACAAGAACCAGGATTCTAACTGGCAAAGTATAAGGTTGTAGGGAAAGGTAGTGCAAATACCACAAGTGGATCACTGCTACTGATTATAGGAAGGGCCTACCCTTAGTCCCAGAACTGTTGAGTCCTGGGTATGATAAATATAGCATCCTACATCAGTGATTGGTTTGGCATATTTCCCAATCCTAGAAGGCAGTACCTCAATTCTAAGGTTTTTCCTCATGCTGGTGTTTTGGCTGAACTTTTCATGATTAATATTATTCCACTGTACCATCAGGCCTATGGCTGTTGTGTGCTGAAACACATTATGACTATAAGCTCACTGTTGTGCCTTCTTTGATACAGCAGCAAATGTCCCTTAGTAGAAGCAATATTATGTGGGGCACCATATCATTGGATTAGGCATTCTTAGGCTATCGGATGTGGATGCCAGTGAAGGCACTGTGAGAGGAAATGCAAACACATATCTAGACCATAATTCACCCACTTAGGACAAATTGCTGCCCACTCCAAAGTGGAGAGGATGCAACTTAATTTGCCTGCCACCCAACAGGTGTTGGGTCTCTATCGTACCCCGGAGGAATGGTACCATCTCAGTGGCTCATTGTCAGTCTGTTTCTGGCATTTAATAGTTAGAAGTGACAATAGCTATATTAGCTTTGGAAAGGGAGGCCATGTCCTGGGTCCATGCATATTCCCTGCCTCTGTCACTAAGATCTAGGTCCAACCACAATAGATCATTCTCTTCATGGGTCTATTGCACAAACCCTGGAGTAACTGAGAAAGGAGGCTGGCTAATATCCACTGGACACGTGACAATGTCCACCTGGTAGTAGAAAGCTTCCTCTGCAGTATTTTATGTCTGATAGGCGTGATTTTGATTGTGCTCACTCCTACAACCCCATTCACATGTCTCTTGCTCGTATTCCTTGTATTTTATTTTCTAGTCTTACTTCTTTCAGGCCCATCAGATTATTAGCTCTGCCAATGCTTAACATACATATGCACCTCAGGTTACCTCCTTCTCTACATGAAGCGAATACCAAGTAAACGGTTTGCTGATCTTCCCACTGGGTATTTCCTTCATTATTGACCTTGAAGTCCACCCAACATGTCAGGCTGACCCATTTTTATACCAGTGCAAGTTCTTTCCTCCTCCGTGAGTGAGTCACAGGGAACTCTCGAGGGTGCGAGTTGAGAAAGAACCATCGGTGCAGTAGGACAGATGATAGAAGACTCTGGGACACCTCTTCATGATATATGGTCATACATTGTGGATCTGCTTGAGCCCAAATGTATGGAGCCAATGGATCCAATGTTCCAAATTTATCACTCTTATGTAACAATACATTATTTCTATGCCATACAGTGGGGTAAATCAATACCAAGTTCTCAATGGGCAGCTCTAGTCACAGAGTCCCTTTGTGTCCCATCATCAAGGGTTCAGTCTCTACTAAAGCCCAGTATTACAACAGGAGCTATTTTTCAAATGAGAAGTGGCTACCTGAGGCAGGAAGCACTAGTACATTCTAGAACTCTAAAGGTCTGTACTGACACTTTCCTATTTGCTTTTCCTAAAGATTCCACATAGCAGAGTTGTTTCTCACCACAGACACTTTCAGCCCCATTGGCTCTCCTTGGTAACCCCAGGATTTGTAATACAGTCTGGATCTTCTGAGATGTCCTTCTTGAACGGGCCCCACTTGTCACATTCTGCTGTTTAACTCAATGTTTTAACATACATTTATAAAGGGGTTGATTAGCGGCTGGTTAAGCACTAGACAAAAGGTCTTAATGATAGGTGAATCATAAATATAGTTCAAAGCACGTCAATTCTTTTTTCTTTTTTGAGATGGAGTCTCGCTCTGCCGCCCAGGCTGAAATACGGTGGTGTGATCTCAGCTCACTGCAACCTCCACCTCCCTGGTTCCAGTGATTCTCCTGCCTCAGCCTACCATGTAGCTGGGACTACAGGCGCCTGCCATCACGCCTGGCTAATCTTCGTATTTTTAGTAGAGATGGGGTTTCACCGTGTTAGTCAGGCTGGACTCGAACTCCTGACCTCAGGTGATCCACCCGTCTCAGCCTCCCAAAGTGCTGGGATTGCAGGCGTGAGCCACTGCGCCCGACCCAGCACATTAATTGTTTATTTGTATAGATGAAAAAAGACCTTTATTGTGTATGTACACATATGTGTTATATTACTTATTTTCCTCATTATTTGTCATCGTACCACAATATGTTAGAGGTGTAGCAACCAGATATGCCAGTTTACACCTGTTATTCCACTGTAATTATTAATACCTACTTTTATTCTCAAAAAATTTATACTAGATTGTCTAAGTTATAGGATATCAGAGTTCATATAAGATTCATAAACTCCCAGGATGCTACGGTTGGAAGGAAGCTCAGAGAATAACCTGAAACCTCTTGTTTCACAGATGGAGAAGCTAAGGTAAAAACTGCTTGTTTATCTCAGAGTCACTAGAATACCATAAAGCTTTTAGACTGTAATCCCCAAACCCACTGTTCCCTTACCTCATATTATTCTCTACTGCACAACAAAGAAACACAAGACAAACAGCAACAAAAATAAAAACAAACAGCAAACAAACAGAGTGTACTTAATGAATGTAGGTTGTGAGTGGGATTTGGAACCTGGGCAGTTGATTTACAGAATTACATTTGTAAACGTTCACGTGCTTTAAAAACTAAACCTGAACAAAAGATAAATTATTATTTGGGATTTTTAACTCCTGGATATTTTAGTTTGAATGGCATGCCTACCAGTTACTACAGGATAACTGAAATTTTCTAAAACATATTCAAGAGCATAATGGTGTCCAGCATTATAAGACCCAAAGATAACAGCACCCTGTGGTCCAGTCTCTGCATGTTGCTTCATTGATATAAGAAGCAACCTGCACTTTGGGAGGCCGAGGCGGGCAGATCACGAGGTCAGGAGATTGAGACCATCCTGGCTAACATGGTGAATCCTCGTCTCTACTAAAAATACAAAAAATTAGCCAGGTGTGGTGGTGGGCGCCTGTAGTCCCAGCTACTCGGGAGGCTGAGGCGGGAGAATGGTGTGAACCCAGGAGGCGGAGCTTGCAGTGAGCTGAGATTGTGCCACTACACTCCAGCCTGGGCAACAGACCAAGACTCTGTCTCAAAAAAAAAAAAAAAAAAAAAAAAAAAAAAAAAAAAAAAAAGAAGGAATCTGACACTAATGTTGTAATTAAATAGTTGCATACCATTACAAAGCCTTTGGCATGGGTAGCAAAGGAGATTAGCTACATAAATGCTTTTTTAAATTCATATAAAATAGGTTTTAGAATACTCCTATCTGTAAACATTCTCATTTTACTCACAGTCACAACAGCTTCTACTTTCAAATGTTCTCTCTTTCAATCACTACTTTGCAACAACAAAATAATTCTTCCTGGAAAATCCACCCCCTTGCTAAACACATACAATCTCATGAATTCATTGCTTTACTCTCACTAGAGTTCTATCTCCAAAACAAATCTTCTAACCTGTCTCTAGCTTCTCCCAGTTCTCCAAGAGTCCAACAAGTTGATGCAAGAAGTTAGGGAGAAAAGACTCAATAATAAAATATTAATAAGCTTAGGCCTCTTACACATTAAACACTTTTTGGGACTTACTTCCATCTGCTCCATTTCCCTTTCCTGACTACAAAAATAAAAGGCAAATTATACAAAACAAATCTCCAAAGGAGACATATAATTGCTAATGTCTATTCAGGAAACATCTAGTGCTCTATAGATCCTGGCATTCCAACAGCAAAGTATCACATTCTTGATACTTGATGAAATATTCATACAGATCTCTGGAAATAACCTTATGAAGTACTTTTTGTCTATATGGATCGTTTTGTCTTACTGTGTTTAAATATTTCAAAAACACATGCTTTTTATTTTCAGTAAAATTGCAAGTTCCTGGAAGTCATTATATACTCCGAACCTTCCACAATGTAGAACACCCTACTAATTATATGACATGTTTAAAACACAAGCTATTTAAAAACATGAAGAGAAAATGAGATTAAAAACCAAAACAAAACAACCCTGTGAAGAATAAAGAGAAATAATTAAGTACAGAGTGAATCATAGAAGAACTGGGAGAAAAGTAACCAAATGTGCTTTAATTTTGTTACATATAATGTGTAAAATATTGGCCGGAATATTAAACAGATAAGTATTTTTTAAACTTTATTCCTTATACCCCTGGGGTTGTTGTAGGTATAGGGACCCAGAAAGTGTTGGACAAATTAGGGCGAGTAAATGAATAGGCCTCAGGTTCTTTCCTTTACTGTACCCACCCAGTAGCTCCAATTATATCCCTTTAATTTACATTGGAATTCTGTGTACAATTCTGTTTGGAAAATAAACGTTACTGGGGCAAAAAAACAAAAACAAAAAAAGAAGAAACAGAAGGCTTAAGATCACCAAAATAGAAAATTGTAGCTCTATTTAAAGCTTCTATTTAAAACATAGCATTAAAGCCCACTGATGATATATTCAAGGAGGGATTTCCAACATGGGGCAAATGTGCTTTGAGTCTGTGAGTGGCAGAGACTAGCTTTATTCATCTTTTTGTCCAACCGCAGTCTCCTACCCATGGGAAGTATCTGAGATGGGCTTGTTGACTGAATAAATGAAGTTTGCTTGCAGATTGTTGTTCTTATATTTTCCTAAAATTTAGGATAAAGTCAAAATATAGACTAACCCTAGAGTATAGTGCTAAGCTCTGCCAAGTTTCAATGGAGAAATGAGACATGGTTCGGTCTTCTACCCTTGCATGATGTAGGTCTGTAATCCTAGATTAAGCAAGTCTTCCTTAGGGATAAAGATTTGAAAAATTTATCTTCATATGGCATTTCCTATTGTGATGGTTAATTGTACATATCAACTTGGTTGGACCACAGGGTGCCCAGATATTTGGTCAACGGTATACTGAGTGTTTCCATGAGGAGATTTTTGAGGGAGATTAACATTTGAATCGGTAGCCTCAATAAGGCCCACTGCCCTCTCTAATTTGGGTCGGCCTAATTCAATCAGGTGGAGGCCTGAATAGAATAAGAGACTGACACTTCCCCCAAGTAAGAGAGGAATCTCCTGCCTGACTGCCTTCAAACTGAGACTTTGCTTTTTTCCTGCCTTTGGACTCAGACTGACACACTCGACTGGAACTACACCATTGGCTCTAATGGGTCTCCAGCTAGCCTACTCACCCTGCAAATCTTGGGACTTGTCAGCTTGCATAATGATGTAAACCAATTCTTTCTAATAAATTGTGTGTGTGTGTGTGTGTGTGTGTTCTATTCTGTTTCTCTTTGGAACCCTGACCCATACACTAACTATGCTGGGATTCCATCACACTGATTTCTCTCTGCTTAGTGCATAAACAGCTGAGAGACAGGCCAGTTGGTGATGGTGGGAGGGAGATGGAAGAAAATCATCTAGAATATAGTTTAGGCTCTTCCATGGGCTTTTATCCCTCCTACCACATTTTACAAATACTCTCCTGACTTGTTCAAAAGAAAAACAACTATAGTGATGTTCGACTTGTCTAAGGGACATGCACAAGAAATCTCTTTAGTTCTGAGGCCAACATTCTGTGTGCAAGCACCTATGATATTGGAAGTGAGAACCAAAATTGGTAAACTTTAAAAATCTGGGTATATAAATTCAAAAATGTCAGAAATTATGGAAGGTAATTATTGTAATAATGAGTATCTGAAAATAATAGATAATTCATTTACGGAAAAGTCGTAAGACAAAATAGCTTGATAAAAATGTATACAGCAAAGGATATAGCCCAGTATGAGAGATATAAAAGTGTTATTTGAGACTGTTATAATTTAAGTAAATAGAAATATTTTTCCACAATGAGCTCTATAATACCATTTTAAAAAATAAAAATAGCTGTAGAACTTAAATAAAGCCTTTTGGTAGTTATTACACAGTAAAACTACACATGGTATGCATGGGTAGAAAGTTTAACAGCCAAGATGCTTTCATTCATTAAACAAAATTAGACCTTAAATCAAACTTAAAAGAAGTCATAAAAAATTTATTCACTAGGACAAAAATTAAATACTAAATAGTCAGTGAAGAATAGACTACATAAATGACTGGTAGGTGGCTTCAATTTCATAAAGTGGTTGGGTGACACCATAAAACTGAGCAAAGTTCAACTGGATGTCAGGTTTCACAGTATATTCAGCCTACAATTCAAAATATCTGTGCTTTAACCCACACATGGATAAAAATTGCATCCATAAATCACGGGCCTATTTTTTAAAATACATTCTTATAAATGACAATGTGGTTAATGTTGCAAGCCATGAGCCACTATTTCAGGGAAAAACAACTGAATATTCCAAGTGGTCATTCACTCCGATTTTCACTTGAAGTTAAAATAACTGCTTATTGTACTATATACACAATAAAGCCTCAAGTTATATACAAAGACTGACAGTTGGAACACAGTTATTACAGGATTTAGTTGCAATCACAAAATCTGTTTGTATCTGATAAACAGCCAGATTCTATAATTTAATTTTAGGTAACTGCATTAGAAAAAAATGAAGAACAATAAGTATGTCTTTTTCCAGACTAAGAATCTATTTGCTCTTGTTGATAAAGTTAAATTGGTATTTATTTACTTCTAAATAACATCAGTTTACCCTTCACAGTTTGCTTTAAAGTTATTAAACATGGCCAGCATTTATTTTTTAGTATTTTAAAGCTTAGTGCTCCACTTATTGTCTAAAGCAGTGGTAGTTGCATTGTGCAAAGGTTTCTCACAAATCCACATATGTTCATTACATGCCTTTTCATTCTAAGTAGCCGTGGAAGTTATGAAACGTACTTAAAAGCTGTTTAAACAAGACAGAGTGCTAGCATTCTCATCACATTTTAATAATTTGTGCCCACAATTTCAGAAATAGAGAACATTTCTGGATACCACCCCTTTAAATTCCTCTAACCCTGGACTTGGACGGAGGATGTTGTCCAGTTTCGTAGGTAGAAGGAAAACACCAGGCTCTATTGAATATTCTATGTCAAATTTGTTTGGTTAGTGGACACCATAAGATTTTCCAGGTGTTATCCCTTTTGATAATCAAGGTTACTTTTGCATAGAAAAGATCCCTTCCTTTGATTTCATAGCAATCTTCTGAGATCATTGCCCCACAGCTGCACCAAACAAAATAAAAAATTCAATCGTACTAGGTATATTTCAAATGTTCAGTAGCCACATGACTATCCTATAGGATGGTACAATACAGAGCATTTCTATCATCAATGAATGTTCTTTTGGACAATATCACTCTACACAAATGACTGAGAAGTACAGTGACTTCGTTGATGCCACATTGCCAGTAAATGGTAGATTCAGGACATGTACTCACTTCCTAGGAATTCAAATCCTGTTATCTTTTTTATTTAAATTCTTGGGGGAGTACAGTTTCTCCTATGAAAGTGTCTCTGAACAGAAGGACAAGATTAGAGGCTCCCACCTGAGGGACTCATCTGAATGTAACTTTCATATGGCTCAACAGAGCCGGTTGAAATATTTTCTTTGAATATGCATTGGACAGACAGTCTTGGCTATAGCAACTGCTGGAAAGCCAACCAACATAACAAAATTTTTATTTTACTTTCTAGTTATTTAACAATTACTTATATAGTGCTTATTCTATGTCTGCTACTATTCTGAACACTTCACAAATATTCACTCATTTGCCATTCATAACAATTCATTGAAATAGGCACAATTATTATCATTCTCATTTTAGAAATGAGAAGTTAACCAGAGAAGTTAAGCGATTCACTCCTGGTCACCTACCTAGTGAGTGGCAGAGATGACATTAAGTCCAGGCAGTTTAGCTTTGGAGCCTGTTTTAGTTTGCTAAGACTGCCATAAGAAAATATCATGGACTTGGTGGCTTAAACAACAGAAATTTATTTTCACAGAGTTCTAGGGGCTACAAGTCCAAGGTCAAGGTGTTAGCAGGTTTGGTTTCTTCTGCAACCCCTCTCGTTGGCTTGCCCATGACAGCCTCTTCACTATATTCACACTATGTCTTTCTTCTGAGTACAAATACTCCCTGGTGTTTCCCTGTGTACCCTCATTTCCTCCTATATGAACATCAGTCAGATTGGATTAGGGCCCACCCTAATGGCCTCTCTTTAAGCTAATCACCTCTTTAAAGACCCTGTCTCCAATATAGTCACATTCTGTAGTACTGGGGCTAGGGCTTCAGCGTGTGAATTTGGCAGGGGCAAGGCACGATTCAGCCCAAAACAGAGCTCATGCTTTAAACTGCTATGCTGTGTGGACTCTCTATTAGAAATGTAACACAATCCGGCTGGGCACGGTGGTTCACGCCTGTAATCCCAGCACTTTGGGAGGCCGAGGCGAGTGGATCACGAGGTCAGGAGATCGAGACCATGCTGGCTAACATGGTGAAACCATGTCTCTACTAAAAAATACAAAAAATTAGCCAGGCTTGGTGGCAGGCACCTGTAGTCCCAGCTATTCGGGAGACTGAGGCAGGAGAATGGTGTGAACCCGGGAGTAGTGAGCCAAGACTGCACCACTGCACTCCAGCCTGGGTGACAGAGCAAGACTCCTTCTCAAAAAAAAAAAAAAAAAAAAAAAAAAGAAATATAACACAATCCCTCTCCCACTAGAAACCTTAGCAGAGAACATCTATCTTGACATTACCAATCTGAGGAAAACACAAAACAAAACAAACACCAAATTTCTATCTTGCCCACAAGGATTGAGTAGACAGTATGATGCCAGCCTTTTCGTTTTTCACATTAAACTCCAATGGGCCATAAGAAAGGAGGTTTTTTTTTTATGTTACTATGGCTCTTTTTAAATAAATTACAGATGCTGCAGCTATTTACCCCAGATCAGTCTTGACCAGTAGAACTCTTCATGATGTTGGAAATGTTCTATATCTGTGCTACCTAGTATGATAGGTACTAGCCACATGTAGCTGTTCGGTACTTACAATGTAAGCAGGTGACTGAGAAACTAAATGTTTAATTGTATTTAATTTTTAAAAATTAAAATAAGTTTAAATAGCCACATGTGGCAAGTGACTATGGTATGGGATAGTTCAGTTCTAGATGATTCAACTAAGTCAATGAGGTCCTTTCCTTCTTAACCTGGTGCTTATCCACTATTTCTGTTCTTGTTTTTATTTTTGTTTTTTGAGATGGAGCCTCACTCTGTCACCCAGGCTGGAGTGCAATGGCACGATCTTGCCTCACTGCAACTTCTGCCTCCTGGGCTCAAGCCATTCTCCTGGCTCAGCCTCCCAAGTAGCCAGGATTACAGGTGGGTGCCACCACACCCAGCTAATTTTTGTAGTTTTAGTAGAGACAGGGTTTCACCATGTTAGCCAAGCTGGTCTTGAACTCCTGGCCTCAGGTGATTCACCTGCTTAGGCCTCCCAAAGTGCTGGGATTATAGGCATGAGCCACCATGCCCAGCCCTTACCCACTATTTCTTACACCAATGAATTATACTTATCTATTCAGTTATGCAGGCCAGAATGCTTGAGTCATCCTTGACATTTACCTTCTAAATGTAATCCATCACCAAGTTCTGTTGATTCAGTTCCTTACAAAAGCTGAAATTTATGTACATGACTACCCTGGTCTAAGCCACCATCATCAAAAGCCTAGGCACCCATAGTATCTCCTAACTTGTTTTTCCCTCTACACTTTTGTCCCATTTTCTAAATGTAATCATGTTGCCCTGTGCTAACAATTTCAATTGTTCTTAAGGAAAATATATTATTGAGTGCTTATTATATGTTAGGTATTGTGCTAAATTCCAAGAATAATACAAATAACAAAACTGAGGAATTATTTTTATGTTGCTCAGCAGCTCCTAACTAATCTGAAGCCTGAGTATTATTCCGAAATCAGTGTCTCAGCTCCAAACACACCAGCTTTCTGGACAGATGGCATGCCCTGTCTGCTCTTCTGTCCATTGAGAATTCGTGGCATAGTATAGTCAGCATACCTATGAAGTGTGCTAGGTTTCTAAGCCAGAGGACACTAAAATAAATCACAGACTCAAGATTTGTATCTGAGACAGAACCAACTTTCAGCTGAAATGCAAAAGAACTATCATAGTAGCTCTGATACATTGTTTTACCATGTATATGGTTCTTTACATAAATGTTAGGCATGGTTTCCACATTTTAAAGGCATATGAATCTGTGAACTACATTTTTTTTATCAATAGTTTATTTTAAACCTCACAATAACCATGTGCATATAGTAGTTAGTCTCTTTTCTACAGCTGAGGAAACTGAAAATTAGAGCGGCTAGGTAAATTGGGCCATGTCATATAGCTATTAAGTGGCTTTGGGGCAGCCAGGTTTCAAACCCAGGGCTGTTCCACACATATGTGCATGCACACACACACACACACACACACTCACACACACACTATAGTCATAAGTGCTAGACTCTCTTGATCACTCAATTACTATAGTAGCTCTGCCAGACAAATGATAGTGGTATAATCAAAAAATAAAATAAAAATCAGGAAATTGAGAGATTAAATGGTGTTCTATAAATTTTAACTATGTGCCAAGTAGTAGATATATATTTTGAGTGAGGTTTATATTTATTCTCATTCTGTACTTTTGTCATTTCCATACACTTTTCCCTCCTCCATTCACTTGAAATACAAAAATCTTGGCACAATTGAAAAAAATGTGCTTCTAAATGAGTTTTGCCTTATTCTTTCCTGTGGGGATATTTTAATATCCAAATAGGAGAATAAAACACGTATTTCTATCACCAGCTTGGTGACACTAAGTGCTCTACAGGACCTCTCATTAAGTGATACCAGGAATCCATAACAATGAACTTAATGACACACAGCATCTGCCCTCAATACTAGGAGTTGGTAGGGCAAACATACTTTACATGATGAATACCATACCACATGGTATTCTAATTGTGCATCAACATTGCATAAAGAAGAATGAACAGAAGAAATAATATTAATCAGGTGTGAGTCAATGGTAGAGCCCTGATGTGATATCTTTAATGCATATTTTTTTTGGATCCTTCGTTCTTTGTTCTTAGAGCAAGCAAGAAAGAGAAACAGAGAAACAGACAGAAACCTACAAACACATCTACGAAGTTTATTTGATATATATGAGATTAAACAGAGTAGCTGCTCCCTATTGCTTTTCCCACTAATCAATGTTTCTTTAAAGTCAGTAAAGATTTTCACTGTGCATTTGTTTTACCTAAGTATTCAAATGCCAACAGACATCCCAAAATGCACGTGCTTCAGCCATGCCAAAAAAAATCAAGACACAAGGCGAGGCTGGAGAAATAGCTAGATATAAAATCATGCCTACCTTGTAGGCCAAGTGAAGGGGAACCCTTGTCTGATGATAAATATATTTTGACAAAATACATAAGTTAAATCTTAGAATGTCAAATCATGCTAAATGGAGAGTCTGGGTCACTATGTAATATAATCCTACTATGTTTTGCATAATGTAGATGTTTTTGATAAAGAATTCACCTAAATAAATCTGAATTTAATTTGGAGTTTTTAATATATATTTTTAATATTTTTAAAAGGTATTCTTGAAGTGCTATCATTTTGAAATAAAATGAACCATCATTTAAATTATAGTCACAAAATGTTTTAAGATATAGAATCAGAAAATAAAATATCTTCTGTCTCTCAGAATAGCTTTACTGCTTAGAAAACCAATTCTACATTATATGAAAACATTTAAGTAAACACAGAGAATGTGTCTCTTTAACATATTTCCTTGTGCAGCAACTAGGATTTCAAAGCTGGGATTTTAAAGACTCTTATCGGCCATCTTCTTCATATATAATAATATGAAATGATAAAAATATAGATTTAGGATATAGATACATACATAGATATATTTATCACTGTTCTAAAATATAGCTCTAAAATATAGAATACCGAATATCTGAAGTATTTAGTGCTAAACAAAATGTATATGTTTATCACTGAAAAAATATTTTATCACCATGAATCTAGTATACATACAACATTTGCAAACTGTGATATCCAAGATAAGGCGCGTGTATTCTCTCAAAGAACTGGCCCATAAAATGTTATATTTAAAGTTTATATGTCCCAAACTCGACTGTGTTTTTTATACTAAAGTGACGGTTAACATTAAGTGTCAACTTGATTGGATTGAAGGATGCAAAGTATTGTTTCTGGGTGTATCTGGGTGCTTCTGGCTGTTACCAGAAGAGTTAACATTTGAGTCTCTGGGCTGAGAGAGGAAGACCCACCCATAATGTGGGTGGGCACCATCCAATCGGCTGCCAAAGTGGCTGGAAAAAGCAGGCAGAAGAAGGTGGAAGAAGCTACTGGGTTTCTGAGTCTTCCGGCCTTCATCTTTCTTCCATGCTGGATGTTTCCTGCTCTCGAACATCAGACTTCAATTTCTTTGGCTTTTGACTCTTGGACTTACACCAGTGGTCTGCCAGGGGCTCTCTGGCCTTTGGCCACAGGCTGAAGGCTGCACTATTATCTCTCCTACTTTTGAGGTTTTGGGGCTGGGATTGAGCCACTAAAGGCTTCCTTGCTCCTCAATTTGCAGACAGCCTATTGTGGGACTTCACTTGTGATCATGTGAGTCGATTCTCCTTAATAAACTCCCTTTCATATATACATATTCCTATTAGTTCTGTCCCTCTAGAGAACCCTAATATACACACAAATATATATATATATGTATAAGTATATATATAAATATGTATATATATTATACAATTTAAGAAAGGCTTTAAGTTCATTGTTTGGAATATTTGTATCCTTTCCTCTAAAGTCCTTGTATTATATGCTAGAAAGATCCTCCCACCTCACTTCCCATTTATTGAATTAATGATGAAAATTGTATATAGGAATGAAAGGGGGCAGGAGAAAAAGAGAAAAAAAATATGACATAGATCAAATTAATTTTCTCCTGGGAACTTTTATTGGTTATGAGGTTCATTTCCACTGAAATATTTCTAGGTGTTACTTTAAAACATTTTGTGCTCATGATAGGTTTTCTAACACTGTTTTAGGCCTAGGAATTTATAATTTTTTGATAAAGCCAATATTTTGTGGCTACCACAGTCTCTCATCTGAACATATAAAGGTGCACATGATATAACAAAACATTGTAGCTGTCATGGAGTTTAAGTTATACATGTCCCATCATTTTATCTAGTAACTAACATATTTCAATGTAGGCTGAGCACAGCAAACCTTTGAAATAGTACAAAATTTGAAGAAAATACTCAACATAAACAAAATATATGGCAACATTAAAACATACTGTAAAAGTTTTACTGGTGGTAGTTTGGCAAGACCTACATAACTTGTCTGCACTCAACCCAAGCTTGAAGGACTATAAAGTTTGAAGCACTATGAATACAAACAAACACACTCACATATAAGTACACACACACACACAGACCTTAAATACACATAGGATCTCTATGCTGTTTTCAACATAAACTGTTGCTGTTGCTGTCTTCCTTGCACCCATAATTACTCCACAATAAACCAGCTGCCATTTCTCCCATCTGTCAATTATGCTAGATCAAAGAGGTTGTTTTTTGATAGTTAGTCCCTTACATATCATGATTATGGAATAATTTATTAAACTTCTCAAAAAGAAGATGTTATATTCAGTGCTTTAGAGCTAATATTATTTGCCTACTCTTCCCTTCCTAAAAGATAATTCCAATATAATTCTTAAGAGGTTGAATATCAAAGCTGTCTCCAGAAAACTCCTACTGTAAATATGCATTTTATAACATTTTCAATCAGATTTTGTGCGCCTGCAACATGAATCATGAATTCTAACGAAAAGAGTAAAGTTGTAGACAGAAAAACCATTAGTAGATGGTTGCATTATTATAGGAAAGAAACGATGTAGTGTGTAATATGAGTATGGGGAACAGCAGATATAAAAATTAAATGGGCTTGGGCTAAATTGTGGAATTAGAATTAGAAATTGATAAAGTAGAATGTGGTTACATGTAGTTAAATAAAAACAAAAGGACATGTTCTACACTCCTACACTGAACTGTTGGGTAGGCAGAGGGTAGTATTATGAACTGAGATAGGAACTAATTGAGGAAGAATGAATTTGAAAGGAAAGAGATAAGTTAAGCTTTAGACACGTTGAGTTGGAGCTAACTGCAAGACAAACAAACAGAAACATTCGGCAGGTGGTTGTGTAGTGGCATCTAGAGCACAGAATACAAGTGAGAGTTGGAGGATTTAGAAAACAATAGCATGTAGGTAATGATGAACTCCATGGCAGTGGATGCAACTGATTACAAAGGGAAAATGGAGTGGGAGAGCTGGGATACTTAGAACCAAGCATGAAGAAACACCAGTCTGTAAGGGATGGATAGAAAAAGAAGAGTCTACTCTGGAGACACAGAAGGCATAGCAAGGGAGGTCATCTTACTACCAGGAGAATGCGCAGCCACAGCATCTGATGGAAGATTGTTTCCAAGAAGCAGGTGAATGCTGCTGGGATGCCAAAAATATGAGGGGTAAGGAGTGCACACTGGATTTAATAATAAAGCTGTCATTGCGCGATTTTTATCATATAGCCCTTTTAACTTCTGACAGTATAAATAACAAAAAAAGAGATGAAGAAAGAACATTAAAAATATAATTGATAATTTTAAGTTAATGAAAGTTATTACAGCTTTTTACATCTCAGATATAGAATGCAATATATTTTCATGTATTCATGAAAAATTTGAAAAAATTAGGCCAGGCATGGTAACTCACACCTGTAATCCCAGCACTTTGGGAGGTCAAGGCAGGTGGATCACTTGAGGTCGGGAGTTTGAGACCAGCCTGGCCAACATGACAAAACCTTGTCTCTACTAAAACAAAAATTAGCTGGGCATGGTGGTGGGCACCTGTAATCCCAGCTAGCTGGGAGGCTGAGGCAGGAGAATTGCTTGAACCCAGGAGGCAGAGGTTGCAGTGAGCCAAGATCACACCACTACACTCCAGCCTGGGCAACAGAGGGAGACTCTATCTAAAAAAAAAAAAAAAAAAAAAAAAGAAAAAAAATTAAACAGTATGTTTCAAGAAAAACTAAATAGAAAAACAGAATATACTTAAAAATTTTAAACCAAGGGTAAAAACAAAATTTCTAACATCTTCAAAAAGAAAATTTTCTGAATAACATTTGGTCAAGGATGGAATAAAACTAAAATTAAAGACTTTCAAAAATACTAAAAATGGAAACATGCACGTCAAGGTTTGTGTATGTGATCTAAGATCTGCTCATCACAAATATTTTTTTATCACATAGTTTTTAAATAGTTTCTTCATTTAAACAGACAGAATAGAAATAAAAGCAGCATGCAGTCCATGCAGGAAGTCTGTATTTTAAAAAAGATTAAAGATAATACAGATAAAAAGAAAAAATTAAGACAACAGGAAATGTGGAATTGATAAATCCATAAGAATTTTTTTAAAAGATCAATACAAATCAAATATATTACTTTTTTAAAAAAATGCAAAATCTATAGGAACAAAACTATAAAAGCACATTGTATGTAGAAAAGAAGTCTTGAGCAGACCATATACTTAAATGTAAAAAATGAATATCCAAAGCTATCAGTTCTTTTAAAAGTAATTTTGTTGTTGTTGTCACTGTTTAATTTTCTTAATTACTTTGGTGAAGATAGTGAGGAGACATAAAAAGTTGGCAGTATTATAAGGAGGTGAGAAAGAAATGAAAATGCACTAAATGACATCTACTTTTACAACATGCTAACTAATAAATTCCAAATAACTAACATGTTTACTGTTTAATATTGAACTGATCTCAGAATAAAGTTAAACTTTCTAAGTACAATAGAAAAAATACACATGCAATTTTATAATAAAAATAAATTTTAAATATACAATTAGAGATAATATTTGAAAAATATATATCATGAAATATATACTGAATATATACTAAATATACAAGTAGCTCTTGTAAGTCAAAAGGAAAAATAGGAATATCCCAGTTTCCACATAAGCATTTATGTGTATTTGTGTGGATATTTGTAATAAATATATAGATAAATGTTCAACCACACAGGTAATCAAAAACTATAATTTTAAAAAGTAATAAGAGTTTAAGTTTTGCCTATGTAATTGATGGAAGTAAAATTGATGCAAACTTTTTAGAGGCAAGCTGAAATATAAAACCAAGGCCCTAAAATACATACACACTTTGTCTCAGTAATTTCACTTATTGTATTTAAACCTAGAGAATACTGAAGATGTACACGAATATGTATTTATAAGGTTTTCTACATTTAATTTATTTATATAATATGTTTAATATATATTGATGTATAATATAAATTTAAGCAACAATTTATATTTCCCTTATGGAGCAGTTCTATGACAGAACATCATATGACCATTACAAATCATACTGTAGGGAACCATTTGTGAAGGATGTCAGAATATACATGATAAACGGGGAAAAATAAAGTTATAAAATGAAGCATAGTGTGATTCTCAATAAAGTATTTAGATTCCTATATAAAATATACAGCACTATTAATACATGAACTATATAAGGCTTTGACAATGGTGCCTTATTCAAGATGATAGATAAGCCATTTGTGGTACTGATAGTGGAAGGTGGTAGGTAGATGAATACCGCCCTGCTTTCCACATGGCCGGTGAATGGTGTATAAGAAATCTAAAAGATTATACACATCCCATTGAGGGCTTACGGAAGTCCTGAAAATGCCAATGTTTTGATAGAGGCATATGATCAGGACCAAGCAACTCTCAAGTGCAGGCACCTCAAGATCAGATGCAAGGAAGTACAAATAGAGATGCCAGAATATCACTCAAAAGCCAGATGAAGCTAATGCATCTCCATGATTATCGGTCATCCCATAATAGAAACTCCTAGGCATCCAAATAATACTACAAGGAATCAAGAATCCCTTTGTTACTGATGCTATGAAGACATAGTAAGCTGACCTCATTTACCTGTATATTTTTGGGGGGATAGGGAAGAAGGAAAGTAAAATTCTAAATTACTGCTAATTTTTCTAAAAAGATAGAGTCATCCAAACTTTTTAAACCAAGCCTGAGGAGAAGCTAAATTTTGAACAGACTTTGATATTTAGATGGGAAGTAAGCTATTTAAACTAGAAGAAACCAAGGTACCACTAACTGGCAAGTCTAAATAGCCTAGACTACTTGTAAGGGTTCGTGTATTCATTTTATTTTTCTGTGAAACAAATTACTACTCTAAATCCATCACCAAGAAATAACCATTGTTCATATGTTAGTATACTTCCTTCTAGTCTTTTTAATGTATTAAATTAAAATATTTTTAACTGATTAGTAGCCTATAGTTTTATTTAACATTATACAAAGAATCACAGATGTATACCTAATATAACTCAGATGTGCAGGAAAAATTAAGGATGATAACAGAGAGTGATGGTCACAGGAAACAAACCTCTCTCTACCACAGCGAGGCTCATGAAGATGACAGTAGATGTAGAAAATAAAAACAAGGCCGGGAGCGGTGGCTCACATCTGTAATCCCAGCACTTTGGGAGGCTGAGGCAGGTGGATCACCTGAGGTGGGGAGTTCGAGAACAGCCTGACCAACATGGAGAAACTCCATCTCCACTAAAAATACAAAATTATCTGCACGTGGTGGCGCTTGCCTGTAATTCCGGCTACTTGGAGGTTGAGGTAGGAGAAACACTTGAACCCAGGAGGCGAGGTTTTGGTGAGCCGAGATCACACCATTGCACTCCAGCCTGGGCAACAGTAGTAAAACTCCACCTCAAAAAAAAAAAAAAAAAAAAAGAAAAGAAAAACAAAATTGCCTTCCTTGGTGTGGATTTGAAGTGATTTTATCTTTTCTCTTTTATAAATTTTCTATATTTTTACTATTTCACATAGTGAGCATGTATTATTTTCATGGCAAAAACTCAATATACATTTTATATATCTGTAACTGTGGCTGCAGGAGCAAAGAATCAGAAAATTACTAAGCCCCCATATGAGCCTTTCTTCACAGCAGTAAACAACTTGAGAGATATCTAACATTTCCTCCTTGTGAATTTTTTTGGAACTAAACCATAATATTAAAAAAGTATAGTGTTATGAGAACACTTCACCGCCAATTCAAAAACTGCTATGTTTCAAACTTGAATTCAGAAGGTGTTAATGCTTAAGCCAATTGAAGGGAGCCCCCAAAGGATTTAAAGTGTATCACAACCCTGAGACTTTGTGTATGTACCATCTCAAATTTAATAAAAACAGTTCATGTTGAGTCCAAATGTCACACTAACTGTGAGACTAAGAGACTAACAGCAAGTGTGTTTTTTGATGGCAGCTGCAGGCAAGACAGACACTATGTGCAAGTGATGCAAAAGCAGTTGCTGCGCCGTTATGTCCCTGCCAACATTTCCACTCAATGTCAGGATTGGCTGCAAAGAATAACTTCCTCCATTCTCAATTTTACATATGTGTATGCTTTACACAAATAAGCAAACAGTGCACATATACGTGATTTCTGCAAACAAGACTCACACGGACTTATGCTTTCAGGTATACACCAACTTTAGATGTGTGAAAGTTAATAATATACTTTAATGTTATGAGTGGGATTTCATTCTCGCTGATTTAAAAAAATTATGAAACCACTAATAATATCTTGTTTGTAATATATAGTTTGACTATATATTTAGACGTTTCTATATAACATTTTCTTAATTCTATTCCTTTGCTATTTTCCTTCACAAGTAAATCCACAGTAAAAATTCAAGAAATCTTTATCTGTGAGGTGAAAAAATTGATATCAATCATAGCAGCCTTTTAAATTCTCCCTTTTCCACTCCCTTGGAAAAGTAGAGACCGTTATGTAAGAAAATATTCAAATAATTGTCTAAACACTTCTATAGAGTGATGGCAACACACCAACTCACAATTGTTTATTCATCAGCTTATACATAAATGTTTCAAATCGGGATTTAAAAAAGAGGTAAAGGGTCAAGTTATTATAAAAAGAAAGTATAGGATTTTAAAAATCCTGACTTCATAGAAGTCAAGGATTGACTATGGTTACAAATTCATCATCTTGGTAATTAAAAAGACAGGCCTGCTTTTGTCAATAAAGTTTTATTGAAACAGCTACAATTAATCATGCAAATATTGTCGATGAGTGCTTTTGTATTACAATGGCAGAGCTAAGTAGTAAGGACAGAGATCACATGCCTTGCAAAGACAAAAATATTTACTATCTTGCCCTTTAAGAAAAAGTTTTTGCTTACCCCTCATGTAGGGCATGAATGAGTTCATATTGTATTTACTAATTTTTTGTTAAAAATCATATATTTTACATATATATTTATTGTGTTTTACTGTGCTTGGCTTTATTGCTCTTCACAGATACTGTGTTTTTTTGTTTGTTTTTACAAATTGAAGATTGGTGGCAATCCTTCGTGAAGGTCTACCAGCTCCATTTTTCCAACAGCATGTGCTTACTTCCTATCTCTGTGTCACATTTTAGAACTGTTGCAATGTTTTCAATGTTTTCACTAGTATATCAGTCATGGCAACCTGTGATCAGTGATCTTTGATATTACTATTGTAATTATTTTGGAGTGCCATGAACCACACCTAAAAGACGGTGAACTTAGTCAATAAATGTTGTGTGTTCAGACTGTTCCAACTGATCAGACATTCCACCATCTCCCTCCCTCTTCTCCTTGGGCCTCACTATCCCATGAAACACAAAAATATAAAAGTTAGGCCAATCTATAACCCTACAATGGCCCACATGTCTCTCACTTTAAATCAAAAGCTAGAAATGATTAAAGTGAGGAAGGCATGTCAAAAGTCAAGAAAGGCTGAAAGTTAGGCCTCTTGTGCCAAACAGCCAAGTTGTGAATGCAAAGAAAAAGTTTTTGAAGGAAATTAAAATTGCTACCCAGTGAATACACAAATAATAAGAAAGCAAAACAGCCTTATTGCTGATGTGGAGAAAGTTTTGAGTTTTCTGGATAGAAGATCAAACCAGCCACAACATTCCCTTAAGCCAAATTCTAATCCAGAGCAAAGTCCTAACTCTCTTCAATTCTATAAAGGCTGAGAGAGGTGAGTAAGCCAAAGAAGAAAATTTGAAGCTGACAGACATTGGTTCATGAAGTTTAAGGAAAGAAGCCCTCCTCATAACATAAAAGTACAAGGTGAAGCAGCAAGCGCTGATGGAGGATCTGCAGCAAGTTATCCAGAAGATCTAGCTGAGATCATTGATGACGGTGGCTATCATTGATGAATGTGGTCTGAAACTGAGTGCACAATATCTCTCAGGTATGCATGTGTGTGTGTCTGTATATGTGTGTGTGTGTGTGTGAGTGAGTGTATGTGTATTCCCACAGGTCCTATACAGAACAATATATGAAAGGGACTTAGACACAGTTTGTATCTGCTACTCATTGGTTTACTGCTCTTCACCAAAAAAGTTACAATTTAGATAATATTTATGTTAAAATTTCAGAAAATAGTTATTTTGTGTCTTTAGCAATGTAAATGACTGTAACATAAAGTTTCTCAGGCACAACTTCTGTCTTTATGGAGAAAAAACAAGCAAAATTTTTGCTTAGTGGTTCTTCCAGTTTGGATTTCCAAGCATATAAATGAATGGTTTGCACTCTTTGCAACTATTGAAACATAATGGTACTAAAGCACCTGTCATTTTCATTAAACAAGGTAAGAGTCTATCTGAATTGTGAGACTGGGAGGGAAGTTGGTACAAATAAAACACTTTCTGGGATCTGAGTAGAGGTAGTGGAAGAGCAGCTGAGAAAAAACTTCAGAGTAAAGCTTTGCCCTGGAGATTACACCAAGAAGAATGCTTCAGGTTCTTTTACAGGACAATTTCCCATTCTTAACATGCCTAATTTAATTCTTACATTATGGTATATTAATTTTATATCATAATATAATTTAATTTTTATATTATATTACAAATGTAATTCTTAAACTATTTTCTCAGTTGGATAGGATATATCTTCAAGTAGGATTTTCAAGAATGTTTGGTGTGTAATGGTTTCTGAGCTCTTGCATATGTAAGTACATCAGCTTCGTCCATAAAAAATTTATAACCTAACCCTATATAATAATGTAAAGCCACTGCCTTTTTCTCTCAGAAATCAGCAGATACTGTTCCACTGGGTTCTACAGGGAAGTATAATGCTAGCCTGATTTTAGCATGTAAAAGATAAAACAAAACTGTAGATTCAGGAATCTTTTTAATGCTTTTTATCAAGTTTTTGCACTAACTGTTCTTCCCCTAAGAACACTTAAAATTATTTAGCAATGTCCAGCTCTTTGTCCTGCACATCTAACATCTTTTCTCTCATCCATTTGAACTTTTTTACACCTTTCTTTAGCATTTAGGAAGAGCGTATTGTGTTTGTCTTCCAAATTACAGACATGATTTCTTAGTGTTAAATCTTTTTCTGCTGGCTCTGTGGATTTAATGTGGCCACTGCATTTTAAAATTTCATTATTTAGTGCATTACACTTTTCTTCATGACCTTTTTTCTTTAGTTGGTTCTCTTTGTATAGATTTCTTATTCTGTTTTACAATAACTGTATCTTCTTACACTCTACTGAGACAGCTGGCCAATTTTCCTACAAGCTTTTCCTATTTCCCCTTTGAGTCTCCAGGAAGAATTTTAAAAATCTCCTTTTCGTTATAAAATGTTAAACATTAATTGTTGAATTTTTAAATAAATTCTAATGATAGGAGATTTATACAGAAAAGGTATTGGAGAAAGCCAAAACTATACAGCCTGGTCATCATAGACCCTGGTGAATTTTTGGAATCTATCAGGCTTTTATACCTTTTGTTTTTGTAGAATTAAAATGTAATTTTCTTCTTTGAACAATTCCAGTTTCTAATTTTATCTCTGGCAATGGAACTTCATATTGGGAGGCAGTGTTTATTTGTCTTTCCCAAAAGTGCCCACCAGCCCCTTCCATGTGTTAGCAAATGTTTTGCTGTGAAGCATACGGAAATAACAAAAGAGATACAGAGAAAGCCATAAAGAGAAGAGAGAAGAGGGTAGGTGGATAATACTTTGATGTGTTCAAATAACAACAATAGTAATGACAGTGGCTATGCCTACAAAAATTCAATAGTTTATTAGTTTCTTTCTCCCAAATCCCTACTCATTCTTTCTCCCTTGATTTGCTATCAATGAATGGAGACAGAGGAGTATTAGTGAAAATAGAGGTGGACTTTGAAGATAGCACTGTGAAGGACTCAAAAGTAGCAGACAAGCAGTAGAAAGACAGCGGCTCATCCTTTAAGAGGTTTCTAAACTGAAGACCCAAGACAGAGGCACAAGACGGAGTCTATATCTTTACTCTTTCGTTTCCTAGCTTGTTGAATTTTTAAATGAAGTGGTGTTAATGATCCATCAACTAAGATTTTCAACCCAAAAATATTAGGCTAAAATTAGTTATTATGTTAAATACTATATATAGTATAATAATATATTATGTTAATGAATATATGTTAATGAATTTCAGTGTTTTATGACATGTCATTATTTATTTATTTTTTTGAGACGGAGTCTCGCTCTGTCGCCGAGGCTGGAGTGCAGTGGCGCGATCTCAGCTCACTGCAAGCTCCGCCTCCCAGGTTCACACCATTCTTCCGCCTCAGCCTCCCGAGTAGCTGGGACTACAGTCGCCCACCACCACGCCTGGATAATTTTGTTTTTGTATTTTTAGTAGAGATGAAGTTTCACTGTATTAGCCAGGATGGTCTCGATCTCCTGACCTTGTGATCCACCTGCCTTGGCCTCCCAAAGTGCTGGGATTACAGGCGTGAGCCACCGCGTCCACCTGACATGTCATTATTTTATATTGTCTATGTCTTCACAGACATTTTATTTCATTTATCTTATTTTTTATTGCTATATCATAGTTGTATATATTTTGGGGATACATGTGATATTTTGATATTTGTATATGATGTGTAAATCACAGTAAATGGGATATTCATCACCTCAAAAATTCATCTTTTCTTTGTGTGGTGAACATCACAATTCTTCTAAGTATTTGGAATTATAGAATAAATTATTGTTAACTGTAATTAGAAATCTAGTTTTGGCTATGCTAGATGTAGCTATTCCAGAGCCATTTAAAGGGTAAGCCCTAGTCCTAAATTATTAAGTCTGCTTCATCTGGCAACTCCTCTTCTGTGTTTCTCAGGTCCTGCCTGGAATCTCATGCTTGTCTACTGAGAGTCTTTCCTTATTCTACATAACTCCTGTGAGGACTAGCTACTGTCTTCAACCCTTCAGGATAAAACGGTGATCATTACATGGCTCTAGTAAGAGTGGTTCTTGGTGTCCAGTGGTCTAGAACGCAACCATGTTGAGCATAATGACTCTTATATGACTTCCAAAATCCAAACTCCTTATGCTTCTACTGTAATACATAAGCTTGCTTTATCCTTCCAGGTAATGTGTTTTGTCTATTGCCTACATTACCATGTCTATTGCCTAATAGTATTAGGTAGGGATAATGTTGAAAACCCACTTCAGGATAACTTGGCTTCTTAACTTCCTCTTGCAGTTGGCTCTTATGGAATGTGCTTAGATTCCTGAACATGTCATAGCTTCTCTTTGCCTGAGTCCATACATGTTGTCTGATTTCTCTGGTTTTATTATCCTCACTCTGCTACTCTCAAATATTCACCTTTCTGTCTCATTTTTAGTCTTTATTTCCCTAGATGCAGATTATATTTTAATAATCCAGTTTCCTGTCTAATTTCCCTGAAATTGGGGTTCTGTTTTCATATTTCTGCAGTCATGCCTACTCTAACCAATTTTGTTAATAGTTTCCAATTTTACCTGCCCTGTCTATGGTGTCCTCACTGGCTTAGGTCAATATGGAATCCCTACGGGCTTCAGAGTCGACCAAAAGAGTAAAATACTATTAAATAACTATGTGTACTAATGTGAGCATATGGCAGGAACCCAATTGCTAGAAATTTCACACTCTGCTGTAGATTTCAGCAATTAAAAAGTGTTAACGCTTTAAAAGTTGCTAATTTAATGAGATTTAGAACCTTAACAGTATTTTATATAAGGTAGCATTCAGCATTTTTAATGCTATTACAGGTTTGTTTAAAAGGCAGAGAAACAAATTGATTAGTCATGGTCCAGAGATACTCTTATCAACCAATCAGCTCTCAAATCCTTCTACCTTATTATAGCAACTGATTTAATTTTGTTGTACAATACTGTCCATTAGCATAGCATGTTTTATTCAGTCATCTCCAGTAGTTTTTAGACTAATAAATTTCTGAAAGTCTCGCTACAAATGAGAAGTCCAAAGGAGAGTCAAATAGGAATTACTTCCAGAAACAGCAACCATAAGCAGTTGAGGAAAAGACACAAGAATTATTACAAGATCAAAGCTCAAATTATTGGCCAGATACCAAGGTATCCACAGAAATATAGCTCAAACCACAGATGAAAGTAATATATGTAATGTTAAATTTTCTAGTAGCCATATTTTAAAAGTTTAAATAAAAAAGCAGGTGAGGTTAACTTTAATAATATATTTTATATAACCCCAATATATCCAAGTTAATATTTTGTTATTAAATCATCTGCAAGCGTGGCTAAGAATTAAAGACCTGGTGTGTATCTTACACTGATAGAACATTTCATTTTGGACTAGTCATATCTCAAGTAATCAATAGTTACATGGGACTAGTGGCCACCATAGGGGACAGTTCAGGTCTAGATTTCTATGTTATCTATAGAAATAGATAACATAGAAAAAATGTTCTAGAGAAAAAATAATAATTGATAAGTACGTGAGGTAAGGCAAATGTTAACTGGCTCGGTTTAGCTATTTCACAATGCATACATATTTCAAAATGTTGCACAGATTATATATAATTTGTCAATTAAAAATTTTTAAATGGTATAAAATAATTAATATGAGAGAAAATAGTTATTTTCTCTTACCTGCACAAATCTTCTTTAATGTGAAGGGAAATCAATTCCTTAGGAATATGAAAGGAAAGAATGCTCTCTGACATCTGCTCTCGAATTCGCATCCACTTATTGTCAGATGTGGGAAATCTATATAATTTACATACTGGGTTCTTTAACACTGGAAAAAAAAAGAAAAAATAATAGTTAAATTCTAAGCAAATGCATGTCAGGTGAAGCTCAATTAATAAAACCATTAATCAAGATGGCATTTTTATTATTCATTTGATCCAAAATGTCTTTTTTTAAATCAAAATCCATTAGTGTATCTGAATTTCTAAGAATTTTATTTTGATTAGTGTATCTGAATTTCTAAGAATTTTATTTTGACATCTTATTTTTTTCAGTAGCTTCTGAGACATATAATCTTTGTTAAATTAAAAAAAATTATACATCAAACTCCAAATCATAAATGTGGCTACTGTGGCTTTCTAGTTTACTACCTATTGATTCTTCTCTTCTTCTAAAGTTTTATAAAGTGTATGTGTCTACAAACATACATTAAAGCATAAGTATGTACACCTAATATATACTTTGAACAAATATATTTCTGAATTTCTTCTGATCACTTTTAGTCAACTTTACCTATTTACATAGCAGGTCACAAACTGATATGTTATTTTAGGAGTTACAAAAGGTCTTACTAAATGTTATTTCTTACGTGTCAGAAAGGTTCACTCTTTTGTCTTAAAATCTGTAAAAATTCAAATACCAAGCATACTTTAGTGCCAATGAGTCAATAACACACTTTTCTGAAACCATGTATTATCAGAAGCAAGGCAGAGAGACTGTGAAGAAACTGTATTTAGGGTGGAGGGGAAAGGAACAAGGTCATGTAACCACAATTTTAAAAAACTTCAGAAAAAGCATATAGGATTAGATATTATGATAACATTTGATACTTATTAGTGAAGCCAGTACTCATACCACACTTTCAAGTCATCAGGGGAGAATTTCATTTCCATTGCTCTTCAGCAATGAATGCCTATGTCACACTTACACACCAAAGCTTAGTGGGCAACAAAATATCAAGTCAGTCACCAGTCAAGAATCTATGATTAGCTGGCTTCAGTTTACAATAAGGCTAATTAAAAATATCAGTTGATATTGAAGCAGAAGGCTGTAAAAAATACTGAACATGGTATGTCGGCTAGATCTTCTCAATGTACAGGGAAAAATTCTTTTCAAAATTTTAGGGTCTGTAAGAACAACATATTTCATTCACTACTTGGGTAAAAATATATCTTCTTGAACACTGAAATGAGGATCTATTCATCCTTTCCTCTGCAATCATCCATTCTCAAAGGTACACTAGGGACATTATCATTATCAAAATTGGTACCATAATGGAAATTTTGATTTCGAACATCCCATTCTTCAACCACCAGATTCAAAACTTCTAGTACATGTACATGCGTCCTGCCAAGAATTAGAGTGCTTACTTTTCAACAGCACCAACAGAAGCCAGAAGAAAGTACACTATTTCTAGCATGTTGAGAGAAAATACTGCATTTTAAAATCTAGAGCTGTATGCTCCCAAAGATTATCTTTTGAATATAAGCACAATATTTAAATTTTGTCAATTTGGTTGTTTACAGAATATATATTTAGAGTTCATTATCTTTACTTTCTTTTGCCTGAAATATAAGAACTTACAGCCAATCAATAAAAGAAAATAAAAAGTTTTAGTCATTTGTAAAGTGACAGTGTTTCAAAGATATAAGAATTTGATTACTGCTTCTATTATAGTATCTCTGGAATAGGAAGAGAAAAAATATGTACTAAATTTATTATGGTGTCCATATACCAAATATGAGATCTCATGAATTCCCAATATATCTAACATGGTTAGGAATAAGCATGCATTATTTTATGGTAAGACAAACTTCAGTCCTTAAAATGGCCAAATTGTTTCTTATTTAGCAACATATATAAATATTTAGTTACTTAGTTTATCTAGAGTCAGTATAAGTGCTATTTTTCAACCTCTTTTTTTTTCATGATCACACAGAACTTTTGTATCTCCTAAAGCAAGGTTAAAAATCCTTGGATTTTGCTTGCCTTTTATACATCAATAATAATTTTTTAGAAAAACTGTATTTTTAATTATGTCACAAAATATAAAAGTCTTCCTTTGTTGATCTCAAAACGAATCCTTCTAATTTTTAGTTTATTGTTTTCTTTTTTTTTTTTTTTGAGACAGGGTCTCATTCTGTCACCAAGGCCGGAGCTTAATAGTGTGATCTCAGTGATCTTCCTGTCTCATCCTCCCAAGTAGCTGGGACTACAGGAGCATGCCAGTTTTTTTTTTCTTTTCTTTTTTTGTAAAGACAGGGTTTCACCATTGTTACCCAGGCTGGTCTTAAACTCCAAACTCCTGGGCTCAAGCTATCCGCCCATTTCTGTCTCTCAAAATGCTGAGATTACAGGTGCAAGCCACCACGCCTGGCCTTATTGTTTCCATTCTAATACTCTTCAATGCACTCTGAATATAAACCTTTGTTGAAATAGATTAAACAGAAATCAAGGGTGGTTTGATTAATGAACACCAGAACTCTCCTGTAACTACCAGGTACACATCATCCAAGGACTCTCTAGGAATGCTGCTATTTATAAAGAAAATACTTGTAACAATTTAAAAACCAGGCAATTTAATCATACAAAAAATTGCCAGTGATGTTGCCTATTTAACTTTTATGTTATGGGTTCTGATCTTTTGAGACTCATACTCCAAACATTAGTACTAAATTGCGTATCTTTATCATTATCTCAATGTAGATATAATGGAATCTACTTTGCAACCCAGTTTGACCCAGCAGTGTTGCTTATTAAACACCTATCATGTCTGATGCAAGAATACCTCCTATGTATCATAAAATACAGTATAACAGAGTATTATTTTTTAAATAAAGAAACTGGGTCTGAACTTTAAATACCATGCAGATTTGTTGCACTGGTTACAAAAAGAGCAAATAAAATGTTCTCAACTCAAAATTCTTGATGGTCTGATGGTGGGGAGGTTTTGTTATCGCACATAAAAGAAAGGCACGGTACTCATGTATCGAATATTGAACAATGTGCCACAAAAGATGAATGTTTTGTCAACTTTAAAAAAAAAGATTCTTCTCTATAGCATACACACTCTGCTCACACACACTCCAGCTGTGGAAATAAGCAAATAACTGTGTGAATGACTTTCATCTCTGGCTCTCCACTGGTGGCAAGTATTTATTCATGCAGGAGATGGCTTGCTATCCATACAATAGGCTTATCTCAATAACTATGTAATACCTATTATAAGTTCTTTTTAAAGAGAGCCCTGTGTGTATTCTCATCTTCATTTTTTTTTTACTGCTTTTGCCATACAATTGCTAAAAATATCATGCGACCGATTATATCAAAAGAAAAGTAGTTGAGACATTTTGGACCATATCATTGTATTGTGATGACAATGTGAGTAAAGTTCTAAACTAGTCCAGATCTTGATTGACACATTCCCCTTGAGGTCCACCCCTTGAGATCCACCCCTTGAGATGAACACATAGAAGGAAAGTAAACGGCAGATTTTTCTTTCCTTTGAAATTGCAGCACAACTCAAATTTCTATATTGTTTCTCCCAGATTGTAATAGGGACATTTAACAAGGTAGCATGTCACCTGCTTTTTCATGGGATTCAGTAATTGTGAAAGCCAAACTGCTGCAGTTCTAAATTATCCAAAGTAAGGATGCCAAGGAAATGTTCAACAGAGCCAACACAGATAGAAAAGACTGTTGCTCAAGTAACCTTGGGGCAGAAAAGATAAATCAAAGAGATATCATAGGGATGGCCTTCTCTTTGCTGTTTCTGTAAACAAAGGTATGCTAGGAATATCAGTGGGTTGACTGGACAAGAAATTTTGGAAATACAGATTCAGGGTCCAGGGGATAATCAAAAAGCTCAAACATTTATTTCACCAGGTTATCGTTTATATGTTTCTCCAGAGGAAGCTAATCTGTGATTATCTTCACACACTTTCTTGCTTCCAGTACACGATAGAAGCAGCATATTTAAATGAATCCAACTTGATTGGCTTCAGGCAGTACATTCATTATTTTACTACACTGCAGATTCTTGTAGAGAATCTATTCATTCCATAGTTTTAATTATGTAGTTGTTTAATTAATTATTCAGCTAAATGTATCTATATTGCCTATTCTCCAAAAGCTACATTATACTTTCTAAGGATAAGTCTGTAATCCAATTAGACACTGACACATCCTCATTTGTATTTGAAGATATCTTAAATACATAATAAATGAAACTTGGCTCTTTTAAAGATCGGATGAGCACTGAGAAATCTAAACAGAAATTTTACAAAAACACTATCCTTAGCATGGCTTCAGAAAAGTGAGGGTAAGAAAAACATGAGAGGAGCTCAGAAAATACAGCAAACAGATACCCTGAATGCAGCCAAACCCACAAGCTCCTGGCCAAAAATAAGAAAAACTATTGCAGATGTCATAATAAAACACAAACGTATTATTTGTCTGCAGTTGGTGACAATTGGTGAATTTCATCTGTAGAATTTGGATTTGAGATCTTGGGTGGTTAGAAAAAGGATTGGCCTTAGTTCTGTTCATTCTGTTTCAGTGAGTGAAGGATACAACTTGTAAAGCTAGAAGCTAGCTTCTATTTCATGCTGAAAAAACCAAGACAACCCATACTCTATTCCACTCATCAAGTTGTTTCTTGCCAGTATGCCTCTGATCAAGGCATTCCATGCAAATCACAGGAACCCCCCACTTTCCTAACCACATGTAATCATCCTATAAACTTAGCTCAGCTATCGCCTCCTCCAGGAAGCCTTCTTCAGTTTCTACTACCTCCCTCCCTATATAGATGTCTCTCCTTTTTACATCACATCCCCGTCTCTATCTTGGTTCTTACCAACTGTACTACAGTAGTCTGTTTAGTGGTCCATGTCTCCCATGGGAATATGAGCTTTATGTGTGGGGGGAGTGGTGGAGAGAGCTGTGTGGTTTTTCTTGTTCTCTTTTTTTCCTCCTGCACTTACCATAATGCCCAGTAAATATAAACATTCCACAGAAGTGAGCCTTAGATCTGGCAACTCAGATGTTTCTCGTCATTACTCTCCCCATGAAGAGAGCAGGTACACCACCAATTGTGGAAATTGAGAGGGGAAAATGCAAGACGGAAGAGCATAATTAAAAGCCCCAATGCAAGAGAGAGCACAGGGATCAGAATCAGGGAAAAGATTAACCGTAACTGAAAGACCCCTTTATGTTCTTCCACAAAATGTAAACTTTTTGACTATTATCACTGTTTTGCCTATATTGTTTTTCTCCTAGTTTACCTAAAGGAGGAAGAGGAGGAGATAAATGGACTTAGGAAAGATAGTTGAAGCATTTAAAGTCATCTAAGAGATGGTTCTATTCATCATTAGATAGTCAAATTTACTCTTCCATTTGAAGCTACTTAACATCTTAAGTTAAATCCTGTATTAGCACACAGTAATGAAAACATATGGAAATTTCAATAGAGCAAAGCCAGTGGATTGCATCACGTTTGTTAAAACAGCAAAGGACAAATAAATCTAGGGAGGAAGTGAAAAGGATCAAGGGCCAATGTTATAAGCCAAGATGGCCCTAAATTTTACATACCAGAGACTTACAAACACTGAGGCAACATCCATTTAAATCACACGGAGAAAATATATTTTTGTTGTTATAAAATGAATATCATCTGATATTTGACAAAGTAGTGAATTTAGTAACACATTAATGAAAGGAAAAATAGGAAAAAATTTGGCATTTGCTTTTGGCTGGAATTCATCAGGACTCAAAATGAGTATAGCAGGAACTAGTTTTGAGAATCTTAAAATATTCTGAATCATGCATTGTTTGGATGGGGGTGGTAATGAGGAGAAAGTTATCTCAATATTTAGCTCAATTGTGTGGTATTGTGAAAGTCAATTAAAATCTATGGTGCTACATGGTAGAACAAACTTTATTATTATTATTATTATTATTTATTATTATACTTTAAGTTCTGGGATACATGTGCAGAACATGCAGGTTTGATACATAGGTATACACGTTCCATGGTGGTTTGCTGCACCCATCAACAAGTCATCTACATTAGGTATTTCTCTTAATGCTATCCCTCCCCTAGCCCCCCACCCCCTGACAGGTCCCAGTGTGTGATGTTTCCCTCCCTCTGTCCATGTGTTCTCACTGTTCAACTCCCACTTACGAGTGAGAACATGCGGTGTTTGGTTTTCCGTCCCTGTGTTAGTTTGCTGAGAATAATGGTTTCCAGCTTCATCGATGTCCCTGCAAAGGACATGAACTCATCTTTTTTTTATGGCTACATGGTATTCCATGGTGTATATGTGCCTTTTTTTTTTTTTTTTTTTTTTTTTTTTTTGAGACAGAGTCTTGCTCTCTTCCCCACTCTGGAGTGCAGTGGTGCGATCTCGGCTCACTGCAAGCTCCGCCTCCTAGGTTCACGTCATTCTCCTGCCTCAGCCTCCCGAGTAGCTGGGACTACAGGCGCCCACCATCATGCCCGGCTAATTATATTTTTGTATTTTTAGTAGAGGCAGGGTTTCACTGTGTTAGCCAGGATGGTCTTGAACTCCTGACCTCATGATGCACCTGCCTCAGCCTCCCAAAGTGCTGGGATTACAGGTGTGAGCCACCATGCCCAGCCCACATTTTCTTCATCCAGTCTATCACTGATCGGCATTTGGGTTGATTCCAAGTCTTTGCTATTGTGAACAGTGCTGCAATAAACATACGTGTGCATGTGTCTTTATAGTAGAATGATTTATAATCCTTTGGGTATATACTCAATAATGGGATTGCTGGGTCAAATGGTATTTCTGGTTCTAGATCCTTGAGGAATCTCCACACTGTCTTCTAAAATGGTTGAACTAACTTACACTCCTACCAACAGTGTAAAAGCGTTCCTATTTCTCCACATCCTCTCCAGCATCTGTTTCCTAACTTTTTAATGATTGCCATTCTAACTGGCATGAGATGGTATCTCATTGTGATTTTGATTTACATTTCTCTAATGACCAGTGATGATGAGTTATTTTTCATATGCCTGTGGGCCACATAAATGTCTTCTTTTCAGAAGTGTCTGTTCATATTCTTTGCCCACTTTTGGATGGGTTTTTTTTCTTGTAAATTTGTTTTAAGTTCCTTGTAGATTCTGGATATTAGCCCTTTGTCAGATGAATAGATTGCAAAAATTTTCTCCCATTCTTTAGGTTGCCTGTTCACTCTGATGATAGTTTCTTTTCTGTGCAGAAGCTCTTTAATTAGATCCCATTTGTCAATTTTGGCTTTGGTTCCCAGTGCTTTTGGTGTTTTAGTCATGAAGTCTTTGCCCATGCCTATGTCCTGAATGGTATTGCCTAGATTTTCTTCCAAGGTTTTTATGGTTTTAGGTCTTATGTTTAAGTCTTTAATCCATCTTGAGTTAACTTTTTGAATAAGTTGTAAGGAAGAGGTCCAGTTTCAGTTTTCTACATACGGCTAGCCAGTTTTCACAACACATTTATTAAATAGGGAATCCTTTCCCCATTGCCAGTATTTTATTGAGGATTTTCGCATCGATGTTCGTCAGGGATATTGGCCTGAAATTTTCTTTTTTTGTTGTGTCTCGGCCAGGTTTTTGTATCAGGATGATGCTGGCCTCATAAAATGAGTTATGGAGGAGTCCCTCTTTTTCTGTTGTTTGCAATAGTTCCAGAAGGAATGGTACCTGCTCCTCTTTGCTTGTTTGTGTCAGGTTTGTCAAAGATCAGATGGTTCTAGATGTGTGGCGTTATTTCTGAGGCCTCTATTCTGTTCATATATATGTATATGTGTGTATATATATATGTGTGTATGTATACATATATATGTGTATGTATACATATATGTGTATGTATACATATATATGTGTATGTATACATATATGTGTATGTATACATATATATGTGTATGTATACATATATGTGTATGTATACATATATATGTGTATGTATACATATATGTGTATGTATACATATATATGTGTATGTATACACACATGTGTGTATGTATACATATATATGTGTATGTATACACACATGTGTGTATGTACACACACGTGTGTGTATACACACATTATATATATGTGTGTGTGTATACACACATTATATATATGTGTGTGTGTATACACACATATATATATGTGTATGTATACACACACATATATATATACATATATGTGTTTTGGTACCAGTACCATGCTGTTTTGATTACTGTAGCCTTGGAGTATAGTTTGAAGTCAGGTAGCATGATGCCTCCAGCTTTGTTCTTTTTGCTTAGGATTGCCTTTGCTATATGGGCTATTTTTTCTTTTTGTTCCATATGAAATTTAAAGTAGTTTTTTCTATTTCTGTGAAGAAAGTCAATGGTAACTTGATGGGGATAGCATTGAATCTACAAATTACTTTGGGCAGTATAGCCACTTTCATGATATTAATTCTTCCTATCCATGAACATAGAATGTTTTTCCATTTGTTTGTGTCCTTTCTTATTTCCTTCAGCAGTGGTTTGTAGTTCTCCTTGCAGAGGTCCTTCATATCCCCTGTAAATTGTATTCCTAGGTATTTTATTCTCTTTGTAGCAATTGTGAATAGGAGTTCACTCAAGATTTGGCTCTCTGTTTGTCTATTATTGGTGTATAGGAATGCCTGTGATTTTTGAACATTGATTTTGTATTCTGAGACTTTGCTGAAGTTGCTTATCAGCTTAAGGAGATTTGGGGCTAAGTCGATGGGGTTTTCTAAATATAGAATCATGTCATCTGCAAACAGAGACAATTCGACTTCCTCTCTTCCTATCTGAATACCCTTTATTTCCTTCTCTTGCCTGATTGCCCTGGCCAGAAATTCCATTACTATGTTGAATAGGAGGGGTGAGAGAGGGCATCCTTGACTTGTGCCAGTTTTCAAAGGGAATGCTTCCAGCTTTTGCCCATTCAGTGTGATATTGGCTGTGGGTTTGTCATAAACAGCTCCTATTATTTCGAAATATGTTCCATCAATACCTACTTTATTGAGAGTTTTTAGCATGAAGGGGTGAATTTTGTCAAAGGCCTTCTCTGCATCTATTGTGATAATCATGTGGTTTTTGTCATTGGTTCTGTTTATGTGATCGATTATGTTTATTGATTTGTGTATGTTGAACCAGCCTCGCATCCCAAGGATGAAGCTGACTTGACCGTGGTGGATAAGCTTTTTGATATGCTGCTGGATTCAGTTTGCCAGCATTTTATTGAGGATTTTCGCATCAATATTCATCAGGGATATTGGCCTGAAATTTTCTTTTTTTGTTGTGTCTCTGCCAGGTTTTTGTATCAGGATGATGCTGGCCTCATAAAATGAGTTAGGGAGGAGTCCTCTTTTTCTATTGTTTGGAATCGTTTCAGAAGGAATGGTATCAGTTCCTCCTTGTATCTCTGGTAGAATTTGGCTATGAATCAGACTGATCCTGGTCTTTTTTTGGTTGGTAGGCTATTAATTACTGCCTCAATTTCAAAACTTGTTATTGATCTATTCAGGGACTCAATCCTTCTGGTTTAGTCTTGGGAGGGTGTATGTGCCCAGGAATTTATCCATTTCTTTTAGATCTTCTAGTTTATTTGCATAGTGGTATTTACAGTATTCTCTGATGGTAGTTTGTATTTCTGTGGGGTCAGTGGTGATCTCCCCTTTATCATTTTTATTGTGCCTATTTGATTCTCCTCTCTTTTGTTCTTTATTAGTCTGGCTGGTGGTCCATCTATTTTGTTAATCTTTTCAAAAAACCAGCTCCTGGATTCACTGACTTTTGGAAGGGTTTTTTGTGTCTCTCTCTCCTTTAGTCAGAGGCAGTACAAAATTTTTAATGAGACTTAAGGAAAGTAATATTTTATTCCAAACCTAAATAATTATATTTGAAAATCTTTCTCAAAGAAAGAAAAATAATTGAGTTTTCTGTTATCTGAAGTGTAAATTCAGATAAGATACACCTGTTGTTTACCATTTAACAAGCATTATTGTATTCTTGTATGGAAGAGCCTCTGTGTGCTCAGGAGGGAAAGAAGGCATCACCCCTCCTGCCCCTGCCCTCCAGGCTCCTGTGCTCCCATCTACTCTAGGCACCTTCCACTCCCAGGATATGTTTATATTGTACATCACCAGAATGATGCTTCACTGGTTGCTGACCACCCCCATCCCAAGATCAGGTTAGCTCTGTGCATTTTTCCCTTTAAGAGGGTATCAGTGAATGGATTACATCTATATCCAGACTCCAAGACTATCAATTTTTGAAGCCTTTTCCCCATGAGATTTAAGAAAGAAAAGCACCCGTTCCTCCCCCTCCTTTCCCTCTCTCTGTCTCTGTGTTTCTCTCTCTCTCTCTCTCTTTTTTTTTTTTTTTTTTGAGATGGAGTTTCACTGTTGTTGCCCAGGCTGGAGTCCAGTGGCATGATCTTGGCTCACTGCAACCTCCGCCTCCCGGGTTCAAGTGATTCTCCTGCCTCAGCCTCCCAAGTAGCTGGGATTACAGGTGCCCATTACCACACCCAGCTAATTTTTTGTATTTTTAGTAGAGACGGGGTTTCACCATGTTGGCCAGACTGGTCTTGAACTTCTGACCCCAGGTGACCTGTCCACTTCAGCCTCCCAAAGTGCTGGGATTTCTCTCTCACTCTCTGTATGTGTGTGTGTGTGTGTGTGTATGTGTGTGTGTGTGTGTATGTGTATGTGTTTAGGCTTAGGAGTCACCATTATTTAAAGGGCCATGTGGGGAAATCAACTCTCTTGCTTGGTTCTCTTGAAATCTCAGGGGCACATTCAGCAGGACTGGAAATTTTTATTCCTTATAATGAATTTTTTTTCTACCAATAAATTGTTCACCAAATTCTAACTGATTGGAGATTTCTAGATCAATGGGAGAGGGTAGATGCTAAATAATGAAGAATTCAATTTATAACATTTAAGTGCCCAGAGGTTGTTAACATAAAATGATATAGACTGCAAATAAAAAAGCAATGTTCCTTCCTCCTAAGTAGCTTACAATCTAGTATCTTCTTCAAAACAACAATAGTAGGTGGTTTAACCCTATTTGGTGAAAAAGAATCAAAGCTGTGAAGCAAGATGTACAAATACCGGTAAGTTCTCCACATAGGAGGGCAAACTGCACATATTTATGACTAATAGCAGCACAGTCTCCTCATCTTTGTTTGGATTCCAACTCACACAGTCATGGAAATCATGGTTGTTAGGTATACAAAAATACTGTATCACATCTAATGCTTGCTGAGTGGGGGAAACTCACTCTAAATGGGACCATAATGGGAAACTTTCTCACAGGGTCTACTAGCTTCTTAGATTTGGCATGGTAATTTGAGGGTCTATGGGCTGAAGTACTCTGTAGAATTATATAATAATTTTACCAAAAAAAGAGAGAATTAAGAAATTTACACAGAATTGTCTTTAAAACTTTTTTTAATGTTCTATCACTGGTCAGACTTTTTAACTGTAAATAATAACCTCTGAGAAAGAAAACTATAAATGCCAAATATTCCTCCATATAAAACTGATGAAAATGAATACTTTCATGAAGTGTTTCTAAAAGGAAGGAGAACAATGCAAACACTAACCTATGCGACATCAACTTCAAACATTTGAGAGCCAAAAAGGAAGTCAAAAACTGTTTAGGTTAATTTGGTCATTTTAAAATAATTGAAAGGCAAAGAAGCTGAACTGTCTTTCAGGATGAAACGGCTGGTTGAAAAACCTAGGCTTTAAAATCATTTCTTCTGTCAGTGCATCCAGTGTTCTTGTATTAATACTACCAGAGCCCATTTATCATCGCTGTGCTGCAAACAAGGTGCCTCAGTTAGTGTGACTTAGGCACCAAACTCCATGACTATGTGAAAGACCTACCATCTCCCCTTCTATACAGTCAAGATTCACTTCCCCTACTCCCATTTCCACCTCACCTCCAATAGAAAATAGTTTAAAGTTTTCTTAGTACTATTTTACTTAAACAAATAAGCAAATAATTAGAGATAAGTCTGCTTTTTAACAACTTAATTTTATGAGTTATATTGTTAGAAAGTCAAACTAAGTAAGAGCTTCACATGTTTATTACATACTGTGTCTTCTAGTGTGCCTTGTTTGTATTTCCATGTAATTAAGGTACTTATATATCTTTCTTATGGAATTGTAAATTCTGTCCCACCTCTTCCTTATTCTCTCTCTCCTTCCACCCTAAATTCACCAGATTCCCAACATACACATTCAACTTGCAAGGGCATGAAAAGGGTGAGGCCTTAGGGGAAAGTCTTTTTCTTCTTAGTTTTACAACAGATAAGTGAACTTCCTGATTTATACCAAAATCGCTAGAGATGTAAATAGAATAGTGACGAACTGATATAAGATATGACATTCTCTCCCACTCAGTAAGTACTTCATAACTCACTGGAGACTGAAAAGCTCCATTTAAGACATTAATACAAAGACTTGAGAAGAATGTCAATAGCTTACTTTGCCTACAGATTAAAGAAATACCACATGGGTACAGAATGGATTAATTTCAAAGTTGCTGAGTTTAGATAGATAGATAAATAAATAGAACAAAAGATTAAAGTGCACAGGCCAAAGTCATATACATATTCTATATCTGCACAATGCACCTTTATATTTTGAACAGAAACATTTTATGAATAGCTCTTAGTTGTATTTTTATAAAGTTTTAAAAAATCCAGTCTTTATAACATTTGACTTTCATTTAGTCTCATCTTCCCCTGATAAAAGATGACTCCAAGAAAATATCTGTGGCAAATATCCTAGGTTCTGGGTGGTCCTCCAGGCTGACTGGACTACAGACATTTAGAAATATATTCAGAACTAAGTGGACTGCCACCACCAAACTGTCACCTCCATAAAAGGAAAAAAGCAATAATTAATCATCTTTCACTCCACAAAGTATATTTAAATTGCAGAATGCAGCTGCTCCTATCAATTTTATGTCAGTAGTTTTTGTCATATTACAATTTATATGTAACAAACAAATACCCTGGTAATCTGAAAGAATTAGTATGGCTTCCAACACTTATGCCTTACAGAGTTTATGGCACAACTATGGAGAGGTAAAGATCTATTTTTCAATATGATCTCTGTGTCTCTTCTTCCATAAGTAATATGTTTGCTTGATTTTAAAGTAATGTTTCTCTTTCTCCTTGAAATTTATACTTAACCAATAAGCATGACAAAATGCCACTTCTTTTTGTGCATATAAAAAAGTTACGGGGTTCACATAAGTCAGTCATTAAAATTTGTCTTATAATTATAGTATAGATGATTTTGGTGATAACCTGAATCAAGCTGTATTTAACATGAACTTAATATCCCACTCAAATTTATTTTTAAAAATTAACATTTAATGAATGACATAAATTATGGTTTATGAACATATTAAAGTAAATAACTAAAGGTTTAGTCAACTTTCAGGTGAAAAACAAATGTGAGGAGGACCCTTTGATAATACTTTAAATATTTTAAGAGCACTAATAACTCAGATGCTTTTAGGATGTATGGTTGATTTATTAATAGCTGTCTGGGTAGACCCTTCAAAACGCTATTTAGTACATACCCCACAATATTATATCTTTCATTAAAAATAAGAAAAATCCCATCTCATTTGGCTGTAGGCTGAGAAACACCTGTTCTTCCTTGGGTTAATTCTTCATTCTGTGTAAGTGGACTTGATGTTTTTAAACATATTGCTCAATTAAATTGTATTTTGTTTATCTGTGTGTATAAACAGAGCCAAAGGGATGCCTCTCCTTCCCCATTCCCTATTGTTGGCTGCCTCTTGCAAGAGAAAACTGCTAATCATTTAGGGGTTATGTATTTGTAAGCTGCTGAAGTTGTGTATTATTCATTAACCTGATTATCATGCTATGTCACTGCTTAAATGTACAACATGGCAGGGCTAGAAAAAAGAGTAAGGTATTTTACTGTGACACCAATTTGTTGATTAATGCCTTCTTAGTAAAACCACAGCCTATCGCTTATGAGCAAAGGCCTTGGAATCAAAGTGGATTTAAATTCTGGACCCACTGTTTACCGCATAGGTGATCTTGAAGACTTCCTCATTTGTGAAATATGGATAATGATAGTACCTTCCTCATAGCACATGTCAGAGGATTATCTAAGACAAGGTACATAAGGTATTAGCATATTGCCTGTCACTATAGTAGTCATTTTTTTTTTTTTTTTTTTTGAGACGGAGTCTCGCTCTGTCGCCCAGGCTGGAGTGCAGTGGCGCGATCTCGGCTCACTGCAAGCTCCGCCTCCCGGGTTCACGCCATTCTCCTGCCTCAGCCTCCCGAGTAGCTGGGACTACAGGCGCCCGCTACCACGCCCGGCTAATTTTTTGTATTTTTAGTAGAGACGGGGTTTCGCCGTGTTAGCCAGGATGGTCTCGATCTCCTGACCTCGTGATCCGCCCGCCTCGGCCTCCCAAAGTGCTGGGATTACAGGCGTGAGCCACCGCGCCCGGCCAGTAGTCATTATTTACTAACAGTCATTTAATTTACATTATCATTTAAAAATTGGTTCCATAATTTTACATATTCATATTATCACATATATTTTAACAGTACTATATGTCTCAATTTTATTCATAAATACATTTAGCATACAGTTTAATACCTTGTTGAAATGCAAACATATTATGTGAATAATGCAGTACACACCTACATACCCAAGAATGTACAAATGTGATTATTAAGTTTTCCTACTGAATCCATATATCTATTCTTTTAACAGCTTTATGAGTTATATAATTAGGAAGTCAAACTAAACAAGAGCTTCACACTGTCTTCTAGTGTTTCTTGTTTTGGATAATACATGATCCAATAGCTAAAAGAAATTTATAGTCGTGTAGTTTAACAAGGGGTTATGTTCTGAGAAAGTAGTCATTAGGCAATTTCGTCATGGTGCAAACATCATAGAGTACACTTACAGATACCTAGATGGTAGAGCCTACTACACACCTACGCTCCAGGGTATCGCCTATTGCTCCTAGGCTACAATCTGTATAGTATGTTACTGTGCATAAATATGTAGGTAACCACACCACAATGGTAAGTATTTATGTACCTAAACATATCTAAACATAGAAAAGGTACAGTAAAAATATGGTATAAAAGATTAAAAATGGTACACCTGTAAAGGGCATTTACCATGAAAGAAGCCTTCAGAGCTAGAAGAAGGTGCTCTGGATGAGTCAGTGAGTGAGTGGTGGGTGAATGTGAAGTCCTAGAACATTACCACATACTACCGTAGACTTGGTAAACAGTGTATGCATAGGCTACAACATTTTTAAAATCTTTTCTTTCTTCAATAATAAATTAACAGAGGAGCCAAGATGGCCGAATAGGAACAGCTCCGGTCTACAGCTCCCAGTGTGAGCGATGCAGAAGACAGGTGATTTCCGCATTTCCATCTGAGGTACCGGGTTCATCTCACTAGGGAGTGCCAGAGAGTGGGCGCAGGTCAGTGGGTGCGCGCACCATGTGCGAGCCGAAGCAGGGCGAGGCATTGCCTCACTCGGGAAGTGCAAGGGGTCAGGGAGTTCCCTTTCCTAGTCAAAGAAAGGGGTGACAGACGGCACCTGGAAAATCGGGTCAATCCCACCCGAATACTGTGCTTTTCCGACGGGCTTAAAAAACGGCGCACCAGGAGATTATATCCCGCACCTGGCTCGGAGGGTCCTACGCCCACGGAGTCTGGCTGACTGCTAGCACAGCGGTCTGAGATCAAACTGCAAGGTGGCAGTGAGGCTGGGGGAGGGGCACCCACCATTGCCCAGGCTTGCTTAGGTAAACAAAGCAGCCAGGAAGCTCGAACTCGGTGGAGCCCACCACAGCTCAAGGAGGCCTGCCTGCCTCTGTAGGCTCCACCTCTGGGGGCAGGGCACAGACAAACAGAAAGACAGCAGTAACCTCTTCAGACTTAAATGTCCCTGTCTGACAGCTTTGAAGAGAGCAGTGGTTCTCCCAGCTCGCAGCTAGAGATCTGAGAACGGGCAGACTGCCTCCTCTAGTGGGTCCCTGACCCCTGACCCCCGAGCAGCCTAACTGGGAGGCACCCCCCAGCAGGGGCAGACTGACACCTCACACGGCCGGTACTCCAACAGACCTGCAGCTGAGGGTCCTGTCTGTTAGAAGGAAAACTAACAAACAGAAAGGACATCCACACCAAAAACCCATTGGTACATCACCATCTTCAAAGACCAAAAGTAGATAAAACCACAAAGATGGGGAAAAAGCAGAGCAGAAAAACTGGAAACTCTAAAAAGCAGAGCGCCTCTCCTCCTCCAAAGGAATGCAGTTCCTCACCAGCAACGGAACAAAGCTGGATGGAGAATGACTTTCACGAGCTGAGAGAAGAAGGCTTCAGATGATCAAATTACTCCGAGCTACGGGAGGACATTCAAACCAAAGGCAAAGAAGTTGAAAACTTTGAAAAAAATTTAGAAGAATGTATAACTAGAATAACCAATACAGAGAAGTGCTTAAAGGAGCTGATGGAGCTGAAAGCCAAGGCTCGAGAACTCTGTGAAGAATGCAGAAGCCTCATGAGCCGAGGAGATCAACTGGAAGAAAGGGTATCAGCGATGGAAGATGAAATGAATGAAATGAAGTGAGAAGGGAAGTTTAGAGAAAAAAGAATAAAAAGAAATGAACAAAGCCTCCAAGAAATATGGGACTATGTGAAAAGACCAAATCTACGTCTGATTGGTGTACCTGAAAGTGACGAGGAGAATGGAACCAAGGTGGAAAACACTCTGCAGGATATTATCCAGGAGAACTTCCCCAATCTAGCAAGGCAGGCCAACATTCAGATTCAGGAAATACAGAGAATGCCACAAAGATACTCCTCGAGAAGAGCAACTCCAAGACACATAATTGTCAGATTCACCAAAGTGGAAATGAAGGAAAAAATGTTAAGGGCAGCCAGAGAGAAAGGTCGGGTTACCCTCAAAGGGAAGCCCATCAGACTAACAGCGGCTCTCTCGGCAGAAACTCTACAAGCCAGAAGAGAGTGGGGGCCAATATTCAACATTCTTAAAGAAAAGAATTTTCAACCCAGAATTTCATATCCAGCCAAACTAAGCTTCATAAGTGAAGGAGAAATAAAATACTTTACAGACAAGAAAATGCTGAGAGATTTTGTCACCACCAGGCCTGCCCTAAAAGAGCTCCTGAAGGAAGCGCTAAACATGGAAAGGAACAACCGGTACCAGCCGCTGCAAAATCATGCCAAAATGTAAAGACCATCGAGACTAGGAAAGAACTGCATCAACTAAGGAGCAAAATAACCAGCTAATATCATAATGACAGGATCAAATTCACACATAACAATATTAACTTTAAATGAAAATGGACTAAATGCTCCAGTTAAAAGACACACACTGGCAAATTGGATAAAGAGTCAAGACCCATCAGTGTGCTGTATTCAGGAAACCCATCTCACATGCAGACACACACATAGGCTCAAAATAAAAGGATGGAGGAAGATCTACCAAGCAAATGGAAAACAAAAAAGGCAGGGGTTGCAATCCTAGTTTCTGATAAAACAGACTTTAAACCAACAAAGACCAAAAGCGACAAAGAAGGCCATTACATAATGGTAAATGGATCAATTCATCAAGAAGAGCTAACTATCCTAAATATATATATACCCAATACAGGAGCACCCAGATTCATAAAGTAAGTCCTGAGTGACCTACAAAGAGACTTCGACTCCCACACATTAATAATGGGAGACTTTAACTCCCCACTGTCAACATTAGACAGATCAACGAGACAGAAAGTCAACAAGGATACCCAGGAATTGAACTCAGCTCTGCACCAAGCAGACCTAATAGACATCTACAGAACTCTCCACCCCAAATCAACAGAATATACATTTTTTTCAGCACCACACCACACCTATTCCAAAATTGACCACATAGTTGGAAGTAAAGCTCTCCTCAGCAAATGTAAAGTAACAGAAATTATAACAAACTGTCTCTAAGACCACAGTGCAATCAAACTAGAACTCAGGATTAAGAATCTCACTCAAAACTGCTCAACTACATGGAAACTGAACAACCTGCTCCTGAATGACTACTGGGTACATAACGAAATGAAGGCAGAAATAAAGATGTTCTTTGAAACCAACGAGAACAAAGACACAACATACCAGAATCTCTGGGATGCATTCAAAGCAGTGTGTAGAGGGAAATTTATAGCACTAAATGCCCACAAGAGAAAGCAGGAAAGATCTAAAATCGACACCCTAACATCACAATTAAAAGAACTAGAAAAGCAAGAGCAAACACATTCAAAAGCTAGCAGAAGGCAAGAAATAACTAAAATCAGAGCAGAACTGAAGGAAATAGAGACACAAAAAACCCTTCAAAAAATTAATGAATCCAGGAGCTGGTTTTTGGAAAGGATCAACAAAACTGATAGACCACTAGCAAGACTAATAAAGAAAAAAAGAGAGAAGAATCAAATAGATGCAATAAAAAATGACAAAGGGGATATCACCACCGATCCCACAGAAATACAAACTACCATCAGAGAATACTACAAACACCTCTACGCAAATAAACTAGAAAATCTAGAAGAAATGGATAAATTGCTCAACACATACACTCTCCCAAGACTAAACCAGGAAGAAGTTGAATCTCTGAATAGACCAATAACAGGCTCTGAAATTGTGGCAATAATCAATAGCTTACCAACCAAAAAGAGTCCAGGACCAGATGGATTCACAGCCGAATTCTACCAGATGTACAAGGAGGAACTGGTACCATTCCTTCTGAAACTGTTCCAATCAATAGAAAAAGAGGGAATCCTCCCTAACTCATTTTATGAGGCCAGCATCATCCTGATACCAAAGCTGGGCAGAGACACAACCAAAAAAGAGAATTTTAGACCAATATCTCTGATGAACTTTGATGCAAAAATCCTCAATGAAATACTGACAAACCGAATCCAGCAGCACATCAAAAAGCTTATCCACCATGATCAAGTGGGTTTCATCCCTAGGATGCAAGGCTGGTTCAATATACGCAAATCAATAAATGTAATCCAGCATATAAACAGAACCAAAGACAAAAACCACATGATTATCTCAATAGATGCAGAAAAGGCCTTTGACAAAATTCAACAACCCTTCATGCTAAAAACTCTCAATAAATTAGGTATTGACGGGACGTATCTCAAAATAATAAGAGCTATCTGTGACAAACCCACAGCCAATATCATACTGAATGGGCAAAAACTGGATGCATTCCCTTTGAAAACTGGCACTAGACGGGATGCCCTCTCTCACCACTCCTATTCAACATAGTGTTGGAAGTTCTGGCCAGGGCAATTAGGCAGGAGAAGGAAATAAAGGGTATTCAATTAGGAAAAGAGGAAGTCAGATTGTCCCTGTTTGCAGATGACATGATTGTATATCTAGAAAACCCCATGGTCTCAGCCCAAAATCTCCTTAAGCTGATAAGCAACTTCAGCAAAGTCTCAGGATACAAAATCAATGTACAAAAATCACAAGCATTCTTATACACCAATAACAGACAAACAGAGAGCCAAATCATGAGTGAACTCCCATTCACAATTGCTTCAAAGAGAATCAAATACCTAGGAATCCAACTTACAAGGGATGTGAAGGATTTCTTCAAGGAGAACTACAAACCACTGCTCAAGGAAATAAAAGAGGATACAAACAAATAGAACATTCTATGCTCATGGGTAGGATGAATCAATATCGTGAAAATGGCCATACTGCCCAAGGTAATTTATAGATTCAATGCCATCCCCATCAAGCTACAAATGACTTTCTTCACAGAATTGGAAAAAACTACTTTCAAGTTCATATGGAACCAAAAAAGAGCCTGCATTGCCAAGTCAATCCTAAGCCAAAAGAACAAAGCTGGAGACATCGCACTACCTGACTTCAGACTATACTACAAGGCTACAGTAACCAAAACAGCATGGTACTGGTACCAAAACAGAGATATAGATCAATGGAACAGAACAGAGCCCTCAGAAATAACGCCGCAAATCTACAACTATCTGATCTTTGACAAACCTGAGAAAAACAAGCAATGGGGAAAGGATTCCCTATTTAATAAATGGTGCTGGGAAAACTGGCTAGCCATATGTAGAAAGCTGAAACTGGATCCCTTCCTTATACCTTATACAAAAATCAATTCAAGATGGATTAAAGACTTAAACGTTACACCTAAAACCATAAAAACCCTAGAAGAAAACCTAGGCATTACCATTCAGGACACAGGCATGGGCAAGGACTTCATGTCTAAAACACCAAAAGCAATGGCAACAAAAGCCAAAATTGACAAATGGGATCTAATTAAACTAAAGAGCTTCTGCACAGCAAAAGAAACTACCATCAGAGTGAACAGGCAACCTACAAAATGGGAGAAAATTTTCGCAACCTACTCATCTGACAAAGGACTAATATCCAGAATCTACAATGAACTCAAACAAATTTACAAGAAAACAACAAACAACCCCATCAAAAAGTGGGCAAAGAACATGAACAGACGCTTCTCAAAAGAAGACATTTATGCAGCCAAAAAACACATGAAAAAATGCTCACCATCACTGGTCATCAGAGAAATGCAAATCAAAACCACAATGAGATACCATCTCACACCAGTTAGAATGGCGATCATTAAAAAGTCAGGAAACAACAGGTGTTGGAGAGGACGTGGAGAAATAGGAACACTTTTACACTGTTGGTGGGACTGTAAACTAGTTCAATCATTGTGGAAGTCAGTGTGGCAATTCCTCAGGGATCTAGAACTAGAAACACCATTTGACCCAGCCATCCCATTACTGGGTATATACCCAAAGGACTATAAATCATGCTGCTATAAAGACACATGCACACATATATTTATTGTGGCATTATTCACAATAGCAAAGACTTGGAACCAACCCAAATGTCCAACAGTGATAGACTGGATTAAGAAAATGTGGCACATATACACCATGGAATACTATGCAGCCATAAAAAATGATGAGTTCATGTCCTTTGTAGGGACATGCATGAAATTGGAAATCATCATTCTCAGTAAATTATCACAAGAGCAAAAAACCAAACACCGCATATTCTCACTCATAGGTGGGAATTGAACAATGAGATCACATGGACACAGGAAGGGGAATATCACACTCTGGGGACTGTTGTGGGGTGGGGGGAGGGGGGAGGGATAGCATTGGGAGATATACCTAATGCTAAATGACGACTTAGTGGGTGCAGTGCACCAGCATGGCACATGTATACATATGTAACTAACCTGCACGTTGTGCACATGTACCCTAAAACTTAAAGTATAATAATAATAAATAAATAAAAAAAAAGAAAAAAAAAAGATCAGATACCACAATCAACAAGAGGGGTAGAAGAGATGGAGAAGGGCGCGTGGGTAAGTGTTGAATTTCAATTTTTTAAGTGTGTATTTTGTACTCTTTCTAGGTACAGGATTAAAAACAGGCCAATGTGGAAAAAATTGTTATAATTGTTATAAATTGTTTATATTGTTATAAAACTAAAATCAAATCAAGAAAAAAATATAAAATAATAATAATAATAAATTAACCTAGGATTACTATAACTTTTTTACTTTATACACTTTTAAATTTTCTTAACTTTTTGACACTTTTAAAACATTTAGCTGAAAACACAAATACATTGTACAGCTATACAAAAGTATTTTTTCTTGTTTCCTTATTCTATAACTTTTTCTTATTTTTACTTTTTAAATTTTCTTTTTTTTTACTTTTTAAACATTTTTGTTAAAAACTGAGACAAAAACACACACCTTAGCCTAGGCCCACATGGGGTCAGGATCATCAAGATGTTACTAGGCAATAGAAATATTTTAGCTGTGTTATAATCTGATAAGACCACTGTCATATATGTAGTTGGCATTGACCAAATGTCATTATGCAGCACATGATATTTGTTTTTTGTTCATTTGTTTTTTGAGATGGAGTATCACTCTGTCTCCAAGCTGGAGTGCAGTGGCGCGATCTCGGCTCCCTGCAACCTCCGCCCCTCGGGTTCAAGCGATTCTCTTGCCTCAGCCTTCAGAATTGCTGGGACTACAGGCACGGGCCACCATGCCCAGCTAATTTTTGGTATTTTTAGTAGAGACGGGGTTTCACCATGTCAGCCAGGATGGTCTCAATCTCTTGACCTCATGATCCGCCCGCCTCGGCCTCCCAAAGTGCTGGGATTACGGACGTGAGCCACCGCGCCTGGCTGACCATATTTGTTTTGCAATATAGCTAGTACATTTATCTTTCCTGTGGAATTGTACAATCTCCCCGCATTCTGCTGGCCCCTTATGATTTCCCAGTGTATTTACTAAGCTTCACAAACAACTGTGAGAATGCTGGTTCAGTGTTGATTTTACATAAAATTAAAATTCATTTTTGCATGAAACTAAGTATTTAAAACTGAGTTACATACCTGAATTCAAAAAAGGTAAGTTATCTTTTCCGCTCACACTTTCCGGGGCTGTACATTCACATACCAGGGCACACTAGGAAAAAATGTAAAAAAAAAAAAAAAATTTTGAGAACAATCAAAATAAGGAATGATATTATTTTATTTGCAAAACATAAGGCTATGTACATGGTTTCAAAAAGTTTTGAATAAAATACTTTTTAAAAACTATTTCTAGCTCTATCTTTACTACAAAGAGTGTTTAACTTGTGATTTACTTAAATGTATACAGAATATGCTTATATTAGATAATTGTAGAGGGTACTCAGGGAAAAAGTTAAAATGAGAAAAATGATTATCCCCAACATGCTAGAGATATGTTCCTAGCACAGTAAATCATATTTGACAAGCTGAATCATTTTGTATTTCTTTCACCTGAGCTAATTTCAGATCAATAGAAAGCAAATTATTTTCTAGAGTTTAAGTAATTGCAACTTTAAATAAAAGACAAAATATGTTGACGCCACTAGTTATATAGGGCAAAAGATTATTTTGCCTCCAGCAAAACAACGCAAGCACTTGCTCAAAAAGTATGAGGATCATTTATAAATAAGCTGATCTCTGGAATCCATAATGAATTGATTAAGCTCCTGACCTTTACAGTACTGTCAATTTCTCAACAGAAAGAGAGAAGAGATACAGAAGAGCACATGGACATGTTCCTAGTGAATGAACCACAATGGGAGAGAATGTCCAAAACAATTCCTCACTAAATGTGGTGCTCTCCCTCAGCTTCCTATGAAACTGTAATGGAAAGAGGAAACAAAATTCTTCTGGCCCCAGGAGTTGGACGAAATCTATTTTCACACAGGAAGACTCTAGCATTTGTGTCTTCAAATGAGTTTCCTTTTATCTTTAGAAAAAAATATGGGGGTGTGAGTGGGGACAGGGAAGAGGATAGTGAATTTTTAGAGTAAATATACCCAATATAAACAAGTAAATGCAAACAGAAGAAAGCAAACATACACACAAAAATTGCAGAAAGTTCTTTTGGTGATGAGGTCTAAGGGAACCAGCCATCCTTCTGTAAGTTTTGCATGGCTCTGCTCAAGGGGCTCTGAGGGCTCAGACAAGCTTCTCCAAGGCTCTATCAGCCTTGCTTGAGCTATTTCCCCACTGTTCTGTCTCCCTCCACCTCTCCTTCCCCAGGCACTGGCCCTCTTTAAGAATCATGTACACTGAGGTCACTTTTAACAATGGAATGTATACGTTCCTCAAACATTTTGAGGAAGAAGACAAAGAATTCAAAACACTGATTTAAATGTTACTTTCTGTTTTCTTATAGTCTACTGCTTATTCCACAATCATAACATTCATCACATTACTCAGTAAATTTTTTGATGGGGTACAAAAGTGCTTTCATAATTTCTTTATTGAGGTCCTAGTTGACTGAAAGAATGAATGACTGAAAACAGCTCTTAAAATTTGATGTTCTCTAAATCGCATTTCTGACCACCCCGAAGTCAGAGGTGCACTTCCTCTAATCCACAGCAATTTTGGAAATGCACTTCCTAAATCACTAGAATGATGTTCAATGATACTAGAAATACATAAAATTCTAATTTTTCCTATTTTCAATATTACCTCTAATTCTTTTAGCATATACAGGGCTGTTAAAATAATTTTTCATCAACGTTATATTCATCATATCAGTGTTCTACTCTACAATGAATAATAACTACTTATTTAGCTCAGAGTCTTATGGCTTACAGGGGAGTACACGATCTGTTTCTCCCTGCCCCATGAATCTCAGCCCTCAACTCCAACCACTACTCCTCTACCCCTTAGCTCCAGTCACACTGGCCTATTTGCTGCTCTTTCAACACAAAAAGCATGCTGCCACCTTGGGGCCTTTGCTCTTGCTATTGATGTTACCTAGAATTCTTATTCCTGACATATATCCCCATCTCACTCCCTTATTTCCTGAAAGTTTCAGCTCAAACATCACATTATCAGTGAATCTTTCCTTAACCAACATCTAGTATAAACAACCATGCCTAAGCACCACCTATTCCTTTTACCCTATCTTTTTTTCTATACAGCATATAGCACCAATCAATAATATATTACCTGTTATTTTAATTGTTTTCTTCCCCTGAAGGTACCATCTGTGTCTCTCTGGTTCATTGCTGAATCCCCAGAACCTAGTAGAATGCTTAGAACTTAGTAGGTGATATTTTTGATGAATGAATGATGATTATTTGCCTACAAATATTCTCTATAAGTTAAGGCTTATTATAATATTTTCAATTTTATATTTGGAGGAAATAAAGGGATAAGACCTTCTGAGACTGGTCACTAGCCACTCAAAGACTCCACCTTTCCTCTGAGCACTGCTGATAAACTACAATGAAAACAGTACTTCAAAGAACAGGAGCAACATGGCCTGAGAAAAGCAGGTTTTCAGAAGGGGATGTATTTGTATTCCACTTACACTATTTTTGCTGGTATCATCAGTAAGACATTTTCTTTCCTTTTGTAGAAATCACAGTCCCTTTGGTCACTTGTGCTACGCTGCATTCCAATACAACACAGATCTTAAACTAATAGAAGAGGTAAGGCAGGGGCTGAACTAAACTAAGCCTCTCCCGTGCCTCACTGGAGGATGCTCCTAACAATGCTTTAATCCTGACAGGAAGCTGATCATCTCTGCTGCAGGCAAAGAAGGGCTGTGCTCAATGGGAGGACTTTTCCTGTCTCAAGCAATCCTTTTGGCTGTTACTTATTGGGTTTTCTCATTTTTCACCTGATTTGATTATTTGGTTCCTACTTATCCTTTCTCTAATAGCATTGTCTTTGACTACTTCAAAAGTTGTTCTGTAAGTTTCTTTATTTTTCTTCCACAGTCCTACACTCTTCACTACATGCCATCTTATTTATTGATCCACCAATTGTTATGGAGTTATACGCAGCCACATATTCTGTCTTCTATGAGATAATTTTTAGCTTTACTTCTTTAAAGTAAAATTGACTTAATTTATTCATTTATTTCTGACTTAGACTGTTTCAGGCACTGGGGATAAAGGAGGGAACGAAAATAGACAAATAGTTTTGTCTCATGAAGTTTAATATTAGTGAGGAAAATAGACCACAAATGAGATAAATTCGTAAAATATATATATATATATATATATATATATATATATATATATAACATTGAACAATGACAAGTACTAATCACAAAAATAATGCAGAGAAAGGCGATAGAAAGCTCTGAGGTAGACACTGCAATCTTAGATAGGGTTGCAGGAAAGGCTTCAGTGAGGAGGTGACATTTCTGCATAAAGACCAGAAGGAAATAAGTGAACCACAAAATTACCTAGGGAAAACACTTCAAAGGTAGGTGGGAAAACTAAGTGCAGGGGCCTTGAGTTGGCAACGTACCTGAAATGTTCAGGAACAACAAGGAAGACAATGTGACTGGACTGTAGTGAGCAAAAAATAGGAGCTGGGGAGGAGGTCAAAGAAGTAATGAAGTTCCCAGGGTTGGGACGGGGAGACTCCTGTAAGACTGTGTTTGGTCACTGAAGGGCTTTGAGTTTATACTTTCAGAGAGTTGAGAAGCTGTGAGAGGAAAGACATGTCCTAAGTTTCATTTAAATAGGGTCGCTTTGTTGCTCTGTTGAAAATAGACTGATATAGTGACATGTGGTGGCAGATCAGGGAGAGAAAAGGAAAAAATCAGGGAGACTTTTAAGTCATTACTGTAAACATCCAGGTGATAGACAACATTGGTAGCAGTGAAAGGGCCAAAAGTTGTTAAATTCTGGTTTCAATTAAAAGGTGCAGTCAACAGGATTTGCTGACATACTAACTGTGAGTTTATGAGAGGCAGAAAGGAGTCAAAGGTGACTCCAATAAAAGAAAAAATGTTTTGGATACATAATGCAACATTCATCTACTATGCTAGTTTCGAAAAAAGACAATTTTAGTATTTCTCTTGTAATTTTTTCTTTCTACTACTATGTGGTTTTAATGCTTTATCTTCTATTTCTATGTGTGTATATATTGAAGTTTGAAACAATCTAATATGGTAAATGACCTCTGAGCAATCTTCCCTTGATAATAAATATGTGTTCATAATATGATTTATGGAAACAAGAAAAAGAAAGCAAACGTATGTGAGAAGAAAGAGTTTGGATTTTCACTTATATTTTATTCCATGCTCTGGAATTTAAGACTCAAGATTAAAATGTAGTATTTTATATAAAGGTACTGTTATGGACTGAACTGTGTCTTCCAAAGTTCATATGTTGAGGCCCCAGCCTCCAATATGACCATATTTGGAGATAAGGGCCTATATTATGGAGGTAACTAAGATTAAAAGAGGTCATAAAGATGGGGTCTTAATACTACAGGGCTGGTATTCTTACGAGAAAAGGAGAAGATACCAAAACACTCCCTCTCTCCCTTCCTTTCTCCTTTCCTCTCTCTTTCTCTCTCTCTCTCTCCCTCTCTCTCCCTCTCTCTCCCTCCCCCACTTCCCCTTCCTGCTTATACACAGAAGATAGACCATCTGAGAAGGTAGCAAGAAGGCAGCCATCTGCAAGCCAAGTAAAAAGCCCTCACCAGGAACTGAACAGGCTGGCACCTTGATCTGGGACTTCCTAGCTTCCAGAACCGTGAGAAAATAAATTCCTGTTGTTTAAGCCATACAGTTTATGGTATTTTGTCATGACAGCCCAAGCTGAGCAATATCAGTATCACTCTCTTATTTACGTCTACATTAGATAACATGTGTCACTTTCATGGCACATGACTATGGTGCTAATAGAAGTTTCATTCCTTTGTCCCTAGCTCATGCAAACCAGTGAAAGCAATGTTATTTTAGGAATAACTTCTATTTCAGTTACTTTCTCTTTCCATAATGATAGTCATTCATGTCTTAAATCACCGTTAGTAACAGATAATATTAATTGATTTTCTATGGATTTTTATTTAGCAGATGTACAAGGGTCCATGCATTTGCAGTTCTAAAAAGCACTCTAGGTGATTCTAACCACACTTTGAAAAACGCTGAGATAAAGTTATTTACACAATAAATATCATGCATGTTGGGCCTTACTATATATCTCAAACATCGATATTCTTAAAGATTGCTAAGAGAGTTTACAGTTACTTTATCAAAAATTTGCAAAAAAGGTCAAGGTTTACAAATAATCCAGACAGGGCAGAGCTGATGCCAAAATGTTTGATGTGTTTACCATTTTAGTCAGCTTATGACTCACACACGGTGTGTATTGCCACTGCCACCTCCTATTTCTGGAACAGCTCAGTTAAGTCTTTTTAAAGTTCATGTTCCTAAGCCAGAAACACTATGTAGGATTTGGGTGGGGGCATATCTCTAGGTATCAAGTTCTCCATTTATGAAAAGAGTATAATTTAATTTCCACTACCTTATACTATAGTGACATAGTCTGGAGTCAAAAGGTGGGCTAGTTTTGAGGAAAGTGGAAAAGTGGCTGGTAATATATTTAGAATCAGAGAAAGGAGCTCTACTTTGAAATGGGAAGTGTTTCTGCTACTGGTCTCCTGGTACACAGTTACAGGTCTAGGCATAATTATCTGCCTATTTCTGCTCTGTGTCCCCAGTTTAGCTTCCGAATCCTCCTTCCTTGATCTTGATGCAAGTGTTCATGTGATAGTGACAAAGATGAGTCTTATATAGAACTACAAAACAAACAAGGATGGAATGAAGGGATCCAGCCCTAAGACAGGGTTTCGAATGCACAAACTCAAGAAAGTCTGCTCCAAAACTTTACCATGGCCCTGATATTAGTTAATAACCTGATTTAAACCTTGGGCCTTCTTAAAATATTTTTATAATGTGGGATATATTCCAAGGAGAAGGGAGAGTAACAGAGAAGAACAAGGTTTAGGGTAGCAGAGAAGACCCTAGCCTATTCTGGGAAAAAGAAAAAAAAATTGAAAGAAAATATTTGATATTTTTGTAAAGTTAATAATTTGTTACGTGTTGGATAAATACCATCTTCCATGCAGCAGTTTCCTGGGTAAGAAAAATCAAACATGCTCCAAGATAAGAGACACTAAACCAGAAAATAAGTCACAATGGGCCTTAATTTTTTAATGTTCATTTATAAAGCTTTTCTTCTACAATCAAGAACAAGACAAAGATGTCCATTCTCACCACTTCTATTCAATGTTATACTGAAAGTTCTAGCTGGAACAATCAGACAAGAAAAAGAAATAAAAGATATCCAAATAGGAAAGGAAGAAGGGAAATTGTCTTTGTTTGCTAATAACGTGATCTTTTATGTAGAAAACCCTAATGACACAACCAAAAGAAAAAAAAAATCAGTTAAAACTGATAAATTCAGTAAAGTTGAAGGATACACAATCAACTCACAAAAATCAGTAGTGTTTCTTTACACTGACAGCAAACTATTTGAAAAAGAAATTAAGAAATCAATCCCATTCACTTTAAAAAAATACTTATAAGTAAATTTAACCAAGGATTTGGAAGATCTGTGTACTGAAAACTATAAAACATTAATGAAAAAAAGTTGTAGATAACACAGATAAATAGAAAAGTATCCCATGCTCGTGGATTGGAAGAATTAATACTGTTAAAATGTCTATACTACCCAAAGCAATATACAGATTAAATGAATCCCTATCAAAATTCCAATGTCATTTTTCACGGAAATAAATGTTAAAAATCCTAAAATTCTTAAGAAACCACAAAAGAGCTTGAAGAGTCAAAGTTATCTTGAGTAAAGAGAACAAAACTGGAGGAATCATGTCAGCTGACTTCAAAATCTATTATAAAGCAAAGTTATCATAATCAAAGTGGCATGTTACTGGCATAAAAACAGACACATTGACCGATGGAACAGGGCAGAAAGCCTATGAATAAATCTACACATATATGGGCAATTCGTTTTCAACAAAGGTACCAAAAACACAGAATGGAGAAAGGGCAGTCTCTTTAACAAATTGTGTTTGGAAAACTAGATGTCCACATGCAGAAAAATAAAATTGGACCCTTATCTCATGCCATGCTCATGCACAAAAATCAACTCAAAATGAGTTAAAGACTGAAAAATAAGCCCTAAAACTATAAAAGTACTAGGAAGAAAACATTTAAAAATGCTCCATGACATTGTTCTGGGCAAGATTTCTGTAATATGACCCCAAAAGCACAGGAACAAAAGCAAAAATAAGCAAATGGCATTGTATCAAACTAAAAAGCTTCTGCACAGCAAAGGAAACAATAAGGAAACAACTCATGGATTGGGATAAAATATTTGCAAACCATACACCTGATAAGGAGCTAATATTCAAAATATATAAGAAACTCAATAGCAAGAAAACAACCCAATAAAAAATGGACAAAGGACCTAAAAAACACTCGCAAAAGAAGACATACAAATGGCCAACGGATATATTAAAAAATGCTCATCATTGCTGATTACCAGGAAAATGCAAATTAAAACTACAATGAGATACTATTTCACACATGTCAGAATGACTATTATCAAAATGATGAGGGAGGCCAGGCACGGAGTCTCACGCCTGTAATCCCAGCACTTTGGGAGGCTGAGACAGGCAGATCACGAAATCAGGAGACTGAGACCATCCTGGCTAACACGGTGAAACCCCGTCTCTACTAAAGATACAAAAAATTAGCCGGGCATGGTGGCGGGTCCCTGTAGTCCCAGCTACTCGGGAGGCTGGGGCAGGAGAATGGTGTGAACCCAGGAGGCAGAGCTTGAAGTGAGCCAAGATCGCGCCACTGCACTCTGGCCTGGGTGACAGAGCAAGACTCCGTCTCAAAAAAAAAAAAAAAAAAAAAAAATGAGGGGTAAGTACTGGTGAGGGTGTAGAGGGTGTAAACTAAAGGGAACCCTTATGCACTGTTGAGAATGTAAATTAATACAACCATTATGGAAAACAATACGGAGGCTCCTCAGAAAACTAAAAATAGAACTACCATAAAACCCAGCAATCCCACTCTGGGTACTCCAAAGGAATTGAAATCAATATGCCAAAGAGATATCTGCACTCATGTTCACTGCAACATTACTCACAATAACTAAGATGTGGAAGCAATCTTAGTGTCCATCATCAGATGAATGGAAAAAGGAAATGTGGTATATACCACAATAAAAAACTATTCAGCTTTGAAAAGGGGGAAAGTTCTGTCATTAGTGACAACATGGATAAACCTGGATGATATTATGCTAAATGAAATATGCCAGGCACAAAACAAATACTGAATCATCTCATTTATATGCTGAGAAAGAAAAGAGATTCTTGGGACCCCAAACTCACTATGTCGGAAGGAAAGTTAAGATTGGGAACTGAAACACACAAAAAACTGCCTTTGTTTTTTTCCCCCGACGAACAGATAGCTGCAATGATAGAAGCCCACATCTCTCCCCAGATGCCCTCCTTCACAAATTGCTCACAATTCCTTGTGGGCCCCAACTCTTTCAGAATATATAACCCCCTATAAAATAGCCTTAATACAGAGTTTTGTTGAATCTCACCCTAACAATGTAAATTAACAGCTTATATGTCCACAGGGAGGGGACAAGGACAAGACTAGAAAATCATCCCTCTGCCCACCCTGAGCCAAACACGTAATTGACTTCTTTTATTTTAAGTAAAATGTGGATTTACTGAATATGAGAGGAATGCATAATTGACTATTCCTCTTCTCCCTTTCACATATAAAATGTAGATTCACTGAGCACTAATGAAAGCCTCACTATGGGACCACTTACCTCATTGCCTACCCTCCCCCCTCTTTTTTCCTCTCTTCTTCCCTTCCTGCTTACTCTTTCTCTTTTACATATCGGAGTCCTCAAAACCCTCTTTGGAAAAGGCAGGGGTCACAGATGCTCCTCTAATTTGTGTTTTTTCCCAGGTGCAGCCTCAACCTTGGCAAAATAAACATCTAAATTAATTGAGACCTGCCTTGGTCATTTTTTTAGCTTGCATTTGTGGAATCTAAAAGATTCAAACTCATAGAAGTAGAGGGCAGAATGATGGTTACCAGAGGCTGGGGGAGGGAAAGTTTAGGGAAATGGGAGGTGCTCATCAAAGGGTACAAGTTTCCGTTAGCCAGGAGGAATAAGCTTTAGTGAGTTATTGAGCAAAATGGTTACTGTATAATAGTCCATTGTAGATTCCAAAATTGCTGCAAGGAGAAATTTTAAATGTTTTTACCACACACACAAAATAAGTATGTGAGGCGATAGATTTGTTAATTAACCTGATTAATCATTCCATAACGTAAATATATATCGAAACATTACATTGTACCCCAGAAGTATATACAATGATTGTTTATTAAAAATAATTTTTTAAAATGCTCATTTATTAAAAGGTAGAAATTATAGTGTATAAAATTCATTTTCCTAAAAGAAACTACTAGCAGTTTCTAAGTCTACCCCATGTGCTTCAATGGTCTCAATAAAACAGGCAATTGCATTCCTAAGAAATAAATTTAGGCTAATATTTACATAGTTTCTCTGCCTTAGTGAAAAGGAACAGAAAGAAAGAAAGAATCCTGGACACATATTTATATGCATCAGGCCTTTATTCTGTGTTTCAGGAAGCAGCTTCTCCTTCCGTTGCCATTGTCCCTCCTCCAGAGCTATTCCTTCAATGAATACTATTTCCTGCTTCTCTCTCCTCAATCTCATAAGGCAGGAACTTCTTGTTAAATCTGCCCTCCTTCACGTAAAGGTGAAATACAAATTAAAATCGCATATCTTTCCAAAGAGGGTTTTGGGAGTAGAGAACAAGTTATTTTGGGCAATAGCCATCCCAGAATCTTCTGGCATCTCACATAGAGTTAATTATGGTAAAATGCGACAATGATCAATACTTTTGTTCCAACTGAGAAGAGGCAGTGCCAACCAGGGAGCTGGCAGGGAAGAGGAAGGTGCTTCTGAATGGAGCATTGCTTTGCATAGTTCCAAGCAAATAGGCCCTTTGATTCAGAGGCTGAAACACACATATTGTATTCCAATTTCAGAGCTGTTGTCCCATTTAGGTTTTGATAATGAGATTTCAAACCCCACAGAGATGTTGGTGAGACAGACATCTGGCAAAGCTGATCATTTTTAATTTAATTTGTACAATGAGCAGACTGAGATCCTACCTTTTGTCCCTGTACATCTGTGGTGATGTGGTCGGCTTCCCCATCCTCAATCTCCCCCATCTTCACGACACTGACTTCTATGGTGCCAACCACTTTGCCACCATCTGAAGTTCTGCAACAAAAAATACACGAAATGGAAAGGTAAGAAGCTTCTCTCTCCCCCAAAAATATCCAAAACACATTTGTTTCTGAAAACCACCAGCATTGTTATTTACTTAATAAGACAACATCTGCATAAAACACAGCAAAACATGTTAATAGGGTAGGTGTTTGTGTGTGTGTGTGTGTGTGTGTGTGTTTTCTTTTTTCTTTTTTTTTGAGATCAAGTTTTGCTCTTGTTGCCCAGGCTGGAGTGTAATGGCGTGATCTCAGCTCACCACAACCTCCACCTCCCAGATTCAAGAGATTCTTCTGCCTCAGCCTCCCGAGTAGCTGGGATTACAGGCATGTGCCACCATGCCTGGCTACTTTTGTATTCTCCATGTGGTCAGGCTGGTGTCAAACTCCCAACCTCAGGTGATCCACCCGCCTAGGCCTCCCAAAGTGCTGGGATTACAGACGTGAGCTACTGCATGTTGTTTTTCATTTGAAATTAAAATTATCCATGAATGTGTGAGGTAAGAGCACGGACTGTCGAAAAGTACCTTAGGAAGATGAAACCTCCTAAACGTTCTCAGAGGTGCCCTCAAGGAAAGAACATTGTGTCATAGATCAATACCCCATTTGGAACCATCAAATCTAAAACAGCATAAACTGCAGCCCATCTATACTAACTGCATGAGATACCTATGTGTCTATCACAGAAACTGTGGCCAAGTAAAATAGAAAAGAGTATAAATATTCTTATCTTCCTCTATGACTGGGCTATTGGCTACAAAATCTGACTTTGTGCCTTTTCTCTAACATTTTTGTTTACATGCTACTAAGTACAAAAGATTCTCTCCTAGCAAACATAAGAACATGTAAAGCAGAACATAACCCAAAGCTCATTTAGTACAACTCTTTACTTTTTCAGATAAAGAAACTGAGACTCAAAAAGATGAGAAGACCCTTCCAAGGTAACGAAGTGGCAATTTCAGGTTTCTATCTTCTCCAAGTCATTGACAAGTCTTTTATATTCAATGATAATAATATAAGATTTTCACCATCATTATTTTTAGCAGCATAAAAATTTTATGTTTGGCAATAATAATGAAAGCTAAAGATAAGTTTACGAGCCACACTTTAAGATTCTCTAGTTTCCTTTTCCGAGCAAGAAAAACTACAGAATAAATAGTGCCATTATACCATGGAAACACTGCACATATAATATTTTTCACTTGAGCCTTTTGTGAAAATAGGTAGCAAGCCACCTCATAGATATGATGTGTTGCTGTCACTTCTATTTCAGTAGAATTAACTGAATAGTCATGTGACGTCTCATTTTCTTCATTAGTCACATCTTTCATGAAATTTGTTTTCAACTTTTAGCTGAACACCAATGTTGTCTTTCTTTTAACTAATTCCTTCTAAATGCTGCTTTTTTTTAGTATTAAAAGTGTCAGAAAGCAGAAGGGGCATTTCTATGAGTAGTTTACCAAAATGCTAATTAAAATAACCAATAAATTAGGTGAAAAGAAACGCTGATTCTATTACTAGATAAGGTACAAATTAAAACACGACTTTTGAATTATGTTTTTAAGAAAATTAAAAGAGAAAATTTCTGATAGCATGTACACAGCTGATTTCATAGTGCAATAAAATAAAAAAATTAAAAATAAAAGTGATTTATTGTTAAATAGATTTCTTACTAAAATAAAAAGTGAAATGCTTCTTGGTGATTTTGAAATCAGTGGAAATTATAATGTTGATTCAGTTGTTTGAAATTAATATAGAGAGCAAGTATTTATCACAAAGAAGATGTGTAGGCAGGTGACAGCATGATCTGTGAAGAAAACTATATTAACTCTAATCCTGGGATGGCTTTAAATAATTCATTATATCAGTTTTCCAGTGTGTCATATTCTCATTTGAATATGACACAATAACTTGTCATAAGTCATGGTGCAGCATGTTTCTGTATAATTCTTCAGTACTTAGTAGTTAAATAAAGCATATAATAAGGACCTTCATGGGTACTACTTAAAAGTTAATTTTATAGATATTTGCAGATTTCTTTTTCATCAAAACTGCTTATCTATAAAAACTAAACACGTTTTTCTTCTCAAAAGGCTTGTTTTAAACTTTTTACTTGGGCAAGCTAAGTTAGCTTAATTGCTAGAAGCACAAGGCCTACGTATGATATTCTAAATTTTTTCACTGAACTAATCCAAATAATGCACCTACTGATTTGCAACAGAAGAGCTGTGTAATAAACCGTATATGTCATATTGGTTAAAAGTGTGAACTCAAGAGTTTGAGTTATCTGCTAGCTGTGTGACTTTGGGCAAGTCATTTACCCATGTGAATCTTTGATTTTCTTATTTGTAAAATGGAGATGACAATAGCCTTGTTTAAGAATTAAATTATGGGAGATAATTAATGTAAAGTGCTCAACACAATGTCTTACACAAGATAATTACCACTTCTGCCCCATCATCCTAATGGTAGTATTGGAACAGTAACAGTAGCAGCAAAACCAGAATTGCTACTTTTATTAATGTATTAAATTATATTTAATTTGATGCTCTCAAGAAATTTTACTGAAATCGATATCTGAGACTATAGTGAAAGGCTATAAGGTCTCATGGCATATGCTATCTCAACAGTGATTCAATGCTTACTGGGGATACAAAGACTTTGTAATAAGAGGATGTTATGATGTTTACATTCCTAGAAGTGCAGAGAACACAAATTTACTAATTATAATGCAAGTGAATCATTCAAAAATACTAAAATAGATGAATAATCAATGAAATATGGGAGTAAACTTTGGAACTATAGCTCTATCTATTCCCTTTCTTAAAGCATTTGGCTACTTTTTCAATGATTTTCCTTCCTTTTGGGTTTCCTATTTTTCCTTATCTTCTATAGGCTTTCACTTAGTGCCTGGGTGGAATCAAAGCAAGGAACATGCTTAATCTAGTGATGCTATAGAATTCTAGCATAAATTTCTCCCCAAAACCATTTTGGATGGGCAGCTTTTTTACATGCCCTAAAGCATGTTTCCTCAATTGAACTTTGTGGAAAAAACAGAATGGTAAATCCAGGTTATAAACTAAAGAACTAAACACAAGACATCCAAAAGTATGGTTCACCCTGTCACTGAACTAGAATGTAAAATGTAGAAGCCACTCTCTATTTATTCTGTTAAAATTTACCATACAAAGAATACAGGTATCCACACTTCTTGTCAATTAGGAGAGTCACAAATGAAATATCTATTTCATGTTTCCAAAGATTTTTTCAAAGATGTCTTAAAGATTTAGGAAAAAAAATTCTTAAATGCTAAATTATGCTTTCAATTTATCACCTATCAAGTTGGAAAGGCTAGTAATAATAGCTTAATCATTATTCATCACCAAAATTCTACTGAATTTTACCTTATGGAAATTCATCACATCTGCGTAGAAAATATATTAAAGAGAGTTCTGTGCTAGGAATCAAGAAATCCAGGTTCTACTTCTGACTCATCCACTAACTAGCTATGTGACTAAGTGCATATCACTTCAGTTCTCTGGATTTGTTTCTATTACTGTAAAACAAAGAGTTGGTCTCTAACAGCTGTTCCATACTATTAGCACTCAAACCCCATGCTCTAATAACTCCTGTGATTTCATCATAGGGCATCACAGATTGATATGGACTCAACAAAAATCTCAGGTCAATTCTAGCTTCTCTTCCTCACTCTACACCTTCCCATTCCACTTTCTGCCAAACAAACCAAATGTATGACAAATCTGGAAAGTGACTTAGCACTTATATCCAAATTAAAAAAGAGCTAGCTTTTCTTATAATATCATATTATATATGTCATACAGATGTATATAGCAATTATGACATTGGATCTTGGTATGTTTACAAGGATACAAATTTGATTGAACCAAAAACAGAAGTGATCTTCATACTCTTACCTTTCCTAGCAATTCATGTAGCAATAAGATGGGGCTGCAGTAATCAGTATCTCAATCTACTTAAGGAAAAAAACCATGTCATTTCAGATAGTGTATTGCCAGGTCATTACCACTGTTTAACGCAGAAAGCAGAGAGAGAAGTAAAAGATAAGCAGTTCATGGCTGCTGCAGTATTTCAATCACAATGTCAAGTTTCTCTTTCCCTCAGAAGATAGACTTAAATATTTAACCACAACAAAAAGATATAGAAGACAAAGATCGGGAAAATTTCAGCAACACAAATCTACACTCCCTTCTTACCTAAGTTTTCAGCATACATAATATATTGGTGATTAAGGTTCCTTAAAATCTGCCTTTAAAATGGCTCCCCTAATACTTCCTAATGAAATATTCAATCTCACATGCTGGAACACATTAATATTTTTAGAAGACTAAAGGAAAGGGAATATAAAACAGTCTTCTAACAAAGGATAATTTAATGACACTTTTTCAAAACTTCTTTCTCACCAATTCTGCCATCATTAATAGAGGGAAAAAAAGAAAAAAGAAAAACATCTCCAGAAGTATTAAACAGCAAAATGTAAATAACTTCTCGATTTTGGAAATGCCACAGAGATACAAACCAAAAAATGACTCTGTAAACACCTAGGGACAAACCATCATTAGCACTGTCAGCCTTTGTGAATATAAAGTAGTTCTGGTACTATGCACAGGAGTCTTCAGCTAGGAGACATGCCCTGCATTTAAACCATCTAGACATGTAAGCAGAAATGAAAATCTCACCCAAACATAAAAATAAACAAGGGCCATAAGTAAACAAACAGATTCACTGAGTGAGTGACTGCACCCTGATGATCTTTCTGGTGAATATAATTATACAGCAGTGCAGGATTTACATAGGGCTCACAGAAGTTAGATTTATATTTAAGTATGTATAACTAAACACACCTCTATTCTGGCTGAAATTCACAAATGTCAGAAGCCATATAATGCTTTCAAATTAATAGTAAAATAAAGCTTTTCAGTATTGTTTAATATTAATAGCTTAAACTCTAGGGTTTATTTCTCAGTTTTCTGCTCTTTTCTCAGTATAGGCTCACCTTCAGACATTCCATCCATCATCATGAACTTTAACTCTCCTTTTATGAAGATCTACCCCAATCCCATATTCCCAACTTGATCTTGATTTTCTGATCTAGAACTCCAAATTCCCTTTATTCTGATCTCATTTTACATTCTACAAGCTTGAGACCTAACCTTTCATTCTCTCAAACCCAAATTCACCCACATTAGTAGCACATCATTCTCCAAAAACCAAAACCAAAAATATTCCTCCTCTACCTCTGCCTTGCCCTTCCCCTCTAATCAGTCACTAAGTCCTACCAATTCTTCCTCCATAATGTCTATTTCATGTGTCCCCTCCCAATAGCAACATTCCAATTAGTTTTATTACTTCTCCTGTGTTATACCTGAAGAACCTACTTCCCTTCCTCCAGTATCTGTTCCTTCCATTTCATTCATGTCAAGTTTTCATCTTAAAGCTCTACTTTCACTATTTTATTTTTTTCCTATTAAAAGTCCTTAGACATTGCCCAGTACTTAAAGGGGCTTAACTACATAGCCTGTCTTTCAAGTCTTTGTATCAGGATCTGTCAAAGTTTATGGACACTCAGTATTTTTGGCTCACACTGATCCACCTCATCACATACCATTAAATAATGAAGTATGGTTTAGTGGAAAGCACAGTGAATGTTGAGTAACAAAGCCCTTGGTTATAGTGCTGACTCTATACAGTAAACAGCTATGTAATTATGAGCAGGCAACTCAGCCTCTGTAAAGATTTTCCAGCTATAAAATATAAAGATTGTAAACCATCCTACTTATCTCACAAGACTTATGTGATCAAAAAGAAAAGTTCTTAGGTTTAAATATAAAAATTCTTCAGTATATGGAAATGAGTAGTATCATTTATATAGCCTGGGCCACAAAGCTTCAAGAGCATGACGTAGAAATGTTGATCATCAGTTTTTCAGACTAACTGGCTTGTAGATTACTGTTTACTGCTATAAACAGTACTCTCCAAATATGAGGAATTATACAAATACAAATAAGATAAAGCAATTTTTACCTTCCTCATGACACTATTAAAAATATATATTTGGAAACATTTCAATGCTAAATGTAAAATATAAACCAGCTCTAGCTCCTTGAATTAAGAAATATTTTATCAGCAAGGTGAGAAAACAAGGTTGGCATCTTGCAAATGTCGTCAGATTTCCAAAATTGCATTAAAATTAACAGGCCATTCTTCCAGGAGTTAGGTGGTGTTGCATTGTGATTTTGATTTGCATTTCCCTGATAATTAGTGATGCTGAGCATTTTTTTATATGTTTGTTAGTCATTTGTATATCTTCTTTAGAGAATTGTCTATTCATGTCCTTAGCCCACTTTTTGATGGGATTGTTCTTTTTTTTTTTTCTTGCTGATTTGTTTGAGTTTCTTCTGGATTTTGGATATTAGTCCTTTGTCGGACATATACATTACAAAGATTTTTCTCCCACTCTATGGGTTGTCTATTTACTCTCCTGACTATTTCTTTTGCTGTGCAGAAGTTTTTTAGTTTAACTAAGTCCCATCTATTTATCTTTGTTTTATTGCCATAATAAAAAAAGTAATAGGTGTTGACGTGGTTGTGGTGAAAAGGGAACACTTTCACACTGTTGGTGGGAATGTAAACTAGTATAACCACTATGGAAAACAGTGTAGAAAGAACTAAAAGTAGATCTACCATTTGATCCAGCAATCCCACTACCAGGTATCTACCCAGAGGAAAATAACTCACTATAAGAAAGATACTTGCACGTGCATGTTTATAGCAGCACAATTCACAATCACAAAAATATGGAGCCAGCCCAAATGCCCATCTATCAATGGGTGGATAAAGAAAATATCATACACACACACACATACACACACACACACACACACACACACCATGGAATACTACTCAGTCACAAAAAGGAACAAAATAATGGCATTTGCAGCAACCTGGATGGAATTGGAGACCATTATTCTAAGTGAAGTAACTCAGGAATGGAAAACCAAACATCGTATGTTCTCACTAATAGGTGGGAGTTAAGCTATGAGGACGCAAAGGCACAAGAATGGTACAATGGACTTTAGCAACTTGGGGGAAAGGGTAAGAGGGGAGTGAGTGGTAAAAGATTATACATTGGGTACAGTTGCACTGCTCGGATGATGGGTGCACCAAAATCACAGAAATCACCACTAACAAACTTATTCATATAACCAAACACCATCTGCTCCTCAAACACCTATTTAAAAATAATAATAATAAATGGATGGCCATCATGATCTGCCCATTGGGTTCCAGTTGCAGGTAACATGGAGTATGCACACTCTACAGCATTGTGCACACTGAATGCAGCTATAAAACCTAAACGGAACACAAGGAGCAGCCATTTGAGGACCAAAACTAAATAGCACCATGCATATTGGGGAAGGAGATCAGAATCTTAAATATCATTGAACCAGCAGTGAGTTTACCATTTCTTCCCCTTTGGTTTCTCCCAACCTAGATTAGACACAGCTTGAAATGCAAGTGTGGGCATTAGTGTAGACAGAGAGAGCTCCAGGAGAATTCTTTTAGTTCTGACTCATGGGCAGGAAAGTGGTCTCCTAATACTCAGAAAAATGAAGGGAGATCCTTTTTTCTCTCTCCACTCTCTCATGCCCCAGCTCTCAAGTAGTCTTGCAGTGGCAATGATGGCAGTATTTAGGGCTCACAGGGACCTAAAACTATGAGGGGCAAAAAGTTACCTCTCTGATTGGAGAAGCTATGATCCCAAGATAGTGTGGCGAATTCCCCTTACCTTTTATTTTTCTCTATTCTCATGGCCCCAGGAAGAAAGTGGAGTTGTACAGGAGAGTAGGTAAATAAACCCAAGCTTACTGGTTGGAGGATCAAAAAGGGAAGCCACAGGAAACAGGAAGTATGGAGGAGATTGTGGAGAGGGGGAAGCTCCAGAAAGTGACTTCTTAATATTGTTCATGAACTCTGGGCTCACCCAAAGTTGTGCATGGAAAGATCTGATACTGAAAAGTATGTAAGAGACTTTGAGAAATAATCTATGAACCAGAACACCACAAAGGTCTTGGCTGTCACCTGGATGACAAGTATGAGGAACAGGTCTGAATAACACTATAAAAATTTGGAAAACAGAAGTGAGATTGAAACCACAGGTTTCACAGGACACAAGGTTAATGCACAAATATCTGGCAATGAACAATTAGAAATTGAAATTTTAAAAATTCAGTAGATCCAAAATAAATAAAATGTTTAGGAGTGACTATAACAAAATATATGTAAGATCTTTATGCTGAAAACTATAAATACTAATAAAAAATTCAAAGAAGGTCTAAATAAATAGACATATAGACATATACTATGATAATGGATTGGAAGATGCAACTTTAAAAGCTGTCAATTCTCCTCAAAGTCATCTACAGATTTAATGTAATACCAATCAAAATTCCAGTAAGATTTCTTGCAGATATCAACAAGCTGATTTGACAAGTAACAAGGAAAGACAAAACAGTATTGGAAAAAATAAAATGAAGGAATTGAACTAACTGATTTTAAGATACATTGTAAATCTAGAGTAATTAAACTCTGGTTTTGAAATAGGACAGACAAACTGACAAATAGAAAATATAACCAATTGATTTTTGACAAAGTTACAGGCAATGGAATGAACTAAAAGTAGTCTTTTCAACAGATGGTATTGGAACAATTAAACATCCATTTGGAAAAAAAATAAACTCTGCTTAAACTTTACAAATTAAACAAAAGCAGTTAACTTAAAGTAGTTCATATACCTAAATGTAAAACATAAAAATGTAACACTTTAAAAGTGACCCAGGAAAAAATTTCTGTGAACTGGACTTAGGTTCTTAGAGTTCTTTAGTGTGACACCAAAGTCATGATCTATAAAAGAAAAACCTCAATAAAATAAAGCTTGTCAAAACTGCAAATTTGCTCTGTCAAAGACATGGTTACAATAATAAAAAGACAAGCTACTGACTTGGAGAAAACATTTGCAAATCACATATCTAACAAAGAACTTGTATCCAAAGTATATAAAGAGCTCTTAAAATTCTAAAGTTGTAAGAAAACAACCAACCCAATTAATCAATGATCCAAACACTTGAACAGATATGTTTCAAAAAAGGATATATGGATGGCAAATAGCACATCCAAAGATGTTGAACATTATTGGCCATTAAGTTTTAATTAAAATTAAAACTACTATGAGACGCCACTTTAACACCCTTACAATGGCTGGCAAGGATGAAGACTGACTGAAACTCTCATACATCTCTGTAAGGAAAAACAGCTCAGCTGCTTTTTATAAAGTTAAACACACACTTACATAAACCAGCAATCCCAATTCTAAATATTTACCCTAGAGAAATGAAAACTTAGGGTCACATAAAAACCTATACATGAGAAATTCAGCAGCTTCATTCATAATAGCCAAAAAACTGGAAACAATAGAAATATCCTTTAATGTAAATGGTTAAACAAACTTTGTTGTATCCACAACATGCAATATTAATTTGGCAATAAAAAGAAACTGTTGATACACCACCAACTTGGATGAATTGTAAAGACATTGGACTGAATGAATGAAGTTATCCCAAAAGATTATATACTATACAATTCAATTTATTCAATTTCATTCTCAAAAAGGAATAGCTATTTTGATGGACAACAGATCAGTGGTGGCCAGGGGTTGGTGTGGGTGTGAAGGGGTTTCTTTGTGGTAATGGAAAAGTTCTGTATCTGGACTGTGGATACGGACTCTGTTCATACATGTGTTAAAATTCATAGAACTGTACAACAATAAAAAGTCAATTTTACTCTATGTTAATGTATAAAATGGGATAAATGAGAAAGGACACATCCATTTTCTCCGATAATAAATCAATACCAAACAAACAAACAAAAAAATCGCACAGCCATTTAGTCTGGGCATACAGAAACCACATTATTAAAATGTTATCCTCTTCCATGTCAAGCAAATTTCTGACATTTACTTGGAATGTTGGATTAAAGTATGGATTTTATCCCATGCACTATAAATTCAAAATATCTAAAGACATTAGAAATTTCATATAGGAAAGGAAGAAATTTCACCTGAATAGTAGGAAGCATTTCATAACAGACTAGATTCTCATTCAGGAGGTGCAATATATTTACCAAGCCAGTGATGCATAAATCAGCTGGCCACCTATCATCTAAAATTATCACATTTAGACCTACAGAAAAGAAACTGTTCCTGAGACTTTTTGTTAAGTTCATTTATTTCATTTTTTTTTTTTGTATTTTTAGTTTTGAGTAAGAGAAAGAGGAAAAGAGTGCTACACCTTTTAAACACAGACTATTGGGAGAGGAAGATGATTGTGGCAAGAAAGAAATATGTTATAGGAGGTTATAGATAGATGACTGGGAATACCTGACTTCCTGTGGAAATTTTCAGAAGCAAAAAATAGATACACTTATAAGGCCAGGTGAAAACAGTCTGGATAGATAGCTAAGCATTTTTTTTTTTTTGCTTCTTCAACAAAAACTTTTTACATGAATGGTTTGTAAACATTACAAAACCAATCAAAATGCTTTTAGACACTCTGAAAACTTTCCATAGATAACAGGTATGGAGAACTGGAGTATTAAATTATTAAACAATCAGTATTAAATGCTAGTGATGTGACAATATTTAATATTCAAATTTGGAATTATATATAGAGAATTTGTATGCTTTTGGGTTTTATGTCTTTTTAATGGTAGGAAAGAATGCAAAGAAATCTCTAAAATAACAGCTAGTATTAAAAGGTCAACGTTATACAGTGTTGAACATAATTTTAGAGTGTAATGTATTTCAAACCTGTGCACCCAGAAATTCACTGAGCTTTAAATTACACAATGAGGCATGTACTCTGAAACTGAGCAATTCTTAATCCCTGTATTTTTATGCTTAATTGCATTAGGATTTGTTTTAAATGTTTGTCACTCAGTTATAAAATCCTGTGATTTTTAAATTTTTTAAATTCTCATTTACTCTGACAACACATAATAAAATCATTTTAAAATACATAAAACACCATAAAGATGTAAAATTAAGGTCAAAATTACAGAAAATACTAATTTACAAATATTTATTAAGCACTTACTAGTACTATTAAACGCTAATCCATGCACAATAATGTAACAGAACAAAATTCTCTGCCCGCATGGAACTTATATTCTAGTGATAAACAAATGTGATATGTCAAAATATGACAAGTGCCATGGAGAAAAATTAAGCAGGGTAAAAGGTGGATGAGTGCTGTGTTGGGGCTGCTACTTTGTTTTCAGTGGTTGGGAAAGGCTTTTTAATAAGATGACATTTGAACACACACCTAAAGTGTAAAGAAATGAGTCATACATCCTTCTTGGGGCAAGATTTTTGCAGAAAGAAGCAGATGATCCCAAAGCCTTGAAGTGAATCCTGGTTACCCTATTTGAGAAACAGCAAAGATGCCAATGTGGCTAAAGCTAGATAGGTGGGGAAGAAAGGACTAGAAGACCAAATCAGATGGGTATGTATTAGTTCTCCATTGCTACATAACAAATTTCCATAAACCCACTGACCTAAACTCTGACTGGACTTATTATCTCACAGTTTCTATAAATCAAAAGTCCAGTCAGAGTCCTCTGCTCAGGGCCTAACAAGGTTGAAATCAAGATATAGGCTGGAATGCAGTCTTAGAAAAATCCACGTTATAACTAATTCAGCTTGTTGGTAGAACTTATTTTCTTGTGGCTTTAAGACTGAGGTTCGCATTTTCTTGTTGGTTATCAGGATAACACTCAGTCTCAAGGCCATTCTTGCCATAAGGCCCTCCACATTGGCAGTTCACATGGTGGTTTGCCTCCTCAAGGTCAGAATTTCCATCTCCAGTCTGCTAAGACACTATTATGCATGGTTATCCCAGCCACCTGTGTATAATTACAGGCAGCATATATTCACGGTGCAACCTGTAATCAAGGGGCGGGTGTTATGTAGAGCAGCTGCACCAGGGGCTGAGAATCTTGGGGAACATCTTAGCATTCTGATTACCACAGCAATGGGGAGTGAGATGATGTAGAGCTCTATAGAAAACACTGTAAGACCTTTGCCTTTTACTTTGAGTGAGGTCAAATAATCAACAGAAGATTTTGAACTGACAAGTTTTAGACACAACTTGGGCTGCAATATGGAAAATAAACTGTAGGGGGCAGAGAGGATCATGAAGATGAGTTTGGAGAAATTAGGAGGAAGAGGAGATGTATCCGATTTTAGTTTTATTTTTAAGGTAGAGCTAATAAGATACTGTGACTGACTGGCTATAGAGAATATGAGAAAGAGGAATCAGAGACTACATGGATTTTTCCCTCAACAATAGGAAGGGTAGCATTGCAATTTCCTACATGGGGAGATGGTGAGGACAAACAGAATTTGGGGACATGGTGGGCAGCAGGCAGGAATGAGGAGCTCAGTTTAGCAGATTTTAAATTTGAGACACTTATTTAGTGTTCAATTATCATTAGGTCGTTGGATATTAGAGTCAGGAGTTCAAGGAATTGGCCAAGGCTAGAGCTATAAGAACAGTCATGCGTTGCTAGATGACAGAATATATTCTAAGAAATATGCCATTAGGCAATTTTGTCCTTGTGTGAATGTCATAGAGTGTACTTACATAAACCTAGATGATATAGTCTGCTACTCACCTAGGCTATATGGGATAGCCTTTTGCTCCTAGGCTAAAAAGCTGTACAGCACGTTACTGTACTGAATACTATGGGCAATTATAACACAATGGTTAGTACTTGTGTACCTAAACATGGAAAAGGCAGAGCAAAAATATGGTGTTATAATCTTATGGAACCACCATTGGTTGTATATGCAGTCTGTCATTGACCAAAACATCATTATGTGATGCATCGCATATAGGAATCATCAGAATACAGATGACATTAAAAGCTTTAAGACTAGATGGAAGAAAGTGAATGAAGAGTGAAGAGGAGACTTTTCATCCTAAACTGAGGTATAGGACCCTTTAACATTTATAGGTGATAGTGATGAGGAGCAACCAGCAAAAGAAACAGAGAAGAAATGACCACAGGAAAATGAAGTCTGGTGTCCCAGATAACAAGGGAAGAATAGGTTTTGAGGAGTGAGCAATTGATCCACTGGGCAGATATCCCAAGGAAGAGGAACACTGACAATTATCCTTTGGATTTAGCAATATGGAGCCATTACTGATCATGACAAATGCTGTTTAGCTGCTAAAGTAATAGGAATGAAAACCTGATGAGAATAGATTCAAAAGACAATCAGAGGAGGGAGGCAAAGTAGACATAGTTCTTACTCTGGTTCTGCTATAAAGAGGACCAGAGAAATGGGACATAAGTTAGAAAGATAAACAGGAGATTTGATGGCATTTTTTAACGCTGATACACATGATCTAGCAGAGAAAATAATTTATGATGCAAAAGAAAAATGACATAAGTGCTGGAATAATGTTCTCAAATAAGTGAGAAGAGATAGAATCTAAAACACTAGACAGAAGACGAGTTGACTTTAGAAACGAAAAGGGAGTTTTTGTATAATAACAGGAAGAAAGGTAGAGAAGGTGCAGGTAGACTAGTAAACATGGCATGGGAAATTGTCAAATTTTCCTTCTCAGGGAAATGAAAATCAGATAAATCAGCTGATAGGTTGGTAAATGTGGAGTGGGAACTTGTCAGATTCTTCTTCTCAGTGAAACAGAAACTATAAATCAGCAGAGAAAGAGGAAGAGGAGAGATATTTTAGAGCTTTTAGGAATGTGGAGGTGTAAAATAGTGGTCCCAGAAAGTGGGAGAGTGAATGAATCAGGGGAGCATAGTGGGTACAGTATTAGCAAGGGTACCTATACCCTTGCTAGGTATAACTAGGGGTCGTGTACCAAATAAAACCTGTAAGCACGGAAGTCAAGTTTCCCCAGCCTGTTCAGCTACAGCAATACAAGTGTGAAATAGGTATGCGAAACTCTGGGCTTAGCCACAGTTTTTGTTGTAATTTTTAAATCAGTGAATTAATCAGTTAATCAATTTATATTTTGCTTGTGGAATATAGCAACAGGATAGCGGGGCACAGGAGTTGAGGGTATATGCGAGGGAATCGTTTTGTGATTTCTCAGTGATGGATAAGAAAAGTGGATGTGGGGGAGGGGCTGTGTAGGACAGAGCAGGACTTCACATCAATGACTCGGGACAGTCAAAGAGCAACTGGAGGGAGTGTACTGGAAAGAGAGGTGATAGAACTCAGAAAATAGGATGCTTAAAATTGAGACTCTGGAGCATTGGGATTAATGATGAGATCTCGGAGATGACAATGAGAATGGGTACTCAAATAGGGCAGAGAAAAGCCTGAGAGGCCATTGAGCTAAGAAAAGGGCACCCCTGTGGCTACTGAATCACAAGAAGTCTGGGAGGAGTAATGCTGAACTGAGACAGAGTGCACCCCAAGTAAAAATTTTCATGAAATAAGGGGAGGTGACATCTCTAGATGATGTAAGAATTGAGGTTCATGGCCTCAGACATGGTATATCTGAGGCCATGGATTGAGGCTCATGACCTCAGATATACCATGAAGGGAGGTGACATCTCTAGGTGACCTAAGGATTGAGGCTCATGGCCTCAGGTATACCATGTCTGAGGCCATGAGGCTCAATCCAGAAGTGTTTTCAGAGGATGCCTATCCTATACCAGGTATGAAGGGCAGCCACTTGGCAGGGTTGCAGGGAAGAAAGCCAGTTTCTAGGTAAATAAAGGGGAATGATTGAGGAGAGGTCACTGGGCTGAGGATGGACCTCACGTATCAGAGTAAAGTTGGAGAGCAGAGGCTGCTAGAGCCAGAGTAGGATGTGGACAGAGAGGTAGAAGGATGATCCGCCATGCAGATGAAAGATGACCCAGGAATACAGGGATTCTGCATGGTGAAAAATCACCTGAGAATGAGTAACACTTATGACGACAATAAAGAAACTCAGTTTAGCTAGGCAAAATATGCAAGGGCAGACAGGGCAACATTAATTTTAAAATAATATAAAGATCTGAAAGTTTCCATTTCCTGATTTTAACTTGTTCTGCTCTGTAGTCTTAACTCTGCATTACTAAATCATCTGGTAATTATTTTAGAGGTCAAAATGGGACTGAATCACGATTTAAGCAGTCTATATAGAACAATAAAGATTCCTACAGGACTTTTTTTGTTAAAAGGAGGAAAAGTAATTAAAGCAAAGTTCAAAATACTCAGCTACGTGGAAACAGTATTCCGCTTTAATTCATGTTAAATAGATTCTAGAGATCAGTGGGAATAAATCAAATGTCCTGCATCCATTTATTCAACATAAAGTACACGGGAAAGCCATCTACTTTCTTCTATGAATAGCTCACTTTTAGAACATTATTTAGAGATTTCCGATTATAAGAAAATTTATCTATTAGTAGTTAAATGGCCTTTGTCATCTCTAAATAAAAGAATCCATGTAAGAAAAAGAATATATTTTGGTATTTGGCAGATAGAGGTTCTAATAGGAAGTAGAAAGACAGTAAAAACTAAAAGTTATAGAATTAAAATTTCCAATTCCAGAGAGATTGCTGTATATATTTTTGTAAATCTTTGAGAATTGATACGAAATTTGTATTTTAAATAAAAGGTTTACTTGTTTTAAATAACCCTGGATATAGCTTTTTTCTTTCTTACTCTGAGATAAATTTCTTAGAACTCTTTGTATCAGAATTGACTTAAATCAGACTTCTTAGGGAAGAGAATAACCTTCAGTATCACTCAATGCATTTTGTAGAAACAGGCCCGGAGAGGTTACATGAAGGGCTTATGGCCACCTTACAAGTCATCAGCAGTGCTAGGATTTATCCAAGAGTAGAAGAAATCAGAAAGATGCATCTAATTTTAAAAAATTTATTTCTGAAAACCAAAATATAAAGTGGTGGTCACTTTTTTATCTTTTTGATCTTGTTTTAGCTGCTTGATCAATTAGTTTATTGTCTTTATCTAAAAGTCTTTACAGACAATTGTGATGGTTTGGTTTGTGTCTCAACAGCCCACTACTGAGCTATGAGGACACTTGCCTTTTTTTAAGCTACTTGATCTTTCTTCCGAGCTAGAGACATTTTCCTCTTGTCTTTAATTTCTTTCTTAGGCTTCTTCTCATAGATGAGTATAGCAGTGTGAGCTTTCCTATACATCTCCTCTATGTCTAGAGTTACAATTTTCTTTATGCATTGAGAAAAATGTTTCCTACAAGCATCTTCATCTTCCATTAGGTTATGCATATAATCTCCAATGGATCTGTTGTGATCTATGACGTGCTTCTGAAGTTTCTGGCATTGAGTTCCCTACTTTCTGAATTATAACCAGGAAATCATTCAGTACCTTGAGGGATAGACAAGCTTCCATCCATAGCTCCCATCAGAGTCCCAAAAAGTTTATTTTAAGTGGTAGTTCTGACGATAGCTGCATCTAAATACAAAATACCTCCACACTATACTTTGGGAGTTCATAAGCGTCGGCTGTTCAGACGATTATATCCCCTTTTCTATAGGCATAACAGTCAGACAAATGAGTTCTCTGTTGGTTACGCAAACTGTCACCCTGAGTTTGGGCATGTTGTGTTATTTTTGTCCCGGCTTACTAAGCATTTCCGAGCATCACAATTAATTTACCCTCTGCCTTCTTCTAAATCTCAACTTGGTATCTCTTGAAGCAGGCGTTATTCTTGACAACCATTAAAAACCCCATCCTGTGGAACAGAAACCCTTAGCCTGGGGCTTGCCACAGACCTGTGGCAACAGTGATAATTTTAAAATCATAATTATTAGCGATAACAACAAGAACACACAGTTGATTTAATAAGAATAGGGCCTTAAAGCTCTATTCCACAAACTCTATTAGAATATAATGCATCTTTATTTTAGTCTACTTGGACTACCATAACAAAATAGCATATAAAACTGAAGAACTTAAAAAAACAGACATTTTTGTTTTCATAGTTGTTAGAGGCTGGAAGTCTGAGCTCAGCAGAGTTGGGTTCTGGTGAGGGCTCTCTTCCTGGCTTGCCAGTGGCTGCCTTCTAGCTGTGGCCTCACATGGGAGGGAGAGAGTAAGCTCTCAGGTATCCCTTCTTATAAGAGCACTAATCCCACCATGAGGGCCTCACACTCATCAAGTCATCCAAACTTAATTGCTTCCCAAAGACTCCATCTTTAAACACCATTACATTGGAGGGTAGGGCCTCAATATATGAATTTGGAGGGAACACAAAAATTCATCCATAACACTCTTCAAACCTCAAACCTTACAAATTGCCAGAATATGATTTAATATTGGTCATTATTTCTTCTGCTTCGAACACAGAAAACACTTGATTTGTATTTGTAAATCTCTAGAAATTTTTATCTTAAAATGGCTGATTACTAGGCCGGGCGTGTTGGCTCACGCCTGTAATCCCAGCACTTTGAGAGGCCAAGGCAGGTGGATCACGAGGTCAGCAGATAGAGACCATCCTGGTTAACATGGTGAAACCCCATCTCTACCAAAAATACAAAAAATTAGCTGAGCGTGGTGTCAGGTGCCTGTAGTCCCAGCTACTCAGGAGGCTGAGGCAGGAGAATGGTGTGAACCAGGGAGGCGGAGCTTGCAGTGAGCTGGGATCGGCCACTGCACTCCAGCCTGGGCGACAGAGCGAGACTCTGTCTCAGGAAGAAAAAAAAAGAAAAGGCTGATTACTGAATCTGGCCTATCTTCCCTAAAATAAGCCTTTAATTACAGTTCTATACATTGTCCTCGCTTTATACATTTTCTTCTCTCTCATCCTTTCTATTTTTTTTCTTTTTCTCTGAAACATAACAGCGATATAGTATTGGGTAATTTGCTCAACACCTCTAAACTTATTTTTCTCATCTGTATAATGGGGATAATAATATATTACCTGCCTTATGAGATATTTTGAAGCTTAAATGAGACAACGTGTACAAACATTCAGTAAGTTATTATTACATTCTTGGTATTCTGGTGGTAAAAGCTGCAGAATCAGTGAAGGATTCAAGTATATTATTTGAACTCTGGAATATTGCTTGGGTTTATCCTCTGCTTCACTGATTCAGTTTTCTGCAATGTCAAGTTACTCTTTCTTACTTTCAATGTATTTTTTATTTAAACCATTATGTTATTATCTTTATTATACTTTCTCCTCTCCATTCTGGTATTGTTTAATAAATTGATGTGTTATGGGACTGTCTGATGAAAGCATCAGACAGAGACTTTCTAAAATATACTTTTAGCAGTGAATTTTTAAAATATGGTGATGATTTTTCTCTCTTATTTCCTCTATTCAGAAATTTGCTTTTCTTGACTGTAATTTAAAATACTTTTCTAGGCCTTCCAGGGTTCCTTCATTATTTTGTATATTAGTTCATTAATTCATTCTTACAAACTTAACTCATCTAAACTCGATAATGTTTAAAACTGAACTTCCAATCTTTCTTTTTTAAAATTTCCAACTTTTAAGTTCAAGGGTACGTGTGCAGGACGTGAAGGTTTGTTACATAGGTAAATGTGTGTCATGGTGTTTTACTACACAGATCATCCCATCACACGGGTATTAATCCCAGCATCCACAAGCTATTCTTCCTTATCCTCTCCCTCTTCCCAGCCCCCAGCCCTTGGACAGGCCCCGTGTGTGTTGTTTCCCCAACTGTGTCCCTGTGTTCTCATCATTTAGTTCCCACTTGTGAGAACATGCAGTAGTTGGTTTTCTTTTCCTGCATTAGTTTGCTAAGGATAATGGCATCCATCTCCATCCATGTCCCTGCAAAGGACATGATATCATTCCTTTTTATGGCTGTATAGTACTCCATGGTGACCCAATCTTTCTCTTAAAACCTGTCTTACCACAGCTTCCCCTATTCAGCGACAACTTCATTGTTCCCCAAATCTAGACCAAAACTATTTAATTAAGTTTTGTTTCCTCCCTTTCTCTGAAATCTCACATTATTCATGCTGTCACAATGTTCTACCTGTCCTTTCTTCAAAATGTATCCAGAATGTGACCATGTCTTACCACCTCCCTGCAAACCACCATCACTCCTCCCTTGAATTAAGACAGAGTCCTCCTGACTGGTCCCCCTGATTTCACTCTTGCTTTCCTTCAGTCTTCTGATCCCAACACAGCATAAGTCAGGTCACTCTTCTGCTCAAAACTCTGCTATGGCTCCAAGCTTTACTCAGAGTAAAGGATGAAATGGGCACAGTGGCTTTCATTTCTATACCACCTGGAACTCATCACCACCTTGGCCTTATTTCTTTCTTCCTTTTTTTTTTTTTTTTTTTTTTTTTTTTTGAGATGGAATCTCACTCTGTTGCCCAGGCTGGAATGCAGTGGCACAATCTCAGCTCTGTGCAACTTCTGCTACCCAGGTTCAAGCGATTCTCCTGCCTCAGCCTCCTGAGTAGCTGGGATTACTAGCACCTGCCACTGCTCTGGGCTTTCTTTTTGTAGTTTTAGTAGAGATGGGGTTTCACCATCTTGGTCAGGCTGGTCGTGAACTCCTGACCTGGTGATCGACCTGCCTCGGCCTCCCAAAGTGCTGGGATTACAGGCGTGAGCCACCGTGCCCTGCTGGCCTTATTTCTTTACCTCTCCTCCATGCACTGCTCACTCAACTCTTGCCTCATTGGACTTTTTACTGTTCCTCGAATATACCAATGAAACTCCTTGTTTAGGGCCTTTGCACTAGCAATTTCTTTTGTTTGAAACACTACCACCACCACCATTGCCACTTCCCAACTGATGTCTACATGGTTATTTTCTCCTTTATGTTTTTCCTCTAATGCCACATTTCCAATGAGATTGGCACTGATCACCCACTGGACCAGGCTGGCCATAGATGGGGGACGTGGTATGTATGACCAAAGACAGCTAGGCATCAAACAACCTGGAGCTGGATATTTATTTTCAAAGAATGTAGGGGCTATTCAGGGCTCAGTGTTTTAAGACACTCAAGTTGATGATGAGGATAGGAATGATGACCAATATTTATTGGCAGCTATGTACCAGGCACTAGTTCAATTTTTTTGAACATATTATTATTATTTTTAAATCTCAAATCAGCCTTATGAGATACAGTCTGCTCTTAGAAGTCCCAATTATAGATGAGGCTGTGAAAAGCCCTCAGAACTCTGTCAGTGCCTCTGTTTCTAAAGACTTATTCTTTAAATCTGATCCTAGAAGGGCTATCTTCCAGGAACATAGGAATTACCCGATAAAGACCAAAAGCTTTTCCTTATATAATTCATTAATCATGTCTTCTAAGTAATGCAAAAATTACTTCCTTCCTCTCATCTCTTACAAGATGGAGGAAATCATCAGGCAACTAACACTAGGGATTGAAAGCTCATCTAACTCAAATTTTTTATTTTAGAGATGACATAATTGACGTACAAAGAAAGATCGACTTTCTGAAGTGATGTGTCTAACTAATGACAGAACTTAGACACAATTCCTAAATGTGATGTGACTTAGTTTCCAGTCCCAGCTGACATTATGGGTAATGTACACGGCCATCGACAATCTTCACTGGGACCTCATGTGTCAGCTTTATATGCTGATTAGTCACATGTTTGACTCAAAATTAGAAGAGGAAACTCTTTCCTAGAATGGGTATTCATGTACTGTTATAAAATGTTGCTTGCTCTCTACTCCCAGACTGTCTTCTCGCTTCACAGTTGCCCAGCATCCTATTCTTAAAATTGGCTCCAGAAGGAAGCCCTCTTTGTCACTTGGAAAATCATTAGCCTTCATTTCTGACTCCATCTCTCTATAGGGAAGGCATTAGGTAGAAAGTTCATAAAGCTCTAATTGAGGAATGGACCTATAAGGTATAAAAAAAGAAAAAATATTCACTAAAAATTATATTTTCATTTTTTTCTTCACTTAGCCCTGAAAGGAAATTGTGCTGCATCATTTCCTATCCATGACTAGCATTTTTGGACTCAAATAATTTAAAGGCATTACAAAGACAATCTCTGAGAAAATGACACAATTTTACAGCAAATACAAAACCAGTAATATTTGTTTTTAACATTCCCTCTCCCTGGATCTTTCATATATTATATGTATTTTTGTCTCAATATATTTTTTCAAATGAACTTAGTGGGAAAGATAACATCACTCAAATACTACTTGTTTCAAGGACTAGTGGGAGTACCGAAAAAGGAGAAATGACATGAAAGAAAGAATAGCTTGAAAACTTTATTTTTCTATTAAAGTATAGGAGATCCTTTTCTTTAAATCTGGCTTATAAAACCACAATTTGAAGTAATCTCAGTGATATTATTATCACTACCAGATAGACTGGGATGTTTAAGCAAAGTAATGAACTCCTGGTAACAGTGATGAAACTCCAACTTTCTTCGATGTTACAATCACAGGTCTATCCTGAAAGTGCTTTAAAAACTGTATCTCACTTGGTCATAGAAGCAATTCATTTTTCCTGATACTAGAAGCAAACGTCAATAGCCAAAAAATTTAGTGTTAGTTGGCAGACTGCCCAACAAACAAGCAAACCCAAGAACCATTAGAGACCATCTCTGTTATTTATTGTGTGAGTCCTGGAAAATCTTCAATTTGTTTCTAGATAAGAGAAAAATAATCCCCACTTACACCATTTCTAAGTTTAGGATTTAAACTTTTAAATCCTTTCCCTGAGAGAGACTGCATCAGAGAAATATAAGGGAAGATTAAAAAGTACAATAAAATTCAAGTGATCTGCTCTGGTCATCAATGGATAGATGAGGATTAGACCATGTTTATTATGATACCTTAAATTTGTTTTTATCAATCAGTTTTTATATTAAGCTCTAAAGAAGTGTGTTTACTTCCCAATTTACGTGTGTGAACATAGGAAAAAAGAAGTAACATTTGGCATGTCTCTACAAGCTAATTTGGTCTTTTGTTTTTCTTGTATAATGTTTTTCTTGTATAATGTAATATATGCCTAGTAACACTTCAGTCAGGTTCAATTAAACTTTCATTTGATAATTTGTTAATTTTAAAACTTTACTTTCTATGCAAGATGTAAAACTGTCCTATAATGCAATAAACTAATCAGCCCAAGATGATGTTATAAAAAAGGTAATTACCTAATTTTTATACCCTTTTTTTTTTTTTTTAAGACAGAGTCTTGCTCTTGTCACCCAGACTGGAGTGCAATGGCGTGATTTTGGCTGACTGCAACCTCCACTTCCTGGGTTCAAGAGAGTCTACTGCCTCAGCCTCCCAAGTAGCTGGGATTACAGGTGCCTGCCACCACGCCCGGCTGATTTTTTGTATTTTTAGTAGAGACGGGGTTTCACCATGTTGGCCAGGCTGGTCTCAAACTCCTGACTTCAGGTGATCCACCCACCTCAGCTTCCCAAAGTGCTTGGATTACAGGGCATTTCTATTAAGCTTAAGTACATCGATCAGGGAACTTAGCGGATCAACCACAAAACTATAGGCTGGATGCAAAGTGATCATCCTCCATTGCAGCACAGCATTAAAAAAAAAGCAATCTGTTTATGTTGGCACTAAATGTATTCAAGTAAAACAACATAAACTTGCCTATTACTTCCGTCTTATTCTACATATTTTATTTGTTTGATGTCATCCTTCTCTTCTACCTTCTTAAAATCTGTCTTGTCTATTATTTTTCATGAGTTTTCTACGTTTCCCTATCTTCCATGAATTAAACAGTATTCATTTTTTCCCTGACTCAATCCTTTATCTTACTGAAGCACTATTGCAAACAATCTCTCTTAGCCACAGTTTTACTATGAAATAGCTACGCTATGACACAGAACAACAGACAACAGTGAATGTCATTTAACGGTTTAGGGTAGAAATTCCTGAGCTGGAGTACGCTACAAAGGGTAATACATTGCCAAGAGGCAAGTAACTTCCTATCTCCACTTTAGGATGGTATCCTCAGTACAACTCACACTTAGAACTGACAATATCTTTTGCAGCAACATGGATGGAACTGGAGGCCATTATCTTAAGTGAAATAACTCAGAAAAAGAAAGTTAAAATACCACATGTTCTCACTTATAAGTGGGAGCTAAGTAATGTGTACACGTGGATACAGAGTGTGGAATAATAGACACTGGAGACTCAGAAGGGTAGGAGGAAGAGGGGGCGGTGAGGGATGATAAATTACTCAATTGGTACAATATACGCTATTCAGGGGATGGTTACATTAAAAGCCCAGACTTCACCATTATGCAATATATCATGTATCAAAACTACCTTTGTAACCCCTAAATGTATTGTAAAAAGAAAATATATAAATAGAAATGCAAAATAAAACCTCACTGGAAGCAGTTAAAAAATGATGACCTTCTAATGATCATTAAGCATCTTAACTGGAGTAGGAATGATGAGCTCTGACATCCTTTTTCCAGCCCCTAAGCTTCTGATGATGGAAAGACAGTCATTGGTCACAGGAAATTGAGAGGCCAATGGTAAGCTGTGGTGGGGGATGGTGACTAGACCTTCTCACTGACATGCCTGGAGACTATTACCTCTCAATTCCCAGTACGAGTAAATTTGGAGAATACCAGGTGGATAAGATATCTTCCTTGGACAAGGGATATAAAAAAATGGTGGGGAAAAAGTGGACACGCACGGGGAGCAATCTAAGGTGCACCATCTGCACATACAAAAATGTGCTCTCTTGCTGGATGAAATTGAAACTGAGCTCAAAAAGCATGAGAATAGGGATCCCAGAGAAATAAAGGAACTCTGATTTCACCTTTAGAAAGTGTTAGGTACCCACAAGCCACCATAAATGAGGTAAGAAGAGGTGGTCAGGATTGAGAATAATGTGGGTAGAGATGAAACTGAAAAAGCAGACTTGAGATCGTGCCACTGCACTCCAGCCCGGGCGACAGAGCGAGACTCCGTCTCAAAAAAAAAAAAAAAAAAAAAAAAAAAGGCAGACTTACGCCAGGCTGTGGATGAAGCACCTTGTATACCTGGGCTGAGCAGATGTGCAGATGTTCATGTTCACTGAGGAAAGAGGAGTGGTGTGGGGAAGGGAAAGAGGACATATAAAGTTTCAAGAAAGAAAAGAACATTACCAGATAAGAATTTTAGAAAGGAGAAGTTGAAAATGATGCAGAGATTTCTAGCTTGGGCTACATTTAGGGTACCTGAATGTAGGAAGGGTCTTAGTTTAACCTGAAACAAACAAAAGGCAGAGCTTTCAGCATAAGAGCTAAGTTCAGTTTGGGGTAGGTAAAATATTAGGTGATTACAAAAATATGTGTTCACTTACGCAAGCTTAAAAAGAATCTGTCAATGAACATCAAAGAAACAGTGAGTATTTTTCCACTTTTCGCCATACTTCTTGTACAAATATTACAAACTTGTGCATGGGCATGAGTATAAGATGCCACAGGTCTGTCAATGACTGTGGATGGGGGTATAGCACCTGCATGTGGATGGAGGCATGATGTGTGGGGAATTGGGGGGTGAGTGTTCATTTGGGTGAGGATCACATGCCTGCCTATGGATGTGTGTGTTACAGAATATGCTTATGGCAGAAAATACACATAGACAACCACTCACACATTTCTTTGAAAAATACATTTTTGTTGTTCTTCTAAATCAGCATTTTCTGAATAACATGACTATGTTTCTTGGAACATAGTGTCTAATAAGCTGTTGATAAGTATTCCATGATGAAAGCTTCTTGCATTCAAATTAATTTAAGAAAAGCTGCAGGCGACATGTGTCCTCTGAGCATCTTCGAGGGCCTTGAAAGGCTACTGAAGGCTCTGAGATGTCCTACAGGAAAGAAATTCACTTTCCCTTTTTTTTTTCTTTTCTTTTTTTTTTAGAGGACTTTCAAACTTATTTGGCCACAGAATTCCTTTATTCAAAAAACATGTATTAATAACCAAAGGGATACCGGTTTTACAAAACAACACTGGAAAAAGCAGATATAAATGTGTCCAGTGAAGCAGAAACACAGTGATAATAATGAAACTGACTTTGGTAAATATGGGCAAATCCAATACAAAATTTTCAGGTCAAATATAATTCCTTTCAGGCCTAATCATTCCTGCAAATTATCTTCAAAGCTAAATTAGCTCTCAAACTTCTTAAGCAGGTAGGTCTTTGTGTACAGATATTAACTTTACGTGATTTGCATTTTAAAAAAGGAAAGGTTTCAGGCTTTTCTATACAAATTGAGGAACTATTGAAGTGTACTCTGGTTTGTGTTGTCCCTTCAGTGACTGAGAACTCTAAACCAATTTGCAATCCGACAAATCCAACACCTTTTGGATAATGCAAACTAAGAAAGTGCTAATTGGTTTCCATGGTCATACCTACAGCTTTATTTAAATGGATTAGGAACATAAAAAAAATACAGAATATATAACTGCAGAGCCATTTAAATTATAATGAAAAACAGTCTAGTTGAATGAAGTGGGAAATAAAAGAACTGATGATAATAATTTAAATAGTAGGTAGTACAATGAGGACCTGCTTTGCATTAGATGCCATTTCAGATAGTTTGTGTACAATGTGTCTTATCCTGTCTTGGAAAACAAAAACCGGCACTAGAGAAGCTAATCAACTAAAAATAAAAATAATAGCTAACATTTATCAAGAACTTATGTGTCAGACACTGTTGTAAGAATTTCACATTAGTAACTCATGTGATCCTCACAGAGAACCCCACGAAGTGGGTACCACTAGTATCCCCATTTCACAGATAAGATAACTTAGTCTCAGAACAATCAGCCATACTGACAGGCAACAGAAGAGCCAGGATTTGGGCACAGATATGTCTCTAAATCATCTGCTCTTTCTACCTCTTTACTGTCCTAATCTCACATTTGCATGCTTTGCATTCTCCCCAAGTTCTATAAATTGATGGAATTTTAAGTTATTACAAAATGGCTGATGTTAGAGCCTTTTGAAAATTTCAGGAAATCGTGTCCCTAAGGGCCTTTAACAGAGTTAACATAAAATAATCAGTTTTATAAGAAGATGTTCCTACTTCTGTATTTGATGTCACCCTTCATTCTCACAGTTCAACCCCAAGAAATGTCACTTGAAGTTACTTCACTTGAAGTTACTTCTCTGGACAGTTTTTGATATATTCAGCAATAAAATGAATCAGCAACCTCTAAAAGCAAAACTTTGTGTTACACTTATGAATTTCTGTCCTGATTTCAACCTTTTATTGCTAAAGTTTTTAGTCTAAATAAGTATTTTTCTCCCAACTCTGGCATGTTGCCTGATTCAACCAAATTGCTGTCCATATTTCTTTTGCTGGTAGCTGCTACCTGGCAATAAGCCATATGATGCCAGAGTGATTAAAGCCAGAATTTAGGTTTCAGGTAAGCACGCCTTCCTTGGATAATAGAAATGTTATATCCAGATCCAGAGTTAAGTCAACCCCTCTCCCACTGACCAAGTAACATAGTTTGGATGTCCGCTCCAAATCTCATGTTAAAATGTAATCACTGTTAGAGGCAGGGCCTGGTGGGAGGTGTTGGAGTCATGGGGGCAAATTCCTCATGGCTTAGTGCCATCCTAGAGATAATGAGTGAGTTCTTGCAAGATCTGGTTGATTCAAAGTGTGTGGCACCTCCCCCACCTCCATTGTTCTCACCTTCGCCATGTGAGACCACTGTTCCTACTTCACCTTTTGCCGTAAGTAACAGCTTCCTGAGGCCTCACTAGAGACTGAGCAAACGCTGGTGTCATGCTTCCTATACAGTCTGCAAAACCATGAGCCAATTAAACCTCTTTTCTTTATAAATTGCCCAGCCTCAAGTATTTCTTTATAGCAATGCAAATGCAGCCTAACACACCAAGTTTAGAGAAGGTAGCTGTCACATTCTAAAAAGGAATTTCAACAAGTTAAGCAAGCAAACCAAGCCAAAAGTAAGGGATGGCTGAGGGACTTAGTAAGTTTCATGCAAGAATAAAGGGAAACGATATTTATAGTTTTTCTCTAATGCAAAAGGCAATGCTTGGAACTTCACTACATTTATTAATTGCCCAGAACCACCCTGGAAGGGAGTTTATTACTACTTCCATTAATAGATGTTAAAGAGACATGTCTGGGTAATGCAGGTGGTGACTAAGCTCGGACTTGCACCCAAGTCTGGTATGAAAGTCCTGTTTCTACTACCTCACATGCCTTCCTAAGGCAAAAAACAAACAAACAAACAAACAAACAAAACAGGAAAGAAGATTTAGAGTTGGACCAAAGAGCTGCTTTCAAATGTGGTTATAGAAGAAAAGCATGAGCCTTGTTCTACTTAACTCCACAAAGAAGAGTTGGGACTGTGGTAAAGAGATAAAACTTGAGATACAATAGAAATACTTTTCTAACACTAGACCTGTCTGAAAACGGGAGGAAAAATTCTGAGTTTCAGTCTCCTGTCATGAAAGGGGTCCAAGAAGAAGCTGAAGGGCCAGGTTTGAAGTCTTCTCTGGTCTCTAAAATAATTTGATCAGGCCATGCGCGGTGGCTCACACCTGTAACCCCAGCACTTTGGGAGGCCGAGTTGGGTAGATCACGAGGTCAGGAGATCAAGACAAGCCTGGCCAAGATGGTGAAACCCTGTCTCTACTAAAAATACAAAAATTAGCCAGGCATGATGGTGGGCGCCTATAATCCCAGCTACTCTGGAGGCTGAGGCAGATAATTGCTTCAACCCGGGATGCAGAGGTTGCACTGAGCAGACATTGCACCATTGAACTCCAGCCTTGGTGACAGAGCAAGACTCTGTCTCAAAAAAAAAAAAAAAAAAAAAAAGATAATAATAATTGGATCCTAAAATTCTAAGCAAAATTCATATTCTCTGAAAAATACTTGATATCACGAACACTTCTTCTCAATAATCTCCATTCCTTCTCAGCTGTGCAACATTAAGAAGTTGGACTGCTGTTCCTCAGTTTGCTTATTTGTGAAGCAGAAATAAAATCATTTTTATGCCATCTTTTAGAAGATTGAGGCGAACAGAAGATTATGATAAAACATTTGAAATTCTTAACCCATCATAAACTCCAAAGAGTGTTATTTACCTCTCCCTACATGTTTATGAGGTCCAAGTCAGTGTCAGAGCTGTCATGGAGGAACTTCCTGTCACCATGCAAAAAGCACAGTGAGTCTTGCTCATATGTGTGTGCCTGGATCACTCATTAGTGTGCATTTGCTGTTGACTCACATGTTTTCCTGCTTTTTCACTTTTTTTTTCTTTCTTTCTTTTTTTTTTTTTGGGGGGGAGACAGAGTCTTGCTCTTATCCCCTAGGCTGGAGTATAGTAGTACGATCATGGCTCACTGCAACTTCACCCTCCTGGGCTCAAAAAGGGATCCTCCAACCACAGCCTCTCGCATAGCTGGGACTACAAGCATGCGCCATCACACCCAGCTAATTTTTGTAGTTTTTGTAGAAATGGGGTTTTGGCATGTTATAGTTGCGAACCACTGAGCTAAAGGGATCCTCTTGCCTCGGCCTTCTAAAGTGCTGGAGTTACAGGTGTGAGCCATCGCATCCGGCCTTGTTCACTTTCAAAGAAAAAAATGTAGTGTTTTGATGCATTGCTTTTAGGTCTTATGAAGTTTTTAGTTTTTTTTTTTTTTTCTACACAAAAGCATAAACTTAGCTACTTATGTGCCATCCTTTTCCTCTAATTTTTCCATCCATGCTTTCCATCCATGCTTTCAACGAAGTATAACACTGTTCTGTTTTATAGTTAATCATATATGTGCTACTCTCTTCCAAAGAGTGGTTATTGGCTGCAATCACTTTCTATTGACCTTATTTAATATACAAAATATTTTAGACGTGGAAAACTCTTACTGTTGTGGAGATCATTAGAATCTTACTTTCTGGTACCTCCCCCTACCACCCCCCCAAAAAACTGGAAGACTATTAAAAGAGAAAGAAATTTATGCCAAATACACATGACTATTAAGGGGCTTGGATATGATTTTTTAAAGTCATCTCTGAAGTTTAAGTAGATATTGATAGGAAAAAATGCCATTATAGAAGTATTCATCATAGACACGATTTAACAAATAGATTCCATGCTTAAAGTAAGAAGACATACATCAACTTTATTTGTGTGCAAAAAAGTGTAGGAATAGAAAATCAAAAGTCTAAGAATGTTTTATTTCATTTGAAAACAAAATTTGTCATTTAAAACCCTGTTGTCTATCTATGGCCAGGTTGTTTTCAGGTCACTGTGGGGGTTCACACCAACTTACAGGATTCCAGCAACAAACTTATTTCAATCCACTGCCCTGTGGCCTATAAAACATGCCTGGCCTCCCAACCTGAGAGGTGCCACTAGCAGTTTTATCTTTTTATCACTCTGACTATGCTTGTATAGAAGACGATGGAGCCTCTCCTTATCGCTGCTTCTGGCTCTCAAGTTAAGAATGCGCCTTTGGAAGACTACGTTAAAAATATGTGGAATTTTGTTGTTGTTGTTGTTGTTCTTTTATTTACAGAAACTACAAAACTGAACTTTGTGTATGTTCATGTGTGTGTATTTAAGGAGGCTAATTAACCAAAATGCCAAAAAATAAAAGCTTAAAAACCTCACAATTTGGATCTTACATCTCTAGGCATAAACATTTGACAAAAAATAGGAAATAAATATTCATTGTGAGGAAGCAAAATGTTCTAAAATGATATAGATTCCCAAACACATAGTCATCCACATAATCTATAATACATGTACATATGCATGCATAGGTATACATATAAATACTACATAAAATAGGAGAAATTTAAAAAACAGTATAAGTTAAATGTTTTTCTTTCATAGCATCTTGCATACATCTATACATTATAAAATATAATTATATATCCATTTAAGATCATCAGTGTTTTATGTTATTTGTTCCATAAAAACACTACTGTAAATGTGGTAGAAGTAATAAATGAAAAGCATAGTCCCTTCGTATGAATAAATACTTGCACATCTCTATTCAAGAAAAAGTGTTATCACATTCACCCTGATAAAATGATATAAAATTTATTTAATTGGTGGGGTGGGGGTGTGGTGACATGTAGGTTATAAAAGAAATAATAAAGTCCTCGTTAAGATGAGCTGAAAGTTTCTGTGACAAGGTAAAGTGCCCTGTACTGAAATAAATGTAGATTCTAAGATTTTCAGCTTTTAAAACAGATTACAACTTTCACCATTACTCTGAAATTTGCTTGCCTCAGATATACTCTAATACTTAGACTGCATAATATTCACCAGTTTAGATGGATTACACCCAGAAATGAAGTCTTGGTGCTAGCATTACATTTAGCATCCATAAAAGCATAAGGAAGTAATCATCATGAATTGAAACTCCAACAAATAATTATTAAACCTCTACTATGTTGCAGGCAGATAAAATTGAATTTTAATATAAAACATTAGTAAAAATTAATTGAGACTCCTAAAACCCATTAAACAAAAGAATATAAAATGGACAAGGAAGAAAAAATTCCGTTAGATCTTGAGCTTCCTACTAGGTAGTAAAATAAAAGTAGAATAGGCTCTGGAGTCAGACCAAACTGAGTTCTAATCCCACTTGCACAGTCAGCAGCTGTAGAATTTTAGACAAGTTGCTATAAGACAAATGATAATGCCACATGGATTAAATAAGATAATGCATGAAAAGTACCTCACATATTCCTTGCATGCTAGCAGATGCTCAATAATGAGATTTTTTTCATTAAACACATAACTGGTAACATCAATGGGAAAATATTAACTCTACCCCTGTACTTAAGAATATAAAAAATTCTTAGTAAATGTTTGCTGAATGAATGAGCACTGAGTGAAATCCAAACTGTGCAGAGGCACACAACAAAGCTGTGACAAGGCTGGAACACTTTCCTCTGTCTCCATTCCCCTGAGATGAATTTCCTAGGAAACAAATTTTACCTTTGTAGTTGTTGTTGCTTTGCATCTGTGGTTGTTTAAATACTTTAAGATCAATATAATTTTTTTTCCTGACTGCTAGTATCATTTCCACAGAGAGAATCAACTTTTATATTATTTTATATTTAACTTTTATATTCATCAACTTATAAGACATTATTACAATGTTCCAAAGTTCTGCTTAACTGGTCTCCCAAAAATTACATCAGGTTGGTAGAGCAAAGGATTGTCAGGTGTTTTGGCAGCAAACCAGATCGAGATCAGGATAGAGTCAGGGTTCTGGGATAAGAACACGTTCCATAGGTTTCCCTCAGCCTTCAATCCCCCCTTAAACTAACAGGCCCTTTCACACTTTTCCATCATGATTAACATTCCCAAGTTCTCCCTGGCATAGGACCACTCTTCTAGTCATCACCTTCTGTAAGCCTCGGCACGGTGGTGAAGTCAAACGTGGAAGAAACCATGAAAAACTGGTTCTGGGCCTGAGTCCTTGCTTTGCTCTGCCATTAGTAAGGTATGTGATATGTGATATGAATTTCAACTAGTTCTCTGTTTTCTCTTTTGTTGAAAGAGACAAAATGTCGGTCATTAAAATCATGGGTTTTGCAGTTAGAAATGTGTGGTTTCATACCCTGCCTTTCCCATTTAAGAGCATTATAACTTTACACAAATTACTTAACTGCTTTCTATACCTCAGTTTCTTGATTTATGAAATGGAAATTAATAATAGCATCTCATTTGATAAGGGTCAATGAGACATCTCTAATATAATTATCAGAGCACAAAGCACATGGTTGGTTATTGTCATCCTTATTATCATTCTTATAATATTATCAAGTGTCTTTCACAGCTATAATTATAATCCTCCATACAGAAACTCTACCTTGTTTACAAGTCTAGAAGTCAGGACTACACGGCAATGAATTAGAAAACAAAAACAGAAAATATAATTGAGATAAAAAAGAAGTAAGGGGAGACAGGAACTACCAAATGCACAGTAGTGAAACAGAGTGGATGTAATATAAAGATGTAGACAATATTATTAAAGAGAACCCAAGTCCATTTGAGATGTTAGGACACTCAGAAACATAGTAAATTCGCATTTAACTAAAGGTGACATACGAATAGAAACCACTTTATACATCAGAGGCATTTTCCCCAATATATATAAACACATTTTACTCTACATCTTTAAAAATACACAACATCATATTTCATTAAGTTTGAGTCTAAATCTATAAATTAGATGCACATGTCTTGTTCCTTTAAGTTTTCTGCAGGAAAAAAAAATAAAAGCAATGTATCCTCTGCCCTTGATCTCCAGTTCAAAGCACATATGACACGGAAGCTACATAAATCACAGTGCTCGGTCGAATTAGTTTGAGAGTTTTAGAATCTGAATTATCACATAAGAAGCCCCCAAAGAAACAGTGAATACAAGCACAACTGTAAGATTTGGGGAAGCTAAAATTAACCATGAAGAAAAGGAAATTTATTCATGGAATGCTCTTAGTTCTGTGAATTTGTTTTACAGAAATCAGAGAATTTTATTGTTTTAAAATTAATGACTATAAAATAAAAGTCAGAAATAATCAGTGCAAAGGAATATTTTAAAATACAACACAAAACAAAAATGCTTCTTAAGGCTGACCTAAGGCTCTTCTAACTCAATACTTAAGAGACAGAATCAGTGGAAAGAAAATAAATTACATCAGAATTTTTAAAAAAGCCATCTACCAGAAATCAAGAGGCTACGATAAATCTATAATCTGTCTGGTTCATAGGGAGAGAAAACCACAAATTTGGCAAAGCACAAAACTGGGAAAAATAATAACCTAGCCATTTCAGAATTGGTTTTCTAACATTATTTTTTCTAGAAAAGTCAATTCTTCGTTGTTGAATTTGTTTTATATAATCAAGATCAAATGACTAGGAATCAGGGGTATTAAAATCAAAAGTGAAGAAATTTGTCTTGTTTTCATCTAAATATGAAATTTATGTATTTCTTTTCTCTTTCAAGGGTAATACCCTAAACTTGACCCTTCGGTTCTTGTCCTCTCTCTAAGGTACTGTGTGTTCACTAATTTTAATTTTACTAAGAACTGCTTGTCCCCTGATTTCTGTTTCAAACCAATGTCTAAATGTTGCACTAGTGTGTAGTATGCTCCTGATGTTAATGACTGTTATGTTATAATGAATACTGGGGCTTGTGAGTCAGTAAGATGAAGAAGAACATGCTATGCATCTGATCTAGAAAACATGTGGACTGCTAGTAGTCCTAAGGCAACTCAATGTTTGACATCTCATGTTATGAATCCAGGGGCATATGGGTCACATTCAATAGTCAGGCTAGAATGATGATATTTTCTAGGTTATCTGTGACATTGATAGCCATTCTTTTTAGCTGACCGTTTACACCTCAAACTGAAAACAGTAACAGCAGCAAAACTGTATTGTAATAATATCATAAAACTATAAAGATTTTTATATGTTTTCCCATACAAAATATAACACCAACACCGACACCATATGTTTAGGAGACATAACCTAAAGGAAGCTAGAGCGGATGGCAGCCTCATTAGAATCCACAACTTATTTCTCTGCTTGAAGTATTACATAGTTTAAATTATCTTATCAAAACAAAATGAGGAGCTGTAAGGATTAGAAAAAATCAGAAAAAGACAAATCCTGGCATAGAGATGCTAGCATAAGCCATCATATCTTTACTGAAATAAATTGTTGGTTATAAGTGGGTCCTTGGCGGAAGGGGACAAACAAACTTAAGACATTGTCCAATTCCTTGAAAGTGGTCTCCATGTTTCATCAAAATAAGAGAGTCTTAAGATTTACAAATGGTATTCTATGCAATTTTTGTATTCATTTATACCATAAAAATAGTGCAAGGCAGTATCCCCAATGTATGCATAATTATGAAAGTTACTATATGATTAGAAAACTATTGTTTCAAAATTTATGTTTTCAAATTTACTTTGAATTTAAAAAGAAAAATTTATTTTATTTAACGCTCTTAGTAATTAAAATAGTGTGACTTCCTAAAGACTGTTGTCTCATCTTCTATTTTAAAGCAAACTGTACTCAGAATTAGCTACGATCTATTGTCTGTGTCAAGAAAGAATGTGTTTTAACTGATAAGTGTTTTATGTTTAATAGTATAGCACCAAAATAGGCTGAAAAAAGAATAATCAGCTTACTCTCTATTATCATAAAACTACAATATTGCCTCTAACATATTTCAAATCTGGAAAGTTATTTGATTAAAAAGTAACATTTTGATAAGTAAGAGAAAAAATATTTAATAACATGATCATAATTTATATTTACTTTCTTACTTTCAAAGAATTTCATCACTTTAATGATAATGTAATATTGTTTTTTTCTTATAAGGGCTAATAACATTTCACAACCTGAAACATGAACTTCAATGCAATTTTGAATAATTGCTGTTTCACTATAACTTGCTGCAGTGGAGAACATTAGCTATTTGAGAACTGACATCTAACATCTGCAAGAATTGTGACTTTCAAACACACTGGCCATCAATAAATATCACTTGTTATTAACTTTAACAGTATTTCTACAAACAAAGAGACCCACCTCAGGCTCAGGACCAGCAATTGCTCCTTTGACTTCAGCAGCTCTCCCACTTTAAAACTGGCATAGCCCAAGAAACTTCGCTGAAAATAACAGAAAGAATGGTTTCATTAACTTGAGGTTCTTTAATATTTTTGCTGTCACATCAATCAAACAAAATGAGTCTTTAGAAGAATGAAATATTAAATCTATTAGCCTGACAAATATTTCAGTAACAGAGATAAAATTATCAATAATATATCTACCTCATGGGGTAGGATTAAAGGGTGAAAATGTATCATTTTCCCTAAAAGAAAAGAGACCAACAGGCTAGAAAATAACAAGAGGTAAAATACAGCACCCAGAGTTGTTTCACTAACTATAATTTTCTCTGCATATGAAAACTGAAGGAAAATAAAAGATGATATATTTTCCATATTTACCAATGCTGTTGTTCCTCTTATTAGAATTCCTCAAATCACTGGCAGCAACAACTTTGTATTCCAGATATGAGCAAATCTGTTAGTTGGAGCTATTTTTATGTGGGACTTTGTACAAGTTATAAATAGAAATGTTATATTTTTCCCCCATCACAGCAATGTTTAAAAGCATTTTTCCTTTGTTATTTCTTTACTAGCATGGGACAATTTCATTCTAATACACGAAAGAAAATGGCACTTATTAAGTTACATTTTTTTAAATTGCTTTTTTAGTCTATTATATTAGGTGTTGATGACCTATGAATATCTGCTTTCTACTCTTTTTGACTCAATGTAAAGAATAAAACTCCAAATTGTTTTTTTTTTTTTTTTTCTTTCCCAGGATAAAAAACCTATCATCTCTTTCTAATATCCCTGGCTACTTCTGACTTAAAAGTCACAATATTATGGGATAAATAACATGAAAAAGAGCTCTCATTCTTCCCTTAAGGTCAAGGAGTAAATATGAAAATATCAAACCCATGTTATTTCTTATGCCACTGCAGCCTAACAAAATGTAAATACTCCACAATAAGTCAATGCTACTTCTTCCAGAACAGTCTCTCATCATAGGTCTGCTGCTGAGCTACACTAGAATGAGAGGCTGGACAAAGAATTTGAGGGTAATGGCATCTTTTTCGAGGTAAATAGGAAATTATTTCACACATGAAAGGCTGCATCCACACTCAGAGACTGCTAGGCAGAGGAAAGAAAAGCTTCAAGTCGGAATTTTTCTCCCTCTTTTAAAATCTTTAACTTAGATGAGCTGGTCCTAAAAGGCTTAAAATCAAACATTTGGTAAAACACGCTGGTCGTGGTGGCTCACGCCTGTCATGCCTATAATCCCAGTGACCCTGGAGGCTGAGGCAGGAGGACTGCTTGAGGCCAGGAGTTCAAGGCTGCAATGAGCTAAGATTGCATCACTGCACTCCAACCCAGGAGACAGAATGAGACCTCATTTCTAAAAAAGAAAGAAAAGGAAAGGAAAGGAAAGGATAGGAAAGGCAACTCGGTTCTGAAGGAGATACCCAAATATTGCTAATGATAAACCCAATTAATTGACTTAAAATTCAAAGACCTGGTTTAGACACAAAGTCACCAAAGCCTGAAAAATCTGAGACCAAATTATTAGATGAGGAACATTAGGCAAAAAATAGATTTGTGGAAACAAGCTCTGATGATAGGACCGTGAGTGATGAAGTAGAGTGAATCAAGATAAAGAAGGAAGTTTGTGAGCTGTATCAGCAAAGCATGCAGAAATTAGGGTGACTTTTCAGCCAGGGGCAGAGAGGACTCGGAGAGATCCTCCTGAATCAAAGTATTTATGTCACCTCACCAGAGATGCTCTCTAAGACATCCCTATACGAAAGCACACTCCCCTCCCACATACACACTCCTCTATTCTCTATTCCTGTTTTATTTTTCTCTATTGACACTTATGACCACCTGACATATTATATATTTATTTTGCACCTCTCCAAAAAATAATTGAGAATTGAAGCTCTACAAAGAGCTTTCTTTTGTTTGCTGATAACCCCCCACTGCATAGCACACAGTAGGTATCTGGTACATATTTACTGACAATGAATGAATGAATGAACAAATGGCATAGACACTGGCCTTTAAGTAAGTGATTCTATTACATATAGGAGAAAAGCTACCTTTGCAGCTATTTATAAACTACTGTTCACTGAAATGTGGAAAATCAAAACAATTTTATAGTATGCAGATCGTATACTGCTGTAGTGAATTTTATTTTAGCATTTTGTATTTTAAAGAGATGTCGATCTTACTTTCTCCTTCACTGATAATCATAGCTTTTAAATTAAATTCCCACTCATTATTCACACTCAAAGAAAACTTTTAAGCAATCATAAATTTTATGAAACTCCAAAATTGCAAATTATTTTCTATTTGCCTTTTAAGATTTTGGAGGTATGGGTGGTTTTAAAATTGATAAAGCTGGCTACACATGTCATGAGATTATTGCAGTCTTTTTGGCAATAAAAGTAGCAAACACCCCACAGTGGAATGTAGCAGCTAGAGACAGGTGGAATTGCTATTTTCAGACATAAACTATGGACTCACCATAAGGCACAGCTGCAAGTAAAATTTATGACCGCAAGTCATTGAATGTTTCTCCTGTTCACCAGACCAGGAGCTCCTGTGGAAGCAGAACGTTGGCTTGTCCATCTCCTAGCTGAGCCCAGTGTCTGGAACAGAGGGCTGCACTGTGAGTGCATACAGTGTGCCAAGAACAATGCCCATGAGTCAGGTTTATCCATTATAACTGTCAGCCACTTGCTTGATCTCAAAGGATAATGAAAATGGTCACAAATAATAAAATCTGTTAAAAATCAATCTGGATAACGATGGCATCATACCATTACATTTCGTAAACTTGTCAGACAAGAGGAGTTATTATTTGGGTACCAATGCTATCCTTTTTTTAATCCTAAAAATAACTGTATATCAGGACTGCATGTTGTATAAACTACATTAATAAAATCAAAAAATGTGAGGACAATTGTTTTATGCTGCAACAACAAACAATGGGATTGCCTATACATTTACTTTCGAGCTGGTTTCTTGTTTTCTTCACCTCAGTATAAATAAAAGAAGGATTCTCTCACCCTCAAAGTTAGAAAATAAATCTTTTATCTATGTGAATACTCACTGAACACATTGTAAAAGAATGAATGAGAAGAGTCTTCTCTATAGCACATGATGCTAATGTAAAAGAATAATTTAATATAAAGCTATTATATCTTTGCTATCACTGTCATTATAATTATATAATTTAAGATAATTTATTTAATTTTTTAATATTTTAAATATAATTCAAGGGACAGTGTTTTCTGAATATCCTTTGGTGCTGTTTCTATCAGGGGAAAATAAAGACAAAAAAGGGAAAGCTTCACTAGAGTTGGAGCTCAGAGGTCTGAAGTGTGGCTCTAAATCAGTTATTCTGTCCAAAAATGAAAATCTGGACAATTACATTACTTCTTCCGGCCCCCAGGCTCACCATCTACTGCTAAGCACTGTCACTTCTTATTTCCCTGTCTTCTCTCTTATGAAGTCTGCGGTCTTGAACAAGTTGCTCCACTACTCTAGGCCTTAGTTGCTGAAAAAAATGCCTATGATAACTTATCTTTCTCATAGTTATTGCTATGAGAAAATTAAAGAAATCCAGACAAAGAAAGCATCTAGCCAGGAAAATAAAACATCTCCCATAAATAGAACTTTGCATAGTGATTAAGATCATATAACCAGAAGTCAGATGCCTTAAAAGTATCTAATGTGCAGCTTAAACACTTTTGGGAAAAGGCAAAGTATTTTTTAAAAAGTCTATGAGAAATGCCTGCACTACAAAAAGAAAAATATATCTTTAAAAATAAATATGAGATTTGGGGGAAATATAACTTAGAATAAATTTTAGAAAAAAAGATGAAAAAAGATACAAAGGCCAAAAGGTACTATGTAGTTATGAATATTATTGTTGAGAAAATGTTACCTATGATCCCTTATAGCTGTTAGTAGTATTAGATTACATAGGATGTTTAAAGAACCTTAAGGATTAAGGCCCTGATAGTCTGTAGATAAGGAACTGGGGCCTCTAAGAGTAAACTGGCTTACACATGTCACAGAACTAGTTAATCTGCAGAAGGCAAGTTAGAACCCAGGTTTCTTGCTTCTCTGTCCAGCATTCTTTCATCCCCACCATGCTATGCCTCATTTCTAGGACAGGTGGCAATTCCCTTTCCTTCTGACAGACTCTCTGCCTGCACGACATGCAGCTCTAGCCTTTCTTGCCTGCTCATGACAACTCAACACTCAGTTATTCTGGTGCAAGAACCCCAAAGCAGATAATCATTAAATTGTTTGCTGCATGATTTCCATCACTCTCACCTAGCTGGAGAGTAATATCAAACAGGGTGAAAAAAAGTGGTGCATCTGTCAGAATCCCTGGCCTCTCCCTACAGGGAGTGTCCACATGAATAGTGTAACCCACCAGCCCCTGCAGCCACTCCGAGCAAGTCACAGATATCCAGACTGCTCACTAGGATTTGACATCTCCATGCAGCAGATCCTCTGTGGCTCCCCAGTCACCTTTAAGGGGGTCAGAGAAGGTACAGCACCATACATATGGCCACAGCTGGCCAAACCTCCATCATTCATATCCTTCTCACAAAGCCTGTATTCAAAGCACAGGTTTTTTTTTTTTTATATTACAATTTGCATGGACCTCCTCAAATTTATTCAACTATTCTCCAGAGCTGTGCTATCCAATGGGTAGCCACTGGCTTTAGCATGTAAAATGTGGCTACTCCAAGTTGAGATGTACACTCAGTATAAAATGCACACTGAATTTAGAATGCTTAGTATGAAAAAAGAAATATGAATATATAATTTATTGTATTGATTAAACTTTGGAATAATATTTTGCATATACTGGGTTAAATAAAACATATTAAAATTAATTCAGCCTGTTTCTTTTTACTTTTTAAAAACACAGCTGCTTGAAAATTTAAAATTACATATGCGGCATGCATTTTGTGACATACATTATATCCATTGAACACTGCTGGTTTAGAGGTTAAATGAATATATCAATAATATTTTGACCTATCATCATAAAACAACACATAGGAACTATGGTATAAGTTTTAAAAGGTCTCTGAAAAGTTGAAGTTTCTATCATAAGACTGATACACAACATCTCTTACACATAACTCACAGGCAGGCCTTTTCATAGCCCCAGTACTTTTTTTTTTTTTTCTGTTAACCATAACAGGTATGGTTATATTATTTCCTACCCCATAGGAAGAGAAAAAGACCAAGTGAACTATTAACATTGAAAAATACATCAAAAAGAAAAAATAATTGGGAAGAAATCTATTAAAAGTTGATGAATAGCCCAAAGGAAACATTAAAAAGCACTTTAAGGTAAAGTCATTTATTACAGAATTTTATCTTTACTTGTGAATATACCTCAAAAGGTCTAAGAGCATATATTAGTATTTGCTTGACTAAGTCATCAAGAAAATATTTGGGTGCATCCACTAAATTCTGTTTGAGAATGCAAAGAAACACACCTAACATATTTGAAAGATTATAATAAAAAATCTAAACTCCTTTAAAAAAAATTAGAGTACTTGAAGAGTAAAGCCCTTGTATGTTGTAATGACAGAGCCATTACTGGCTCTGTCCTCGGCCAAGAGCTTAAACTCTCCGATCTGTTTTGCGGTGTCCAAGGAAATATTTTGAGGATTCGCTGATAGGATGTATATTAACAAGTGGTACTTCATAGGTGGTCAACATGTGTTAACTTCTCTCTCCAAAATAACACGTAATCTGAGGGTGTTAGGAAGTCAATGCATGCTAAATTGTTCCTTTTTAGACTTATTCTTACCGTGCTTGAACTTTAGTTCTGAAATCTTACCTGCCATTTTGAGTTCTGATGGGTCACAAAATTTGTTAGATTTTCTACTGTATTATTACAGTAATTTCTAGAATCCCCCACCCATTTATTTCTGGTGGTTCTAATAATACATAAAATGGTTGGCAAAATAAAATCATGGTGTGCTTTTTGATTTATTCAATACATAGTTCATAGATTTGCTAGCTTCCAAGCACAAAGCCAGGAATATTAGAAATAGAGACTTTGCTCTCATGGAGTACATCTAGCAGGAGTGTGGAGACATGACTGATTGCCTATCTAACTCACTTTCTGCCCTTTCTTCATTACTAATAGCACCTCAGTTTTGTTTAAATGAGAATTGTACCCAGATTCTCTTCTAGCTAAGGACTTAGGCGCTCCCCAATACTATGTAAGTGACAGTATACAAAATGAAATTTCCCAGGAAATTATTGTTTTCCAGAATTGAAGGGATAGGCCAGCTGAGCTTTTTGCCCTTGATTTTTCACTCAACCCAGAATGTGCTACCTGGGGTACCATGGCCAGTTTGTGCAATTCTCTAAGAAAGAAGGACCAGGAAGATGGATAGAGTCTGGTTGCTTCAAGTCACTTTTGAGTAGCTGAAGCCCTGGACAATTTTCCCAAGACTTCTATAACATGAGAAAAACAAACCCATTCATTAGTTTTAAGCCAGTTTGTCACGTTACTTGCCTTAGGGTACGTTCCTAATTGCAAAAATAGGCATGTCACAGGATACCAATTGAGATTTCTCTTTTAGTCCAGGAATTATAGCCGAGTTTTTTCAAAGATGAAGACGCAATGTAATAAATGTACCCCATTGTATGTTCAAAGAACCTTCAGTGTTTGAGGCAAGCAATCTCATTAACACGCCTTGATGAGGAGCCAGTATAGAGACGCTGGTCTATAAGTAGCCACAATATATCCAGTTAATATAAAGCTAGGGCTAGAAGAGAGGAGAGATCAGCATTTAGGAAGGTGTCCGATTTCAGAGATGTGGCTAATTTCTCTCTTAATCATCCCCCAGGAAAATATCTTTATCCTCAAAGCTGAAGCCAAGAGGGTCTGGTGCCAAAAATCACTTAGAAAGCCTAGAGGTGTCTAAACCACGTTTACCTCCACTGGGAACTGATTGTCTCTCCTTTGAGAATCATTGAATATGATCCAGTGCCTGAAGCTGCTGGCACTCATAGAAAGGATCAGCAGAGAGATGGCTGAGCCGAAACAGGAAACCACACAATGGAACAGCCTGCATTTCTTCCATGTGGGATGGCAAGTACATGTGCGTTTCATGTATTTGGACAGCACAGAAAGTGGCTGACCTGGAGTCATGTGCTTGAATGGTAGATCTCACAACAAGTGGTTGTGGAATGGGGGTGGGCAGTGGAGGAAGTGGGCCCAGAGCCAGGTCCCCCATGGTAGGCAATTATGCTATGGAGAGAACCTGACAAGGGCCTCAGAAATATCTATACCTGTGCCCATCAGAGAGCCAGCAAATCAGTATCTGCCACATAGAGGACTCTTAACAGGTAACCATTGCCTGAGAAGCATCAAGTCTAGCAGTAAGAAAACCTTGCCCTCACCAGGGGCAAGCCCAGAATAAACCTCTGTCTCCCTACTCCTTCCTCTTTGCTGCCACAACTGAGGAATCAAAAGAAGAAAGGGCAGGACATGTGTGGGACTCACATTAGGCTTCCTCCCCACTGCACGTTGCTAGAGTCACAGAAAGTCTAGCCCGTAGGGGGAAATGGTGGGAGGAGGTAGAAGAAAATAAAATCAGAAAAGAGACTCAAGGTTTAAAATAATTAAGATGGATTCCCAAGAACATGAGTGAGAGAAAAAAATTGGAGAAATCTACACGACTGGGCCAAAATATCATTAAAGCTTCAAGCAAGGGGGATTCAACACAAGAGCAGTGGTGGAGTGGGGTCGGGGCAGGCAGTGAACACAGGAGAAAAAAATTAAACCAGCTAAGCTTCCTTGAACCTTGATAAATAAATGGAACACCTTGATAGAATAATGTATTCCCCATATTAATACTTTAAAAAGTCTCACATTTTATGAAGCAGTGCCAGGGGTGTGATGAGAGTATGCATTTAGGATGGAGGGTCCAGTTGGAAGCAGGGCCCCAGGGTGGTACTAGTGGAAACATGTGAGCTGAGCCCTGAGCTGTGGAAGGGAGCCCTCTCCCCATGAAGTGCAGCAGCCCAGGCTGACAGAGGTCCATCTGCCTGTGTCTGTGGAGGTCTGAAGCTGGGGAGAACTTTCTGGATGCACTGGAGGAAGTAAATGAAGGTTTGTGTAGTCAGCACAGAGATTGGTAGTAGAAGTGAATGGCACAAGAGGTTGAAGGCAGAAAAACTGCAAGGACTCCCTCAAGTCAAAGCAGTTACTCAACTAGTCCCAAGGAAGAGATGAGAGGCTTGTGTTAGGCATGAGAAAGCAAGACATCGCCCTTTTCCCTCTGCTTTTTCACTAACAGCTGCAGAGATAACTGACATTCTGCTCAGTCAAGTCAAACTTTGGTGCATGTTTTTGGAGTCCTTCCTTGGCAGGTTTGAGAAAGTGGCTGTGTTCAATGAGAAAATTAATGGTACCTAGTACAGTGCCCTACACACTGACTGGAAGAAGGTTGTCAAGTACCTGTAGGATTTCAGGGTATTTCAAATAGCTCTTCCAGTTGGCTCAGCCCCAGGGCTTCTTAGACCTAATTAACTTCTGGTCTTTTTCCTCCTCTCTGAACACACAGATCGCAGGGATTCAGCCTGTGGGCTATATCTTTTAGGAGCTGCCACCGCCTACTCTAGCCTTGTCTAAGCAGAAAGCACCCAGTACCTTCTTGTTCTTCTCTAAATTCTGAATGCTAGAGAGGCAATAGTTCAGTGCAGCAAGAAAACCTCAGCAGGATTTTCCAACATTGGACTGAACAGTGGTGGCTGCCTCTCTTTTGACCTTCATTACAGTGTTTAAGTGGCAGGAAACAGAAAATACCACAATCCTAGGGCTGGTTCTCTTCCTCCTTCCTGAAGCGGTAGAGATCACATCTGTAATTTCCCTCACCTCCTGTTGGTCCAGAAATCTTGGCTCTGAAACACAGTTCAGCTACCTGCAGGGCAAAGTCTAGGCTCATCTCTAGCCAGCTGAACTAAATATGAATTCACTTGAGGATGATTTTCAGGAAACAACAGAAAAATGAATTCCATGCAATTCAGCAAATATGTGACAGTGCCTCCTTGAAGAGCCACACCCTGTTAATGTAATTCAATTTTATTTGTCAGTTACCAAGCAGGAGGCCAGAGAAAATCCAAATGATTAATTTAGAAGTGATGTGTGTGCCTTCTGGAAACGTTAGAAACACTTACCCCAACTTCTGGCGGGGGATCCTTATGTTCTGGTAGGACACTGGTTCGAACCTGTGGAGAAAAACATTTTCTGTAAGACTTTGGAGTAGAAACTAGTGCAGAAGCCTCGCACAGGTGCTGGGTTTCAATTTCCTTCATCTCGCGTCAATTCAGACTCTGTGGTTAATCATTAATGAATTCACCTGTGTGCAACACCTGCGGCAGTGCAATGAAGCTGTGCTGTTACAGTTCCTGAACTTCCTGGACAGAGCTGCCTGGAACCTCACTCCATCTATTTATCTAATACAGATATATCCAGGATTTAGGCAGATCTCTTTAATCTCCTAAAAAGGCAATCTTCATTCAACATTCAGGGACAGGAAAGAGCTGGTATAGAGAAAGCAATTCCATGCATGCACAATGAGTGTTCCCAATACAAAGAAATGATAAATGTTTGAAATTATGGATATGCTAATTACCATGATCTGATCACAATATATTACATGTATTGCAATGTCATTATGTACCTCCTAAGTATGTATTATGTGTCAATTTTTTTAATTAAAAAATGTTCTCTGAATGAGCGCCCACACTCATGCTTCTTATAGGATATCTTTCCCACTTGAGAATTCTGGGCCAAATTAACAGATATCATCATCTGAATTTACTGGAAAAGTAATTCTCAATTGTGGGAGGGGGAATAATGTCAAAGAACCGGTTATCTGGGCAAGCTTTCCAAAAAGGTGTTCTAGCTGAAACACTAACTCCTTATATAATCAAGAGACATGTATCTTCAACTGAGTGGTGATTTTCAATCCTGGCTGTACATTAGAATCACCTGGGGACCCTTTCAAACTCTTGGTGCGCCTCCATGCCCCCAGATATTCTGCTTCCAATGTACAGCTACTGACTCTACAGTTCTCTTAAGAAAACACATTTCAAATAAAAAAAGTCATGATTACCTTTCTTGCTTCAGAAAAAGATAGGGAACATAAGAAAAAACAAGAAACATATCTAGTATGTCTTAATTTGAAATAAAGATGAGTTAAACAAGTTAAATGAATATAAAGCAATATACAAGCACATCCTGTCTACTTGGAGAGAAAGGGGATTGGAGGGGAAGAATCAGGGAGCAACAGCCTAAAACACTTAAAGGATCAACATTTTAAGGGATCATTTTAACAAAATCCCTTTATGCACACTTCTCTTCAAATCCCTTAAGTCTTGACATACCTGACCATACCAGGTCAATCCTCCCAGATTGAAGGGATGCCTCTAATACCCCTAATAATATTAAAAGACTTGAATCAGCTCCTCATGGCCTGCTAATCTTGAACACAGTTGCCAAGTCCTTGAAAAAAGCAGCAAGCTATAATAAAATGTGCATTTGAACTTCTAGCTTAATGCTTTTTATTTCTTTATGACAGATCCAGCACTATCGCTTGCACAATTTGTCAGTCATTATAACTCAAAATTGTTCATCCAAGCACAAAATAAATGACATGAGAGATCCCAATGGAGTAAACACAATTTGTAGAACACACTCAACTCTTCAACTCAGGACTGCATGACACAGCACTTGCTGGCTAAGAGCATTAGAAGTTTGGTAGCTGCATTAACATTTTTTGGCCCAGATTACCATTCAGTCCATTATCTGAAAGTCATCAGCTGGCCTCAAAGGACAAGGAAACTATACGCAAATAGTGGTGGTGGACAATGTATTGTGTGTGCATGGATTATACATAGTATGTATAAATATGGTTTCTCCCTCTAACTCTGTATGTATATGTATAGTTTGTTATACTACATATATACATATTAGTATAAAGTGCTATACATATAATGAATACTCACAACATGCACCATATAATGCACATATGTGTACTATTATATACATTAATTTTTTAAAAAATTGACAGCCAAATAACATTTTCCAAAGATATACACTTAAATTTACAAATAAAGTGAAAAGAAAAAGTCAGAAATTGGTAAGATGGTCAATATACATAGAGTTGTATAAAGTATTTGATTTGGATCATAAATATTAATATAAAAGTATGTGTTTTAATATTGGACAAAGGTAGAAAATTTTTGACAATTAATATTCTTTATCCTATTAGTGATGTTATGGTACATAGGTTATAACAGTGATGCTTTTCTTATGTAAAATATACCCTCCATTGCAGTGAACACAAGCTAGGTAGCAAGCACTGGATGTGCCAGTGAATAATGCCCCAGTGTTTCTTGTTGAGACTTCAGAGGCTAGTGAGTGAGACACATGTGTGAATAATTTAGCACAATGCAATAAGTGCTATAATAGAAATATGGGCATTTTCCTGTGGGCATTTAGAATGAAGAATAACTATTTTATCCTGTGAGTTTCAGGAAAGGCTTCACAAAAGAGGTGGTCTGGGTTTTGAAGGATGAGTAGGAGTTTTAGGCAAGGAAGGATATGATAAAACAAGCAGAGTTTTATGTAACAAGCATCTGTCATAGAGTTCAGGGGGAAGAGTAAGAGTTCAGGGGGAAGGGTGCAGGATTTGAAATATGGCAGATTATGTGGACCATCAACAAACTACCAAAACCGCAGAGGAGCCCCTCGATCTTATCAGGCTCAGCCTAGATGAGCAAATTTACATGAAAATGGGAAATGACTGATGGCTTCAAGGCAGATTACATGCTTATGATCAACATTTAAATATGATGTTGGGAGATGTAGAAGAAACTGTGGCTACTATAGAAATTGATGAATAAACATACGAAGGGATATGTAAATCAATGAAACTGAGTATTCCAACGCGCATTATCCAGGGAGATGGTGTTGTCCTGGTTGTCCCTCCACTGAAAGTTGGCTGACACAAAGAATTTGTCCTGTATGGAAAATAGGAGACTTTGTACAATTGCCTCTTTAAATGTACAAAGCATTTGAAAGAGAAACCTGCATACATTTTGATATTAAGAAATAATTCTGAGGATTTTTCCACTCTGGAAATGAATTGATTTGCAGATAACTCATGACTTCTTGAGCTAAATGTCACTTTTTCCTCCAACTCTTCCAATAAATATAATCACCAAGATGCAAAAACCAAAACAAAAATGAACAAACAAACATAAACCAGAGCTCAGTTGTGTTCAGGAAATAGTAAGTATTCTGTTGATGCTATTGGGGCCCTGCAGGAAATGGCAGGAGTTACATATGTTTGGGAAATTGGGGCCATTTACTGTAGAGGGCTGTCTCCCATGTTATAGAAGTGGAGTTTTATTCCACTGAAGTATGCCAGGCAATAGGATATGAGGGAAGGCATTGAATAGTAGAGTGGCATGATCAGAGCCCTTGACACATCCCAAATCTTCCCGAGTCACCTTGGAAAAATTATTGAACCTCTTCATGCCAGTTGCCTTTCAGCCTTTGTGTCAGTTATTTAACATGGGGACAATAGACCCTACAGATTGTTGTATTTCATCCTTTTCAGCACTGCAAACAGTACGTGACCCAGAGAGAGAAGAACAAAGTGTGTGAGAAAGAAATGGGGGGAAGAGAGAAAATGAAGAGGAAAGAGGGGAGGAAAGAAAGAAGGAGTGGAAGGCAGAGGAAGGAAGGGAGGAGGACCATGAGACAGGGAGGAAGAGAGAGAAGGAGGAATATGTCACTAAAAAATACTAAGGCCTGAACTGATTTAGATGAGACCTCTGGGTGAGGAAGGGATGAAGCAAAGGCTGTCACTGTAGCATTTGGAATATTCTGGTTCACCGACAATGTCATGCCTCCTGAGAATTTCAAGCCTTCCTTAGGAATTCATTTTCCCTTTTTTGGTCTTATCAGCAGTTCTTCTCTCTATTTTTCTTCACTATTCCCCTCCCTGTCCCTTCCTGGAACATAAGAATGTCTTCCTGACTACAAATTTAAAACATTCTTACAGCTTCCTTTTGTCTAGACTTTTATGATGTCAAATAAAGCAAGGCAGACCAATTAATGGTAGTGATCATGTAGAAAACCATGTTTCCTATTCCATCTTGAATATTTTTTAAGGTTCATCTAAAATAAATTTCCTGCTCTATCAACCCCAGAAGTTCAAAATTAAACTAAATTTATCTTAAAAACAAAACCAGGTAGCATACAGTGGGTTATTCTCACTCTTTCATGGAATTCCTATAGACTACTTCACAAATCTTAATTGTTCCCAACAAGAGGCTGCTTCAGCTACCAATACAGCAGTGGAACATAGGACTTTAATGCTCATATTTATGCAAGACATACTCCTCAGACTAGTCAACCTTGTTACAATGAGCATGGGTATTGCTGTCCTGAGGGTGGGAGGACAGCGAGGACTGCTCCATTTTTTGCAGGTGAGTAGCTGAAAATCAGGCAATGGGGCTGCCTGAAATGCTAGGAGTCTGTTGGAGATCCAGACCCAGAGAAGGAAAAGGCCATGCTGTCCTGGGTCTGCACACTAGGCTGGCAGCACCTGGACCTCATGCAAGTGCATCTGCTCATTGGTAGGTGAGGGAGAAGCATCCTCCCTCTGGACAGTTTCAGCTGGCAGGCAGAGGGAAAGACATTGGTTATAGTGGAGGAACACCTCTCGGCAGGGATAGAGCCCAGATGCTCTTCCTAGAAAACTGTCACACCTGGAAATGTCTCTGATAATGAATGTGTCTCATTTCTTTAAAAGAAAAAAGAAAGTGTTACTCTAATTCTCTATGTACCTCAAATTAGAATATATCATCACATTTACTTGTTCTACTTGGAAGGAGACACATAAGTGTCTTAATAATCAAACATTAAAATTTGACTACAACAGAAATGTTTTGCCCTGCTTCACAGTATGAATTTTCTGGAAGGAAGCTACTCAACCAGGATTCCATATCCTAGGAACCCTTGATCCCAGGTGCAGCCATGTAGCTAGTTCTCACCAATGAAATGTACATGCAAATGATGTTTGCTGGATTTTGCAAAAGTGAATATAGTACACTCTCTCCACTGTCTCATTCTTCTTCCAATGGCCATACATAAAGGAGTCCAGTCTTTACGTGGTGGCTGAGCTGCACCGGAGTCCCAAAATTACCACATGAAAGAAAGCCATCTGCCAACCATCACTACTGTAGTAGACTGTTAAATAATTGTGTTAGCTTTCTACTGGTGTGTAACAAATTACCACAAACTTAGCTGCTTAAAACAACATCCATTTATTTGTTCACGGCTCTGTAGGTTAGAAGTCCAGGCATGATATGGCTGGATTCTCCACTCAAATCTCACGAGGCTGAAATCAAGGTGTCAGCTGGCTGTGTCCTCATTTGGAGGCTTCACTGGAGAAAAATGTGCTTCAAAGCTCCCTCAGGCTGTTCTCAGAATTTAGTTTCTTGCAACTCTTGAACTGTGGTCTTCATTTTCTTGATGGCTGTTCACAGGAGGATGCTCTAAACTCCTGAGGCCACACACCAGCAGCCCTTGCCATGCTCCCTCCTCCATTAAATTCAGCAACAGAGAATCTCCTTGGCATCAAATCTTCTCTAACTTCTGTTTTTAGGAAGAACTCACCCTCTTTTAAAGGATTACCTGATTAGGTCAGGCTCTCCTCAGATGATCTCTCTTTCAACTAGGCTATATAATATGACCTAATCATGACAGTAAATGCTATCCTATCACAGTATTGAGGATTATGCAGGGATGCTACACCATGGAGTGGTAATTTTGGGAACGATCTTAGAATTCCACCTACCACAATAATCAAGAAATAAACTTCCATCGTGCTAAGACACTAAAATTTGGATGTTTACATTTGTTTTGACAGAATAATTTAGATCCTCCGTTCTTTTTAATTTTAATAGGTTTTGGAAGAACATGTGGTGTTTGGTTACATGGATAATTTCTTTGGTGGTGATTTCCGAGATTTTGGTGCACCCATCACCTGAGCAGTGTACAGTGTGTCCAATGTGTAGCCTTTAATCCCTCACCCCACTCCCACCCTTCCCCAAGTCCCCAAAATCTACTTATCTTTCTTATGATTTTGTGTCCTCATAGCTTAGCTCCCATTTATAAGTGAGAAATACTATGTTTGGTTTTCCATTCCTGAGTTACTTCACTTAGAATAATGGTCTGCACCTCCATCCACGTTGCTGTGAATGCCATTATTTGATTTCTTTTTATGGCTGACCACATTTTCTTTATCTACTCATTGATTGATGGGCATTTGGGCTGGTTCTATATTTTTGCAATTATGAATTCTGCATTATAAACATGCATGTGCAAGTGTCTTTTTCATATGACTCCTTTTCCTCTGGGTAGATACCCAGTCGTGGGATTGCTGGATAAAATGGTAGATCTACTTTTAGTATGTTAAGGAATCTCTGCACTGTTTTCCATAGTGGTTGTACTAGTTTACATTCCCACCAGCAGTGTAAAAGTGTTCTCTTTTTACCACATCCACACCAACATCTATTATTTTTTTGATTTTTTAATTGTGGCCATTCCTGAAGGAGTAAGGTGACATCACATTGTAGTTTTGATTTGCATTTTCCTGATAATTAGTGATGTTGAGCACTTTTTCATAGGCTTGTTGGCCATTTATATTTCTTTTGAGAATTGTTTGTTTATGTCCTTAGCCCACTTTTTGATGGAATTATTTGCTTTTTTCTTGCTGACTTGAGTTCCTTGTAAATTCTAAATATTATCCCTTTGTCAGATGCATAGTTGGCAAAGATTTCCTCTTTTCTTTTGCTGTGAAGAAGCTCTTTAGTTTAATTAAATCCCATCTATTTCTCTCTGTTTTTGTTGCATTTGCTTTTGGGTTCTTGGTCATGAATTATTTGCCTAAGTCAATGTCGAGAAGGGTTTTTCTAATGTTATCTTCTAGAATTTTTATGATTTCAGGTCTTAGATTTAAGTCTTTGATCCATCTTGAGTCGATTTGTGTATGAGGTCAGAGATAAGGATTCAGTTTCATTCTTTTACATGTGACTTGCCAATTGTTCCGGCACCATTTGTTGAATAGAGTGTCCTTTCCCTACTTTATGTTTCCCTACTTTTGCCTGCTTTGTTGAAGATCAGTTGGCTGTAAGTATTTGACTTTATTTCTGGGTTCTCTATTCTGTTCCATTGTTCTATGTGCCTATTTTTATACCAGTACCATGCTGTTTTGGTGGTCATAGCCTTATAGTATAGTTTGAAGTTGGGTAATGTAATGCCTCCAGATTTGTTCTAATGAAATTTTGGATTTATTTAGTATATGGTTAAGAGAAAATAAAGCAACATAGCTAACATTAAATCTTCATTTACTATTTTAAGGCCAGCAAACATGTATCAAGCACATATTATGATTCAGCCACTATTATAAGCACTGGCAATCTCAGAGAGTAAGAGATTAAGAAGACAAGGTATATTTCGTTGATACGCAATAACAATGGCATGGTAAGAGTCAAACATCTAATAATAATTGCTAAGAATCTTCAGCTTTCTAAAATCTATCAGCTAGTCTTAGATAACGGTTTTCTAGTTGTTTAATTTTAATCTTGCATGGAGAAAATGATGCATGTACAAACCTAAATGATTTAGGTCACAGAATCTTAGAGATGCAAGGAATCTCTCAGTTAATCTAAAAAAAAAACTAGGCAATATGAAAATTATATCTGAAATATTCCTGGGAAGTACATTGAACATTTCTTCTTCAACATTTGGAATTTCTAGCTTACTATCTCACAAATCAGTATCATAACGGTAGTGTTACAAACTCACATGCCCACAGGCTCCAGGTAGGTAAAATTAATGAAAGGAGTGGCCTGGGTGTTTGAGACAATAGGAATTGGAGAGGACTCTGGCAAAATGGAATCACATTTCTAGTCTATAAGAAGTGACAACTACCCAGCTTCAACGGATTGAAAAAATTCTGAGAAATATTCCTTCAAATATTAACAATGGGTAAATATTAATTCTTTTGAAAGTGGGCTATTATTACCATATGCTGATTTTTACCAGAAACATGCTTTGTAACTAAGGTGAGTGGGCCAAAGCAAGCCCACTACTATTTTAGTAAAATTAGTTTTTAAAATGTGCTACCCTAAAACAGTTGTTATTAACCTTGACAACACAGTAGAATCGCCTGTAACATGTTTTTGGTTTTGTGTTTGTTTTAAATGCCAATTCACAGGTCACACCCCAGAATAATTAAATCAGAATGTCCAAGGGAAGGACCCAAGCATCAGTATTTTTAAGGTGAATACTCCACTTGATTCTAATGTGAAGCCAAAGTTAGAGTAAAGAACTATTGCTATAAAATAAATGAGATTACTTTTTGGTAAGAATGAGCCTCACAAACTAGCTCTAAGTCCTATGAAGAATCTTAAAACACATTGTGCCATGTTCAAGCCATCAAATATGGTTCCCTTTGAAAAGGACACACAAAAAAAGTTAACAGATCATCAGAGCTAGAAGGCCCTCAGACATTTTTAGGAAACGTTCCTTAAATTTTAGTGTGCATACTCATCCCCTGCTGGTCAACAGCTGGTCAGAAGGATGGTCTCCAGACCATTCTCTAGAAGTCTGTTAGAAATGCAGTATCTCAGGCTTACCACAGACACGTGCATCATAGTGTTCATTTTGGTAAGATTCCCAATTCATTTATGTGTACATTAATGTTTGAGAAGCTCTGGTTTGGAAGAATGCTCATGAGTGAAATGGGTCATAATGAGAACAGGTCTTCATTGCACCTAAACATGCCTGAAATAGAAATGAGGTTCATTATTACGGTTATGATGACTTTTTTTTTTTTTTTTTTTTGAGACGGAGTCTCACTCTGTCGCCCAGGCTGGAGTGCAGTGGCACGATCTTGGCTCACTGCAAGCTCTGCCTCTCGGTTTCACACCATTCTCTTGCCTCAGCCTCCCCAGTAGCTGGGACTACAGGCACCCGCCACCACGCCTGGCTAATTTTTTGTATTTTTAGTAGAGACGGGGTTTCACCATGTTAGCCAGGATGGTCTCAATCTCCTGACCTTGTGATCTGCCCGCCTTGGCCTCCCAAAGTGCAGGGATTACAGGCGTGAGCCACAGCGCCCAGCAGATCTTTTTTTTTTTTTTAATGTCAAGCCACTGTAAAAGCTCCAGATGATACCTTCCAGCAGACAGGTGCCCCCTTTTTATGTGAGGCAAATGGCAGGTAAGGTGAGGGGTAGGGAGTCACTCTTCAATCAAGTCAGAGATTGATCTGGGACAGAGCTGGGCTGGAATTGTTGGTACAATTCAGTGTCATTGGCTGAAATGTGTTTCTCCAATATTCATATATTGAAGCCCTTACTCCCAAGTAGCTCAGAACGTAATTATTTGAGATAGGGCCTTTACAGAAGTGATTAATTTAAAATGAGACCCATGGGTTAGGGTGCTAATCCAATGTAACTGGTGTCATTGTAAGAAAAAGAGGAGATACCAGAAAAGCTCTGCCCAGAGGAAAGACCATGCAAAGAGGCAGCAAGAGGGCCACTGTCTACAAGCTAAGGAGAGAGGCTTTGGAGAAGCCAACCTTGCCAGCACCTTGATCTTGGATTTGCAGACTCCAGACCTGTGAGAAAATAAATTTTTGTTGCTTAAGCTACCCAGTCTATGGTATTACTTATGCGTAGCCCTAGCCAACTAAGATTCTAAGTCTACCTGTGTTATCTGGTATGGCCCTCTGTGTTTTCAACCAACAGCCTGACTGGCCTTTGCTTCTCAGCCCTGAAAAAGTGGATATTGTTAAGACATTCCACTATACTTCTTTAACATTATACCTGACACAGCCTCAGAATCTGACAAAAGTCTTTAGAGGGAGACCAGCCATGAGTTTGAATCTCTTTTGGACTCCAAAACTGTCATTCCAACTATGCATGAAAACCCAAATCTCTGCTGAGTGTTATGCCTGCCAGTTGCCACCTTCTGTTTGGCAAAACCTTGATATTCAGACTTCTAGCCACAGGGAGACTCTGTGAATACCTCCAGGTGAAAAACGGCTTTTTAGTTTCTCAGTGTCAACTCAGCACTCCCCCTAGGGCATCTCTTGCCTGTTGTCAGTTTCTCTCTCTAGTTTCCCAAGCACTGTGAAACTATGGGGACTTTCACTTTGCTTTTTGGAAGCCTTTGACCTGGTTCTCCAGCCTTCTGCAAAGTGTCAGAGTTCACCAAGTCTCTTCTGAGAAAAAAATGGCCACTTACTTGAGGCCCCTGAAGTCTCCATTTCTCACTTCATCCAATACAACTGCTGAAAGCTTTTTTGATTTCTCTTTCTCCAAGCAGCAGCTCTCTGTCTAGGCAAAGGCCTACTCCTCAGTCCACTCTCAGAGTCAGCAAATACCCCTAGACAAAAATCATGGCTCCCGATAGCTCAGCGTTGAAAGGTTCTCCTTGCTCTGGAAATTTGGTCTCTCTAGTTATTTTTGCTCTGATAGCTTAACGGTGCTTTCAAACATGTGATTTTTGCAATCAGCCTAGCTTCTTTTCTAGGTGTTGCCAGAAGGAGCAGTGCTTGTCCCACCTACCACATCCTACCCAAACCGAACTCCTTAATATCCAGAAAAGTTATTGGTAAGCTAAGAAATCTTCCAAACATGCGGTCAAGGGATGAAAAATGATATTCAACAGACTATGGTTATATGTAACTGGAGAGGAAAAAATGCCATTTAAATATTGGTCTGTCTGTTGAGTTACGTTTTTGACAAACTGGTTACAAATGCATAATGACAGGTGGTTCCTTTGGTAAGACTAGAGCTTACTCTGCAGCCTAAACACAATCCCAATTAACCAACTTGGATAAACAATAATTGTTGAGTGGGATATGCTATCTTGGGTTTTACTCACTAAATGCGATCATCTTTCAAATGTCAAAGCACACTCTACCAAATTATGTATACAAGTTCATTCTATAGGCTTCCATGCCAAAAAGAAATACTAGTTAAGACAAATAAAAGCACTCTTTTAGTTTGGATGCTCTAACCTTAGATGTTTTCCATTTCTCTAAAGCAGTGATGTTCACACCACAGCTCCTAGTCACATGGGTCTCTTTATGTTTAATTGGTGGCGCTTTAAAACTTCTAATTTCTCTATATGAATGCGCCATTATACTAAATTCTACCAGTCATACAGGACTCATGTAGTTCTTTAGGTTAATAGTGACTGCAAATGTGGCTCCAGAGTCATATAATTCTGAGTATCCCTGCCATTACCCACATTTTATTCCACTTCCCTTTCCGACTATTATAGAGATCTATTACAAGCAGGTGAAAGAATACTGAATGGCAACAATATCTGTAGACATCACCTTCCTTTATCAGAGAATCACTGAAAGATACAGGATCTGCTGAAAATAAGAGATGCCAGATAAGAGGTTTTGTTTTCATGGAAGTCAAAGAGGTCTCCTTATAGCTTTTCTAAAACATAAGAGATTCTGTCCTCCATAGTACTTATTTCTGGTTCTTCCTGAAATGAACAGTAGGCTGGGACACTAGCATTGTACAGACCCCGTCGGTTTTCTTGCACTATGTGTTACGAGCCAAGTCCGGTCCTGTGGACTTAACTAAAGCAAGAAGGAGAAACCTCTAAAAAGCTGTACAAAGTAGGACAGACAACAGTTTTCCTTTAAGTGGTAAGGGATGTTTACATATTTTACAAATAGAAATAAAGGAGCTCTTCGCACTGGAAAGCCACAATCTAAAAATGTGTTTTATAGGCACTAAAGATAATAGCTGATAACTTGCTAAACAACTGTTCTTTATAAGCTGAGAACTCCATTCCTGCTGACTCCCAAAGCCTCACATGAGGATATTATTAACATATGAAACACACGTAGAGCTCAATTCAAAGCTCATGTATTCTACTAACAGTTGTTATCAGGTCAAACTTCCACCACTGCCTCCATCCATTTCCTCTCTTTCTCTACCACTTCAATAAGCAAAAATAATTGTACCATCATTATAAAAAGTGGAGAATCATTATGCTCGATCCATTATCCTCAGCATTAGACCCGGATGGTGATAGGCTACCCTAGAAACTTTCTGCCCTAGAAATACTGTAAAACTTATAGTTGATATATAAGAATAATGGAAGCAAAGAAATAATAACTCTGTTTAACCTTTGGGTTAATCATTTCAGGGCATGTCTTTTTTTACTTGTATTATTTCATTGTAGTTCTGTGTTGCATTATTATTGCTTTGCCCATTTTACAGATGAGAAAACTGGGTTTCAGGAACCTGGGATAATTTGCCCAGGGCCACTTCATTAGCAAATTGCAGACATTAAACAGTCTCCTTCCAAAATCTATGCCCCTTCCATGGCTGTGTGCCTCTTCAGAGCCCAGACTGATGGTGACTTTGTCTTCCCTAGGGCTGCTTAATTAGAGTTTTAAAAAGCAAATATCTATTAGCCTCAGGGAATAGAAACAGACACAATTTATCACAGTACCAGACTCAAAAACACCATCGTTAGGTATTAACAGCCCCCAATTAAGACTATAGTCATGAGTTAATGAACGAGCCATTAGACAGAAAACAGCAATATGAACAAAAGCACACGTCTATTAATCTGTTGCTCACTGAAAGTCATTAGTCCCAACAATATAAGGCTAAATAATTTCTAAGTAGCTTTAAAACAAAACTATCGTGATACGGCTTATGTATTCCAGATCATTGACAACCTGGACTTTGATAACTGTAGTCAAAAGAAGATCACCAAACCCCCCATACAAATTAATTGATTTACATAATCAGCCTACAAAGTATGTATTTACATGAATCGAAAAAAAAAAAAGTATATGGGCATGGAGTGGAGGGGCTTTCAAGGTAGCTCTCCAACGAAGAGTCCTGTTTGTGTCCAGGCAAAACTGGGATAACTGCAGTAGATCTATTCTACTGTCACAATAGTTTCTTTCTCTATAGAATTCTACCAAAGCATCTAATAGTTTAATCAATGGTTCTCAACATGGGCTGCACTTTAGAATCACCTGAAGAAGTTTTAAAAACTGCTGATTCCAGGGCCCTACTTGTCTACACTCCTTTAACTGGGCCATTCTAATCACTCAACATTCTCTTTCACCGCTCTACCTAATTCTCAAAACAACCCTGTGAGAAAACTGAGGCTCAACCTTTAACTTTCAACCTGTAAAATAAATAATAATACTCAAAGAGAAGTTAACTTTCTTCCCAGGTTATGTGGCTAGTAAGTGGAGGAGGGAATATTTCAACTTGAATCTGCTGTATTCCAAAACCAATGCATTTAACCCTCTCCTATGTTGCCTAAACTCAGGGCTGAAGTCACAGCAAAAGTCTGCTACACAAAGACTGCGGAGGGAAGTTAAAGCAAAGATCCCAGTTTTCCTGAAACAGAGGGAATTGTGATAGTGGCATTCTAAACAGGCACTAGAACCACGCTTTTCTCTAAGAAACACTGTTTTGCAGTGTCTGTGGCCCACTGCATGGCTAACTCAGTGTTGTTTTAAAAGAGCAAAGGTATTAAATTAAATGTCATGAACTCTTCTGACGAAGAAAATAAGGAAATGTACAGCGTTTCAACAGAAAAAAAAGTATTTCAAGCTTCAAAAGATTGACAAAATTAAGAACAAAATTTCATTATGTTGAGAGCTTCTTTACTACAATAAACTAACTACATACTGAAACCTAAGTCCTTGTGGATGGCAGCTGAGAGATCGATTTCCTACATTTCAAACCATAAGTCAGCCATTATTCTCAAGTGTGATCCAATCAGATCTGCAAGGTCAAAACTATATTCACAATAATATTCAAATGGTATTTTCCTTTTTTGCTCTAATTCCTTCACCAGTGTACAGTGGAGTTTTCCATATGCTAAAAGACACGAGATATCACAAAAGATTGAATACAGAGAAGCAGACATGACAATGCAGGTCTCTCCTGTTGATCAGACATTAAGGAGATTTACAAAAATATAAAACAGTGTCACTGTCTCAGTATATTTTTTTTGGTTTTCCAAAACAAAATTTTCAAAAGCATGTGTTATTTAACATATAATGAGTTTATTATTTGCCATTTTAAATGAATTCATAAATATTTTTAAAATTTTGGAGTTTTTCTTCTGTGGAAAATATTCATAGTTAATATAACTGTATAAACATATGCTCTTTGGGATTCTTGATAATTTTTAAGAATGTAAAAGGGTCCTAAAACCAAAAGTTTGAGAAACACTGCCATGGTGGGTCTCAGCATTACATTAATCTTACCCTTTTTAAGACAGCTTCTTTCCAGAGTCTCTTTCAGAGGTGGATGTGATGATTACCACAGACACCCAATAATCCAGCCAGCCTGAACCACTAAGACTCCCTGAACTTTCCTTGCTCTCACCTCCCTCCATGCCTTTGCATGCGCTGATCTGTCCTTTTAAGTACAAGAGATATGGTCATGAACAAGGAATAATCACTTTATGAACTACATTCTAGCATCAGGAAGACATGGACAATATCAAAATGTGTAAAGAAAGTAAAATATTAAAATACGGTAATAAAATACAGTGTAACGAGGTGGGAGTGCTTTACCTACAGCTGTCCCTGAGGTGGGTTTCCCTGAGCAGGTAACTTTGATTCAGACCTGCATAACGCAGAGGAGCCAGCTCAGAGAAACTCAGGGAGAATAGTATTTTAGGCCAATGCAACATCAAGTGCAAAGGCACTGAGGCCAAAGTGGCTGAAAAACCAAAGAGAAAAAAGGGGAAAGAAGTGAAAGTTGGGTGGAAGAAAGGCAGGGCTCTGGGAACATTGGGTTTATGTTACAATTACAATGGGAAACTCTAGCTGGGTTTTAAGCCAAAAAGTGATGTGATATTTGTCATGCATTAAAAATATTACTCTGATGTGTGGAGAACGGACTGCAGGAGGTCAAGTGTGGAAGGATAAGAAATTAGGAGCCATTTACAAATTAGAGCTTATTTATCATCATTCCTCTACTTTTTCCTAGAGTCAGGGTCAAGCTAGATATGCAGGTTTTTAGAGGAATAATTACTGGGTAGCCTTGAGTTGTTTCCAAATATTTATAGAAAGCAGTTTAATACTGACAGAGAATTAAAGTGAGTATATAAATTTCCTCTTAATATAATTACATTCATCTATGAGGTTAATAATGCTCAACTAGTCACAAGGACACTTGTGGATTAATAATTATTTAAATAAATTTAGTGCTAAATAATAAATATTCCACTATTTACACTTTTTTTTACACTGTAAATATTAAAGGGCAACACAGCCTATGAAGTAAAAAGCATTCAGAAAAAGCATTCAGAAAAAGCATTCTAACTTAAAACATGAGGAAACTCAATTCTCTGGAAAAAATTTATAAACAAACTGAGTGATAATAACAGAATTGTAATTACTAATGAAAGCTCTATGAATAAAATTGTTTATGGATGGCTTCAGCTCTTCTGGCAGGCACTTGTGGCAGCAGTATATAGAAAATATCTTCATTGTTACTTATCTGCATTTGAATCATATCAGCAAGCAATGATTCAAAGACCCATGAAGAGCAAATAATGATGCATGTGTGGAAGAATACAAAATAGAAGAGCCCCTTTAATTTTAAAACAAACCCCTTCTTTCTAGCACCAAGAGGCCTATTAACAGGAATTTTGAGAAGTATCTTTCTATCTGGGTATAATTTTGGATATCATTGGGCCTGGATTAAAATATCTTGAAAATCCATCTCTGGGTTTTTTAAGTTAAAGTTGTGAAACATTCTTCATCTGCACTGGAGCAAGAGTGGTAACTGCCTGTGAGATGGGTCTTTTACTTTCTTATCAGTTTTTCTGTTTTACAAAGTAAACTGCCTGTCAGAACCAGGGATGCATACACACACGCATATGTGCACACACGCACACACATACACGCGCACGCACACACACACATATTCAGTGAAGCAATTCAATTCCATTAAATGATAACTCTTCAACAAATGTCAAAATGTTCCTGTTCCCTTAAGCCATTCAAAAGATTTTAAAATACATCACCTGGGATGTTTAAGGACTTTAGTGTCTCAGGGAAACTACATTTGAAACCTTGAATTTTAACATTTAAAATTCTTAACAGTTGGAATGTATTTGTCATTTATAATGTATGTTTTGTGCGTAAAGTGGGTTTACACTCAGTATTCTTGCTGCCTCGGGGCTTAAAGAAGTGAACTAAATTGGAGCTAATGGGTTCAGGCATTTTAGAGGAAACTACTTAAATCTAAGTGCACTAAGCAATGTCCATTCACAGGAACAAGAGAAGCAAGCAGTATTTTCATAAATTTGTCCTATCAAAAGTTGTACTTTCATTTTTTTCACTTCTTAAAGTGAATTTTTCTTTGATGCTGTCACAAATAAACTTAAAAACATTTTCAGATAATGTTGCTCTTTATTTGCACAGACCAAATAAAACCACAGGCAAGGAAATTCAAGGGATTTAATCTAAGTGGGATGGGTATTTTGTCTTTAAGAAGAGTGGTGTGCAGATAACTAACAATTGGCTTTTAAAGGACAAGGATGGAGGAAGCTACCATTCATAGTGCAAGCAATTTCTGTGGCGTAAACACTCCCACCTGGCCCATTTCCAGCTACTAGCTTGAGATCGCTGACCACAGAATTGGAAAGGGACATGTAGGATCAGCTCTCCAGGGACAGTAGAGCAGGCCCCAGCATACCACTGTGGCATCACTTTGGAGAAGTCAACTGCATGGAAGTGTTTGGGACCCAGATCTACTGGGATCCTCGTGTACTGTGAACCTGGCTGCAACTGGCATAGGGATCAGGTCCAGAAACATCTTCGTGAAATACAAGTATATTGCAATCAATAGTATGAAAATACAATCATCCCCCCTCTCACATGCCAGATGATATGATAAAACCGTGTCTCTGAAATCAATGATTTTAATTAGGCTTCAGCTTAATAGAATTTACGTATTTGTTTGAGAGGTAACAAGCACTATCTATTCGATCAGATTCCCAGTAATTGCTAAGGAATTATTTTAAAACCAATGGAAACTTTGGCCATGGGAAAGATGCACGCCAAGAATCTGGTTTACCAGAATCAGTCTCATGACATATTTGTGCTCCAGGGTCAGTTTTAAGTGCCCTGGCAGCTAGTGCTGAATGCTTCAAAATTTTCTCTATCTTTGGAGCTTCTAATTGTGATCCTTACAGGCCACAGATCATATTATGAGGCAATGTTTAGAAAAGTACTCTTACAGAATGTACCACAAAGCTGGGGGGGTGGGGGGTGGAGGGGGAAAACCTAAGGTTGTCAGTGCATCCCCTGACCCATAAATAGGCTCATAACCAGGGTTTCTGTGTTGAAGTCTAAACTTGGAAAATCATCCATTAAGGAATTTTAAAAATGTGCTCCAATTAAGCCAATAGAGGTTTCCTTAAGTGTATTTTCCATACAGACAATGTAGCCTTCTTAAGAAAAGCTAATTTTTAGTACAGCTGTCTTGCATAATTTTTATTTCATAGCTTATTCCAAACCAAGCTATTTAACATGACAATCTGTGCTTATATTATACCATGTTTCAGGGACCTCAGATGATTTTATTTTTTAAAAAAGAAAAAATATATGACACTATAATGAGACCCTTTATTCTTGGCTTTATTTTCCGTTTAAAATAAAACCAAAGGTGGAGGTAACTACAGCTAGACATTTAGTACAGATTTTGTAATAATAATTAAGTTAGTAGCCTTCATGGGCATATCAATATTCATGAAAACAGCAATGGGATAGAAAAGCATTAAAGGCTTTTATAAAGCAAGAGAGAAATAGTTCTCAATGTCCTTGAGAAATGAGTACACTTATTAAAGGGGGAAAAAAAAGCATATATAGTTAAAAAAAAAGTTGCTTAAAAAAGGAAAAGGGGTGTTTGAGCTAGATAAACCTTTAAAAGTAATTTAATTTAACCATTTTCATGTAAAGTTAAGAAAACTGAGGCTATTGGTGGTTAAATGACTGGTCCCAAGTCTCACAATTAGATCATAACAGATCTGTGCCTAGACAATGCTTTCTTGTTTAAAACCTTCTAAAATGGGGCCCTGCGCAGTGGCTCACGCCTGTAATCCCAGCACTTTGGGAGGCCAAGAAGGGCTGATCACGAGGTCAGGAGATCGAGACCAACCTGGCTAACAAGGCGAAATCCCGTCTCTACTAAAAATTAAAAAAAAAAAAAAAAGGCCAGGCGTGGTGGCGGGTGCCTATAGTCCCAGCTACGTGGGAGGCTGAGGCAGGAGAATGGCGTGAACCCAGGAGGCGGAGCTTGTAGTAAGCCGAGATCGCGCCACTGCACTCCAGCCTGGGCGACAGAGCAAGACTCCGTCTCAAAAAAAAAAAAAAAAACAAAAAAAAAACCTTCTAAAACCGCAGACATGCAATTGCAATGAAAATATATAAAACAGAGACAGATTACATGGAAGAGCCAATCTAGGACCCACTCCGATCACAGGTGCTGAGCAGGGGCCACGTGAGTCTTGTCTGGTTTAATTAGTTGGGGTCATATGCTTTGTTCTCTCTTTTCCTGATCCTTAAAACGAGATTGTTGTATCAGCAGCACTGGAATCATTTGGGAGCTTGTTAGTAATGCAGACTCTTAAGTCCTGCCCCAGACCACTGGATTAGAATTCAGAATTAGAATCCTCATTTCATAAAATCCTTAGGTGATCCCTAAGTACATTAAAGTCAGAGAAGCCTGAAACAATTGATGCATTCGTTGAAAACGAAGGAATGTTTTCTAAAAGACCAAATCTTTCCTTTCTCGCTTTTATCTCTCATATTCTGTTTTGCAGAAATTAAAAAGGAAAAATAATAGTATATTTTGTTACAATATATTACCTATATGTTATGATGTTATAGCAAAATAGGGTTCTCATATATACAAGGAAAGAAAGACTTGTAGATAAATATCATATAATTCAACAGTGTAAGTTAACTGGATGGTCTTGTCTTTATTACAGGTACTGAATTCAACTATTTTTTATTTTTGTTTTTTTTGTATTGGACTACATTAACTCAGTTGGTCCAATGAGTTCATTTTTTTTCCAGCTTTATTGAGGTATAATTGACAATAAAAATTAAATACAGTTACTGTGCACAACTTGAGGTTTTGATGTATGTATACACTGTGCAATGATTACCACGAACCAGCTATTTAACCTGTCCATCACCTTAGTTACCTTTTTGTGTGTGCGATGAGAGCATTCAAGATCTACTCTCCTAATAACATTTAATTATACAATATAGTATTGTTAGCTATTTTCACTATGCTGCACATTTGATCCCCAGAACTTATTTATAACTGAAAGTCTGTACCCTTTGATCATCATCTTCCCATTTCCTCCTCCCCTCAGCCCCTGCCAAATACCATTCTAATTCTGTTCTGTTTCTATGAGTTTGACTTTTTTAGATTCCGCATGTGAGAACATAAAGTATTTGTCTTTCTCTGTCTGACTTAGCATAATGCCCTCAAGGTTCATCCATTTTGTTGCAAATGACAGAATTTCTTACTTTTCTTTGCCTGAATAATATTTCACCATATATATGTATACACGCACATATACACACATACATATACTTGTATGATACACACAAATACATATACTTGTATGTATGTGTACATATGTGTATATAGCTCTCTCACAATTTCCTTATTAATTCATCCATCAGAGGATACTCGGATTGTTTCCCTGTCTTGGGTTTTGGGTATTGTGAATAATGCTGCAATGAACATGGGCATGAAGAGATCTCCTTGAGATACTGACTTTGTTCCCTTTGGATATATACCCAGAAGTGGAATTGCTGGGTCATATGGTAGTTCTATTTTTAAATTTTTGAGGAACCCCCATACTGTTTTCCATATTGGCTGGCCAATTTATATTCCCAGTAAGAGTACACAGGGTTCCCTATTCTCCACACCCTTGCCAACACTTGTTATCTCATGTCTTTTTGATAATAGCCAATTTAACAGGTGTGAGGTAATATCTCATTGTGGATTTAATTTGCATTTCCCTGTTGTCAGTGAAGCTAGGCAATTTTTTCTATACCTTTGGCCATTTCTATGTCTTCTTTGGATAAATGTCTGTTCGGGTCCTTTGCCCTTTCTTGAACTGAATTATTTGTTGTTGTTGTTTTTTATTTTTTATTGTTTTGCTATTGAGTTGTTCTTTACATATTTTATATATTAGCCACTTATCAGATACATGGTTTGCAAATATTTTTCCAGTTCTATAGGTTGCCTTTTCATGTGTTGATGGTGAGCTACTTTTAAATAGTGAAAGGATAAATCTATTAGGGAGCATCTACATCTGGGGCAAACACTCCCCTGAAAGCCAGCTAGAATTCTGGCCTTCTAAGACCTCCTAAGAATAAAGCCTATAACTCAGCAGGCTGCTTAATGCTCTGTCTGCTACTTCCTGGGAAAAATGAAAAAAAAAAAAAAAAAAAAAAAAGTCTGAGTATCCACAAATTCCCAAAGCAGCTGGAGGAGTTATAAAAAGAAAGGAATTTCACCATTTCCATGAGAGCTTCTTCACTTCTCCCATTTTCTTTATTAATAGTGACTCAGATTAAAACTTGCAATAACAACAACAACAACAAAAATCTAGTTAACTGATTCCTAATATTTACTTGGGGTGGAGGATGCTTTTCTTCTCTAACGTCAGTTCTGGTCCTGTTATTTTTCTAGTCCAAAATACCTTGGGTTTACTTTTCATTATACTCCCTCAATTATCTTATCTTTTAGAATTTAGCCATTAATACCAGCATTTATTTTACTCCTCATAACCCCAAATCTCCCATGTATACCTTAAGGATGTCTTTGCTTCCTAAGTACCAGAGGGGAAGAAATACTGGTGCAAGTCTAATGGATATTTACATATATTCACATTTCCTGTTAAATTACTTACAGCTAGATTCTCAAATAATAAAATGCAATCTGAAATTTAAAAACAGTGACACTAAGCACCCTTAGGAGATAGGCAGAGTCAATCATCAAAGGGCAGAACATAGAGGAAAGTCAGTTAACTTTTAGTCAGTTGACTTTTAAAAATGGTTGATTTATTTTTATCAGAAAGAAACCTGCATACTCACATAGGTAGAGTTTAATGAATAAACACAAAGTAACACCAATGTGTAACCACTGATAGTGGCAGGAGACAGACAAATTCCTCGCCAGACAAGGGCAGGTCACCAGTGAAACCCAAACTTAAGCAAAAAGACAGCCTGAAGCCTGAAAACCAGGCTGAGGTTCTGGTACAGTCCACGACCTAGTGAGAACTTCCGTGGTGTCTCTTAGACAATCAAATGGTGCTTTTTCCAGGCCTGCCCATGGACCAATCAGCATGCATTCCTCCATTCTGATCCCATAAAAACCCCAGACTCAGCTACCCATTGGACTATCTGCTTTTGGGCTCCCTCTCACACAGAGGGCTACCCACTCTCGGGTTCCCTCCCCACTGACAGCTTTTCTTCTGTTGCTTAATAAAATTCTTCTCTGCCTTGCTCACTCTCTGTTGTCCATGTACCTCATTCCTCTTGGATATGAGACAAGAGCCTGGAACCTGCCACATGGCAGGAACAAAAGGAGCTGTAATACTGTAACCCTCCCTCCCACTTGAGGGGTAGTGGGGGAGAAAATACCGCTGGGGGCCACACACCTCTGTTCACTGTGCTGCAGGCAGAGGGAGCAAAAAGAGCAGTCACACTTCTGGAGGCCCAGACCTTAGGACTCCTTGAGCCAGAGCTGTAACATGCCCCTATCCGCCAAGCCACGGGTGGCGGGACCAAACACGTTTCTGTTCACTGCCCTGCAGGAGGCAGGAACAAACGTGAGCTGTAACATGAACAAGCTGTAATATGCCCCCACTATTTGCCACACCAGGGGTTGGGGGAAGAAGAGAGAGAAATAACACCCCCTGGGGCTTCGCAGTTGCTGGAATCTCTTGAGTTTTGGGCATGGCTGTGATTCCCCTCCTCGTCCAGATGCTGGTGCCCAAGGCGGAAGCCAATTGTAGCACGTTGGGCCCAGTCACGGGCTGCAGCAGGCCAAGTGGGCAGAGAAAGCCCAGCAGTGAGCACAGAGCTGAACAAGGCCCCAGGCAGAGGCGCCACTGGCCAGCCACAGAGATTTCTGGTTGGCCAAGTGGCACTGAAAGGATCCTGTGTCAACATTTCCTTTAGAAAAAAATGCAACTTGATTGGCAAACTAGAAAACCTCTTTTCTGAGACTTTCTCCTAATACAACCCCAGTATTCTCCACTAGAGACAATCATTGTCCTTTTGTAATAATTTTTCTTTTCCTTAGAGTATTACCACCAAATAATGAACCACTAAACACAACAGTGTGGGTTTTCTTTTTCTCTACATTTCAACTTTATGTAAAATACATAAATACTATATATATTCCTTTGCCTTTCTTTGTTAACTCAATTTCTTTTAGATTTATCCATGTTGTTGCATACAGCTAAAGTACATTTATTTTCATTGTCAGATAGTAATTCATTGCCTGACTGTACTACAATTTATCCCTATTCCTCTTGATGGTTATTTAGGTTATTGTCATTTATTAGCTGCAGTGAACTGCTGCTATGAAATTCTTGCATGTGTATCTGGAGACCATGTGTAAATCACTTTCTAGGGTACAGACCCTAGAGAATAATTGCTGCATCTTTAGAGATTACATCTATAACTGGGCTGGAATGCAAAACTGTTTTTCAAAATGGTTATATTATTTACCCTTGAACCATAAGAAAGTTTTACATCCTTATCTATACTTGAAATTGTTAGATGTTGAGTTTTTACCAACCATTGATATGTAATTATATATCACTGTATTATTAATTAATAATTATCTGATTATTAATGAGGTCGATTCCCAAATGTTTACTGGCCATTTGATTTTTCTCTTTGGCAAAGTGCTGGTTCAAATGTTCTGTTCTTTTTTTTTCCTATAGTTATTTATCTCATCTTAATTTGTAGGCATCCTTTATTCATTATATATATATTATATATATTATTTTATGTATATTATATATAATATATATTTTATATATATTTATATATATTATATATTTTATATATATTTTATATATATATTTATATAGTTTATGTATATAATGAATCTTAGTTCTTTGCAATTTATATGTGTTGCATATTTCTTCCTCTCTCTACAACTTGTCTCTTTTTATGGTGTCTTTTTCACGTCTCTTAGACATTCATATTTGAAAGCAGTATGACAAAGTGAGGGGAAAAAGGAGTATATAATTGTATATCTTTAAGAGACTACTTCTTGAAAATGTACCTAATATCATTATACCAATTTTGCACTCTAGAAGTGATTTGTCAGCACTTACATATCTGATTTCAACTATATCAATCCAGAATTGCCTGTATTGCTTTGCAAATGCTTTTAATACTCTTGGTATGTGTCTGAAACTTTCCCTTACACAGAACCCCTATACCTAGTACTGATGTATATGTAACAAATTGACTTTAAAAAATTATGTGATTAAGTGCCATATGACAGACTAGCCTATCCAAGTGTACTTGGCAACTTTATTTTATTTTATTTTTCAGATGGAGTCTTGCTCTGTGGCCCAGGCTGGAGTTCAGTGGTGCCATCTAGGCTCACTGCAAGCTCCGCCTCGTGGGTTCACACCATTCTCCTGCCTCAGCCTCCCGAGTGGCTGGGACTACAGGCGCCCGCCACCACACTTAGCTAATTTTTTTTTGTATTTTTAGTAGAGATGGGGTTTCACCTTTTTAGCTAGGATGGTCTCGATCTCCTGACCTCGTGATCTGCCCGCCTCGGCCTCCCAAAGTGCTGGGATTACAGGCGTGAGCCACCAGGCAACTTTTAAAAACAATAATATTGCTGCTATATGGAAATCTGCTCATCTACCTTGACATAAGCCCAACTAATGGGTGAGTTGGCTTTTGTTTTTCCTGCCTTTCAGATTCAATAAAGCAAGGTTCTCAAAGCCTAAACTCCTCATGTGTACTAAATATGCTATCTATATATTTTTATCTCTTATGATTATCACAAGCCATTAAAGACTTTCATTTCCTGGTTCTAATTTTCACATATTGGAATTGGTGCCAAATGAGCCAAGCGCTCTTCTACTTGTTCCTTCAGATCCCACACTCCACCCTTTTCCATCTTGCCTTCTGCCACTGGAGCACGGGCTCTGTGAACTACCTCAACAGGCTTCCTTGTCCTCTGACTTTCAGTTGAGTTTCCACAGTGTAGGTCCCAGCAGGAGAACAGAGGGTCCAGGAGGGGAGAACGGAGGGTCCAGGAGGGGAGAAGGAGGTCGGAACATACCTGCCCTTTGCTGTCTTCCTGCTGGGTAGCTTCTGACTAGTTGTGTCAAGAACCTGTGTCTCTTGACCAAGCTGGCCTTCTCTACTCAGTTCTCTCAGTTTTCTGGAAACTCTTCCCTCCCTTTCCTTTTAGACCTAGGAGTGATAATACCTCTACCAATATTAAACCAGGTTACTGCACTATTCTTTGTGGTTCTACTTTGCAAACAGTCCCTTTGTAAATAAACCCTCCTGGAATTATCCTAATTTGCAAGTGCCGTCTGTTTGCTACTGGGACTCTGACTGATACAGACTTAATAGCCATGCTTGTGTGCAAAAGGAGAAGCAAAACAAAGCATTAAGGTAGATTATTGTAAGTGCTGCTTTCCTAGGCTCATATACAAAGCACATAGAAGCACAAGTACTCTTTTTCTATAGAGCTCAGAGAATATAATCAGGAAGTATAAAAATTATGTTGGGCCCTGGAAATATGAAAAGTAATAAAGAACACAATTATTCTTCCCTTTAAAAGGATAGGTTCTTTTTACCAGGATTAGGTTGTAGACCCCAATCATTGTCTGCCAGCTGAATAGCATTCAGGGGTCTGGTGGAAAGCACGTCCCTCACACAATAATGTTTAGCACCCTCTTGTTCATTCATTTTCACTACCACATTTTAAATCTGAAAGGAGACATTATTTTGTACAGAAAAGTGAATTATGTCTCAAGTGACCCAATGAATGCTTGACTCTGAACTTCATTCAGAATTTTTCTCCCTTACCATTTTTTTCTCTCTCCCTAAGAAAAAAAGGCAGTTTTGATGCTTATTCATCTATTCCTCATTGTATAGATCTCTTATTTTCTCATGCTTTGATGTAGTATTAAAAATAATAAGTATCTCCTCTTATTTGTAGCTCACACAAAACTAAAAAGCAATTATTAAACTGAAAAAAGGAACAAATTATAGTTAGCAACATGAATAGATATACCTCAGGGGGCTACAAAGAAAGATTTTTTTTTATTTCTAAGCTACAAGACTGTCTTCTAAAGGAAAAGCTGTGTTGTTTTCATATTACAGAAATGAAAGTCTCTCCAAACTGGGGTATATTTAATACCACTAAAAGCACATCGCATGGAGAGCAATTACTAACTGAAATTATTCACTAGAAATACATAAGGTGTCTCTTGGGAGGGAAATAACCATGGAGGCCTCTCCATCTGTTCATTGATAGAAAAGGTGGCCTAATTTCCACATGAAAAAGTCAGAAATGCTTAGTTTTAGGATCTCTTGCTCCCCATCTTACTAGATGCTGTAGCAGGTAGCAGAGGCAATTGTGGAGATGAGAGCCAGCCATTTTTCTTCACTGTGTAACAACGTTCCCCTTTTAAAAAACATGATGCCATATAACGTACTTCTTTCTTTTTTTTCTCTTTAAAATTTTTAGAGACAGGGTCTCTTTCTGTCACCCAGGCTGGAGTATAGTGGCACAATCATGGCTCATTTTTGCCTCCAACTCCGGGGCTCAAGGGATCCTCCCACCTCAGCCTCCCTAGAAGCCAGGACTATAGATGTGTGCCACCATGCCCAGCTAATTTTTTAAAAAATTGTTTTGTAGAGGCAGATTCTCACTATGTCGCCCAGGCTGGTCTTGAACTCCTGGGCTCAATCAATCCTCCTGCCTCAGCTTCCCAAAGTACTGGGATTACAGGCATGAGCCACCATAACCAGCCAGGGTCCTTCTCGTTAGCCTGCCAGTGGGGAGGAACCTCGGCTTTATTCTTCCCCTCTATGGGTAATCAGTGACATGACTAAAGAGGAAGAAATTAAAGCCCCTAGAGCAGGCCTCTAGAGTAGGCAAAAAAAATCATAGAGGAGCTTTTTCTAACAGGTCTTTAAGTACCATCTGGAGAAAAAAAACTGTAGATCTGTTGTTTTATCATATCTGGTTCTGAGAAAGGACCTAGAGAGCTTAAACTTCATAGCCACATCATTCTCCAGGAACTTAAAGGGCATCTCATAATGCATTTGCCATTATTCTACTGGACACTATGATGATAACAATTAAGTTAAACTTTTTAACAGAAGAACACAACACAGTTTCCAATGCACTTATAGTGAATATAAAAATATGCTTATTGGATTGGAATTGACACTTTCATCTCTCCTTTGACTTCACTGAACATTTTATATAAAGCAAAAGTGAACCTCTTTATGTAAATGCCATTTGATGTCTAATTTGACATTATGGTTATTATGTTTCTAAACAGACATGATGCAACATGCACATATTTTAAGGGGTAAATTAGAATAAACAAAGTTTCTATATATAAAAATTATATCACTTAAGTTATACTTAAAAAAACCTAGCAACGTATGCACAGACATAAAGTTATATTTGCATTCTGTTGAGATGAAAAAATACAGTGGTTAATACATAGGCATTTGAGTAACATTTAGCTGTGAATCATAGCAGCTGTGTGACTTTGGTTAATTTACTTAATACAGCAGAGAGATCTTAGGGTGGCTCTCATGACTCCCCCGGCAACCCCATACCCAGTGTTCCCGTTTTGTATAATTTCCTGGCCTTGAGGGTAGGCAAGACCTGTGATTTACTTCTAACCTAGACTATGGCGAAGGTCATAGGATGTTACTCTCATGATGTTTATATTAAATGGCAAAGGTGATAGGATGTCACCTTGCGATTATATTCCATTACATAAGATTCTGTTTTAGCAGACTAGTGCCAGCAAACTGGTACTTATGGACTTGATATAGTAAGTAGCCATTCTGGAGTGGGTCATATGGCAAGAAATTGCAGGTGGCCTCCAGGATCTGAGACGAGTCAAAAGCTAGCAGAAATCTGGAGTCTTCAGTCATACAGCCAAAAAGAGCTGAATCTTGCCAATAAGGGGAGTGATCAATGAAACAGATTCTTCCCCAGTTAAGCCTCCAGATGAGAACATAGCCCGTTCAACACCTTGACTATAGCCTTGTGAGACTCTGGGCAGAGGACTGTGCTAAGACTAAGTCCTGGCCCAGAGAAGCTGTGAGGTAATACATATATGTTGTGTTAAGCTACTAAATTTGTGGTAATTTGTTATAATTTCTCTAATCCTCAGATTCCTTTTGGGTAAAATAAAAATAATAGAGCCTCCCAGAGTAGTTGCGAGCATTTAAATGCACTACATACATACAGCCCAGGACCTGGTTCATGGAAAGCACTAGGAAATTGGTAGTAATTGTATTACAGTACACTACCATATTAAACAGTTAAATCTTGGAAGAGTAAATACAAATAATTGCCTCAGAAAAAAGTGAGTTTTATTAGTGTTAATCATTAATATACAATCAAATAGAGTACTGGTTAACCACAAACTTGACACAATTTAATTTTACTACATCTAATTTTTGGCCCAGTCCTAAACAAAATTGAGAAATAAAAGAAATTAATATTGAGTACCCTCCCCTTACCTTTGCAAGCCCTCTCCACCTACTTTCCCCAATCTCTCAACTCTTAGGTATTCAGTTTCTCTTAGCAGCACTTTATGTTGAGGATGGAGAAATATATTTTCAGGTAAAGAATCTTAGCTTCAGCCACACCAGAAACAAGATTGCCTCTTGTTCCAGAATACAAGAATTGTTGCATATTTTCACAAGGAGTTAAATTAAAATAACAGAGAACTATCAGAATGCAAGCATTTTCATAATATGTAACAATTTCAAAATAGACTTCATAAATTTTGTATAAAGAAATTTTCCCAAAAAAGCATTCATGTTCCTTAATAGCAGTCTGAACTATCTTGTTTACTGCCTTAATCTCTGAAACGGAGCTTTATTTATTACTCTCATTTTGATTTCAGATCATTTTAATTACCAATAAAAAGCAAGTACCAATACTGAATAAATTATTACTTATGTGGATGCGTTTAAAACTGGAATAGTTAGTGGCCTCATTCCAAAGGTTCTATAAACCATTTTTGTAAGTGAATGCTATCATAAAGAAATTTGGATAGAAACCCTGTTATTAGTGGAGAAATGCAAAGCAAAGAATGACTAGTACTTCAAGTGAATCAAGTACAAATCAACATCATTAAGAGAAAACTAAAATTTCATCCATCCTCCAATTTCAGTATAAGAATCATCATCAAAAAGAAGATAAAGGATTTCATTTATGTGCTGTCAACTCAAACATGCTAATTAGAAGACATTTGAATATTACCAGCATAGGAGCTGATGTAAAACAATTTTATGGTCTCAGTTCATTCCTGTGGAGCAAAGAGGTCCCACTGAAATTGATATTCTGACTGGTAAATTACCAGGGGTCTCAAGGACTGAGTAGACTACACAAAGCATTCTAAGGGGTGGATTTTGTATACTGTAGTGACAAAGATATTGATTCTCTAGAGATGAAGGAGTAGATAGATATAGGGCATTTATCTAATGGATCATAAGAATATTCTTTGCCTCTGAATTCACATAAATTTCTATACCTGTTAAGGCTTAAAAAAAAAAACCCCGAGAGTTTCTAATAAATCAAACTAATTTAAATTGGTCTTTTACCAAAATGGAGAATTGCAATTTTGCCTGTTTTTTCTTTTTACATGAATTCCATAATCAGAAATCCTAGCTGATCTAACAGACTAATGACCAATAGCTCAAAATCATCCCTTTTATGATTACTTTTATTTACCTTCTGATTTATTTTCCTCCTCATCAACTGGAATGCTAATGAAGTTTAATAGTTAGCTATTAGTGATAACTCAGCCACTAACTAATCGTAACTTTAGTCAAACCACTAAATCTCTTTGACCCTTTTTAGTTTCTAGTAAAATAGAAAAACCATTTTTTACACCACTCCTTTGTTTAGGGGATCAGAAGTGATAATATATGTGAAAGCACATTGAAACCAGTAAGCCACTATATAAATTCAACACAAAATTAGCACAAATATTAATATTATCATTTCTGGACCATAAATAGCTCACTAAGTATCACTTTTGCTAAGTAATAAGCTAAACTATAATAACAGTTATTATCATTGAGATTTCCTGTGCATTCAAGATGTCACCATTCAGCCACTTTTAATATTGAATGTGTTTTGGTTATCTTTCTAATAATAGCTATAAATTAGTTTGAATCCATTCATACCATCTAAAATAGTCCTGCTCTTTTGTGAAGAAGAGCACGGATTTAAAGAGAAATAACCACAGAAATAAGAGATATCTTTGCACATGGAAGAGAGCATTAGTCTCCTTAGAAGCAGGGTGCCGTAGCCAGATGCAGGCTGTTAAACAAGGGAAGCTGTGGACATATGTATATTTTTAAAATAAAATTTTATGCTATGTGTATATTTTAATGTAAAGTGTTTTTAAAGGCCCTTTAGCCAAACTACAAGGGTTAGTACCTCAGAGATCAGCATTATAATGGAAAATGTATGTGTGGTGAGTTTTCCTTTTTCCACCATGCCTGTTTTCAAGTATTTCAGCAAAGTCCGAGTTGACAGTGATATACTCCTATAAGGTGTAAATTTACATGAATGGGAAAAGTTATCAGATGCAACAAGAAAAATCAACCTTTTTCCAGCTGTACACTTTTCAGTGAACTTAAAGATATTACTTGACAATATGATAAGGGCCCATCACTCAAAATGCTAATCGTTTTTCTTTAAAATGTAAAGGTATATGGAAGAACACATGGGCAAATAGAGGAGAACACACACAGGGGCCTATCAGAGGGTGGAGAGTGGGAGGAGGAAGAGGATCAGGAAAAATAATGCATGGACATAGGTTTAGTACCTGGGGGATGAAATAATCTGTAAGCAAGCCCTCATGACACAAGTTTACCTATGTAACAAGCCTGCACTTGTACCTCTGAACTTAAAATAAGAATTAATATATATCAGGTATAAAATGATCCTGAATTTCCACTTTTTAAAACATTTTGTGTCATGTAGTTAGTACACAACAGTATTTTCTCTAAATGAATACCTTAAAATAATACATTGTTCTCTTGGTTTTCTACCATCTCATTTGATTTGGGTAGAAGTGCACCATAAGCACTTCTCAAATTATTCTAAGCTACCTTTGCTGGGTTCTGCTTATTTCTGTGCAGTCTTAAATTCACAACTTCATAACCTTAAAGTGCACCTAACTCATTCTTATTTGGGGAAATATACACAATAAAAATATCTTTATGGAAGAATCTATGCATTACAGGGCATGATATTATTCTTTAGTAAATAAAAGACATTATATAGCAGCAGATACATTTATAACTAATCAAATTCTATGATGAGACACATAAAAGGTGACAGATTTCTAGAAAGAGAAGGCTTTTTTTTATGAAAAGGATCTATATTCACCATCAGATAATTGTTCCCTAATTTAAAATTAAGACCACGGGGAAAATACTGTCGAAAAATAAAGCATTTGAAAGACAGTGACAACAAAATTAAAGAAATGTGTATACCATGCATTCAGAGAGGTATGAAAGGCAGCTCTCAAATTCCATGTGTGTGGTTAAATGGGTGTAGTTATATCACTCAATGTGCATGGTTTTTTGAAGTGGGAATAGTACACATGGACACAAGCACATACTTGGTGGGAAACCAAAACATGGATTATAGCACATTAATTAGAGAGCGTAGTATCCGAGCAGAGCTAGATCATCAATTCATTTCATTCAAGTTAAGTGGTTTAATTCCCATATTTTCCAACAGTCTTCAGAGTAAAAACAAAAAAATAGAGTTATAGTAATTAACATTTGACTTAATTTAACAATGATCAAAAGGACCAGAATAATAAAAGAAAATAGAGGGTTTATGCTTACATGCATGTAGGGCTGATAATTGTCCATTTCCCTATAATTGCTAGTATTTCACCTTCATCAGTGTACTCTTACCCCAGTAAATGAACTTTTGAAAAAATGGCTTCTAGATCTTCTCTTTTTCATTAATTGTGGCAGTTTTTGGATAAACTGTTTTTTTGTCCCAGCTGTCCACCTCAGTTTGCTGATATAAACAGGCAGTTGCAAATCTTTCTCATTAAGACATGCATATATAGTCACAACAACAAGGAAGTGGCATTGTAGAAAGGAACACACAGTGGTAGAAGTAGCTGTAATTTATTGTACATCATTATCATCCTCTTACGTGGTGCTGAGCTGGGCACTTAATTTAAGTAGACATGGTCTCTGCAGCCTAGGGATTTATGAACTAAAACATTAACAACACATTCTCATTCGTTTCCAAGAGGATCTTCCCTGTGGGCTTGTAATTAAATCCAAGCATCAAAACTTAAGATAAACTGGTCATTAGCTTTATTCCATTTCACTTTTCTTCTTTTTGACTCTTGCTGTCTATCACTGCATAGTTTAAGGAGACTTTGGGAACAAGAAGGCTTAGAAAGGAAATCAAAGAGGCAAAATATTTTCAAATATGAAATAACAAGAAATAAGAGAAATGAAATTAGACTAGAAAAAGTGACATATTGATAATGTGGAAAAAGATAAAAGTCTCTTTCATAAAACAAAATAGCATCTGAATAAATAAGAGATAAGAGGTACTATCTAGGTGAACAATGATAATCAAAAAGTGTAAATTATGCCCAAGAATAAAGAGAAAGAATACTACAAAAAAATTGAAACAGAGGGCTTGAGAGCTACTTAAAAAGATAAATTTTCCTAAATGCAATTATGGCTCTAACAACTCAGTAAAATAGATCAAATTAGGTAAATATTAAGTAATTAAAGCCTACACTATCTAGATAACTGAAATGTTTGGTATAAATCAGAATCTTTCAACATTTTATATAAAGATACAATATTGAGTAGAATAAAAGTGTTGAATAATGACATTCTAAGAGGTAGAGCCAGTTCCGTGATGACACAGGAGTTAGGGGTTAGTGGCACCAGCCATCCTATTATTGACCCAGTTCAATTTCATGACTGATCCAGATTTAATAGGTGAAGATGCCAGGCATACTGATATTCTCTATTTGCTTTAATTTTCCATTTTGCTTTGAGTAGATATAGCCCAGTCCTTCCTTATAAGAATGTTGAAACAACCTCTCTGTTAACTAATGTGTTGTGTTGGGATGCCTAGATAACCAACCGTATCTTTAAAATGATAAGAAAAAGATGTAGTTTTGGTTTCATTTTATTTCATCACATTTAATGTCATTCAACTGTAAGTTCATATAGTAATTTTTTTCAAGTTAACCTAGCAAGACTTAAATAAAAGATGATGTCAACCTATTAAACATCTATTGAATATTTACTATGTTCCCTCCACCCAGACCCAAAATTCTTCAACCAACCTCTTAATAGGGATAACATAAAAAAAGTCTGAGGAGTGAGTTTTTCAGATGAAAGTGCTACATACATTCCAATTACCTGATTATTATTTGGCCAGTGCTCTGAGGGAAAAGTGCAGCCCTTATCTTTATGAAGCACTTGAAGTATTGCATCACAGCTGACACATAAAATGAAGGTTGGAAGAAGCCAAGTCAATACTGGTTTGAACACTTGCCTCAGGGGTCAAAAAATTCACAGTGAAGTTAATCTGTTGATCCTGAACTGAATTAGAAAAGATGCTATTATTTTCATTTAATTTCCAACTTGGAAATATCAAAATAAAAATTAAATTTCAATAAAAATAGTTTAAAAATTCATTAATTAAAATATTTGAGTAAATAATTTCTATGTAAACTTTTCTATAGACATCTCTCTGATAACATAAAAGACTGAAAAGAAAAGCATTCATGAGATAGAGATTGCACTAGGTAAATATTTTTTTCTGAATTTAGGTGCATCTATAGCAGCAGAGGTGGTTCAGAGAAGGGAGACAAATTCTCATAAAAATGTTGAAATGGGTCAAACTGCTCCCACCTCAAAGCTAAAGATTCCCATTTTAAGTCACAATAATTTCCTGATACCCTGAAGGAAAGAGATGAGGAAGCAATGAACTATAATTGTCAGAAACGTGATAGAACATGTAAATGTGATCATCCATAAATTTTGCTATGTAATTATAAAACAAAATTCATAGTGCCATTATGTGACTGCATAAACATCACCACATTTTGACAAAATCACCACCATCAACAAAAATAAACTATAAGCTCCATCTTGCAAATAATATGCTTCTTGTAGCTTTTGCTTATGATACAGGGGTGAAGTGGACAACGGCATTAGAGCTGAAGAGGGCGCATGGTAGATCCCTACCCTAACCCTGCTACTACAACAAGGTCATTGAAGAGCCTGTCTCCACAAGCCTCTAAATCAATCCTTTCATTATTGATTGGCTTGGCAGGAGATAAAAATGCAGTGACCTTTGCCATTTTGAGGGAGTAAGGCATCCACCATTCAGTCACTTTACTATTTGGTCTTGTTTAAGGAAAATATTTTTTTCCAGAATATTTTACCTTAAACAGAGAAGTCATTAAACCTGACTCAAATCAGGTTAATTACTGAGTTCCAGCACCAGCTTCTCCCTCCTGCCCCTCCAATTCTCCCCAGATATAGATGGTGAAGAGACACTAAAAATCATCAGTATGTGGGAGGCCCCTTCTCTAACCTCTTTTCTTCATCCACACAATTGACAAGTGCAAATCCAGCCTATAAGGAAATAAAAGAACTTCTTTCTCAATAAGAGCTTGGTGACACATTAATCTAAAGCAACATTGCTCCAAGGCTGCAAACTAGAACAGGCTCAACTCAGAGCAATGATTGTCTAAAATGTCCCTAGTGAACAATTTGAAGGAAGAGTCCTTCCCTCTATAGCCACAGAAGGTTATCAGAGCAAAACCTTATCTGTCATAAGACTCCCCAGATATCAAGTTCAGTGAGTGCCTAATCCCAGGAGCTGTTCTGCTGGAGGGAAAAGTGATTTCAGGCACTTCGCAGCCAGCTCAGTGCAGGGGGCTGGAGGATGATGTTATGGGAAGCTGGTATTTACAGCTCAGCCTTGCCAGCACCAATGAGGAAGAGTGTTGGAGCAGATGTTAGTTTTCCAGTATTTTTACACTCCTTTGGAAAGAGAGATTTCTTATTTCTCTTCCAAATTTCTATCACATTTGCCTGTTTATTAGATACTGCTACATAGTCTGTTTAGTAGCCAAGATCATCATGGCAATGGTCATTTATTTACAATCTAAGCTAAAATAAATTAACTTGAGTCAATTATCAGCAATCTGTCTTAACTTAGATACTGTATAAACTTTAACACCACAGAAGATAGGTCATTGTCAGCATACTTCTTTTTATTTCCCCCCAGAGAATAAGGACAACTGATATACGAGAGATAAAAGAAATATTATGAATTACTTTCCAAATGAGTGGAAAGAAAGATAATGTAAAAGGGATGCTTCATTTTTGTCTGTATTGCATGTAGTACTCTCTCTTTGTAAGTTAGATGCTTAGGAAGAAAGATCTACTTTATTATAGTAGCTTAGCACTAAGTGGTCCTCTAAGAGAATCAAAGTCCAACCACTCTCTTAGCAAATAGTTTGAAACTGGAGAATGATTTAGATGTAAGTAGAATCTCATTGATCAGCTTTTCCATTTTCTTGCAAAGGTGAAGAATGTTTCAGTTTAATATAAAATACAGGCCTTTTTTGACATCAATAATTTATGAAAATAAAATATTTTATGAAGATTTCCTATATATCCACAAAATACTCTTCTCTTTGAAACAGAAATTTTGTGAAAAGGAAGAATGTTAATCACTATCTGAATGTAATATCAAGAGCTGTTCTCATAAAAGGCACATCTTTAGATTCTTTCCCTCCCCAAGAATCAAAGAATCACACATGAGCTTATTTGTCAGCTATAGTTTTTAAAATAGACAAAGCAAGAATTTTATGCTCAAGTAATTCCAGATCTTTCTGAAACCAATACTGTCAGATAAGTTGTAAAAAAAAAAAAATCCATCATTACTGCCACTATCAAACCACTGAATATCTGTTTATTCTCTTTAATGTATGACAGAGATAAAGAGTTTTCTAAAAAGGTACTCTATTGCCTTAAAAATAGTCTTGCTTTAGGACACAGACTATTATCACCACAATCAAAGCTACCTCTTCGGCGCTTAGAATGCAATAAGACATAAGAAAGAAAATTACCATGAGATATGAGGCTGAAGAACTTGAATTGTATGTTGCTTTCCACTATTAAGAACAGTCTGCACTATTAGCCTTTCTCTGAGTGTTCAGAGATGTAATTTGTAATGGTACTTCAAGAACATATTGTATGTCCTTGCTTTATTTGAGCAAAAAAATAGAAATCGAATCATTGTTGTACCATTTTCTCTTCAATAATTGCTGTCCATGTTGCAGTTGTCACTTCTATATGATAATTTAAAGATAAGTCAGAGTGTATAATGCATAATATTCAACCTCTCTCTTCTTGGTGATCATTCTTCCAATTATTTTCTTTGGTAAAACAAAAAACTAAGACCTACATCAGTTTTCCTTACACACCACCAATACTAATGTAATTCAAATTCTCACCACATTTCCCCTTCCCCTAGGTTTACCTCATTCTGCATTAATGTTCTAATCCTTACTTTACTATAGCAGAATAAGTATATTATTCATAAACCATTGAGCCTCAACCAAAAGGCCTCGTGTGGTGTAAATTTCAAGTACCCTGCTATTGGTAAGATATTTTACAACACAGAAGTCATTTAAGAATGTCTAAGCCACTGTTATTTTCCAAGATTTAAAAGAGCAAAAATGTTAATGAAAATAAAATTCTACCTTTACACTGCAAAATTATACTTTACTTTTGTCTACATTGGAAAGCATTTTACATAAAGCTGTGCAAGAAATTATCTCTCAGCTCCAAATCTATTTGTCCATTCTGTAAACTTCATTGTGATGCTATGGCTGAGACTCTCAAAACCATGTTTATCCTGACTCTGATGGCTCTATGTTAGGCTCTTCTAACAGGGAGCCCAGATGGAAACTGAAAAGCCTGGTGAAGAAAGAAGAAATATTGTTTTCCTATGGGCTAGCTGACTGCCTGCTATTCCTAACAGCATCACCCTAGCTGTTTTGTTTGCCCAAGGAGCAGCTGCTCCTTCCTGTAATAGCAGCTGAAACCAGTTTGCAATACTTCCAACATTTGCAGTACTATTGCATGGCTTTCAGAGATACTAGAGCTAGCCTGACCCATGTTCCCTCTGCAGAATGAATTTCAGGTCTATGGGTCTTGTCCAAGTTCACCATTAGTGGGATAAATTTCAGCTCTACTAGTCCTTTCCTCCAAGATCTAAGTTTTAATAACTCCAAAGTCTTCTCTCTATTCCCTACCTCTAGAGCTGGAAGCTGCATCCTACAGTTGCCACTTCTGTGATTATTTGTAGTTCTCTTTTACCCTTTCATTGATTTTATTAACAACAATCTTATATCTAGTTAACAGTTACTTACATTTAATATCTATGTTCAAATAACTGGCGTGGTTTCTGTTCCCTGATGGACCCTGATTGATTCAATCACCCTATAGGGGCTGTTAGAGAAAGCATTTTTGTCCCCATTTCAGAAAGGGTAACATTTTGTTAATCACTTGATAAGAGAAAAACCTGGGACTTGGACTCAGTTATCAAATCCATTTATAGCACCTTTTCCATAGAAACTACTTCCTTTTGGACACTGAATAAAATTCTTCTCCTAAATGCTCTACATATCCAGTCAAGAAACGTAGAAAATAAATAAGTTGGCCAAGATGAACATGGCTATTAAAGTCAGATCTTTTGTACAAAGCCCCAGCTTAATTTTCACATCAAGGCTCTTCAATTTCAATAATTTCTAATAGTATTAAGAGTTGGGGTTAAAATGTATTGTTATTCTTGTAGTATAATAAATGGTCATGATCTGTTAAATGTGAGCACATTGAAGAATGCCAAAACAATACTTGTGAGCTCATTATTTCCTATATAGTTTTAAAAGTGGAACTGAAAAAGCAAAAGCAAAATACTAAATGTAATATAGCTCTCTTTTACATTTGCTTGCTGCCAGATATTCTATAAATATAAAAACAGATCTCGGAAGCTGCTGTTTAGAATATAAGTAATGAATTTCCTGATGGGGTGTTCAGTAAAATTTTCCAGACATGAGCTTTCTTCCTCTGGTTGGCCAAATAGTGTGTTTTTCCCTCCTGTCTGCCCAGCGAATGTGTTTCTAAAGACCGCTTTGTGTTCCTGAAAATCACAGGAATTCCTGTATAGTACAACGAAGGCCCTGGCAGCAAAGCCTAATCAAGTTGAAGAAAGCACCACAAATACTTCCCAAATGGCTTTCTTCCACAATTGGCAGTATTAAGACAACAAAAGAAAGTGAAAACAAAGGCTACAAAAATAATACATCAACTTTCCTTCTTCTCTCCTCATTTGCTTCCAGGTCCTCAAGACTGAAACACACACACATAGATTAAAAGTACAATTATATCTGTAGTACCTATCATATTCTGTATGATGTGAAAATGATATTTGTAATTATAAATTAATATATATCATATATATATATTACTTTTCTACACCAAAAATATTCCCAACCCATATGTGTACATGTCTTACCAGGAGTTTAACAAATTCACTTGCTACTTTAATATAATAGGATCATACTTCAGCTCCCTTTTGGGGGTTTATGGCACACCACTAACAGAGAACAAAGTAAGAAATGAGAAAAACAGAAACCCTTCCACCTCTCTAATTACATTTTGTTAATTAAACACCTATGAAAGTGTAAACACTCATTCTTATAAACTGAATATTATCAGGATTTGCCTTGAGAAATTCATGGTAAATATTATAACAGCATCCGAATTGCCTGTACTTATTACTGAATACAGCCTGTTGTGTAGGAGGCAATATCCTATAAAAGTCACATGCTACGTTATCCATGGAAACTTTAGCTGATGACAAGTGGCCTATTCAGTTACAAATATAGTCACTTAGAAATATAGGGTGGTGTTTTTTCAGCTCACTACCCATATAACTAAACTCCTGTCACTTGACTTTAGAGATTATCTGTATTTTGGAACATAGAAGCCCAATGTGCTACCACCGAGGATAAAAGGTAAAAGGTAAAAAGCATTAAAAGGTAAAAAGCCACTAAATGCGTACTTTTTAAAAGTCCATTATAAAAAACGATGTCTTCAACCTTTTATTAATGAGGCGCAGCTGTGAATAGTCTACTTTCATCTTATTAAAACGTCTACAGGTAATGAATAGAGAGCGTGATAATATATTCCTCAGGAAAGTTTCAAGACTTTGAAAACAGAACCTTATATTGCAATGCTTTCTAAGTTGCAAGCATAAATATTAGCCTCTAGGGGGAGCGCTAGGCTCTTCCCCTTAGATTTTCTAAATGCTAAGTCAAGAAAAGAGGAAAAAATTCCATTCCCCTAAGAGAGAATGATCCAACTGGTCAGATTCCAGGACATTGATTGGACCATGTTTTGTGGGACTGAAGCTTTCAGAAGTTTTTAAAAGGTCAGCATAAGCAATAACTTCTCTTCTCAGACTCTCCATGCCTTCCATAGGTGGCAATCAGACTAAATCTCTGCCCTGGCAAACTACTTTTTCTTTCTCTCTCTGTATATATACGTGCATATACATATATACATACAGATGCATATACAACTGCATCTAGGATTATCTGATTGCTGCCTTTGCTTAGCCACTTATGTCCATGTCCTTGAAGATAAATATTGTACAAAGGAATATTTGGCTTTTTGGTGCACTGCCCATAATATCACAGCACCCAAGATCTTTCTCTAATTTCTAATAGCATTTGCAAATAGTATAGAGTTTGTTTATTTTAAAGTTGCACAGAATGCCATTACCTAGCTTAGTGACTTTGGGCAGATCACCCTGTTCTGTGAGTCCCACTCTCCTCACTAAATGGTTTCTAAAATGTTTTTGATTCCAAAATTCTATGAGTTTTTATCTTCAACAATTTTTTCCCAATGCTAAATGAAATTTTGTTCAATAACTCTTGGTGGTCTAAGTCATTTCCCCACTGTGTGATTTAATTGACATAATGCCGTTCAAGGTCACAGAGCAAAACCTAAAACATCTAGCAAGCACATAAAAATTCAAGTCAAATGCATACAACCAGTCAGCTGCAAAGATCTCAAATGCAATAGCCGAAACCACCTAAGCAGACAAATCTAAATAGCAAAGTCACAATCTGCCTTTTATCTAGCATATTGGGTATCTTGTGCCACGAACCTTCTCAGAGCCTTGGGACATGGGCTCAGCAAATGTGTATGCTGACTCTTACACCTAAAAATTCAGTAGAAGCACAGATCATCTTCCTGAATGTGCCAGCAGATCTTTATCCCATAACTATGTGCAATTCAAACACAGGTTTGGATGAGTACGGCTCATTTATATGTAGGAAGAACAGAATTTTCACAGGAAAAGCAGAGTGGAAGATTCTTGTGTCCCCCACAGACCTGGAGTTCTTGTCTATTTCCATTCGGTACCTTTTATCTATCTTGGGCATTTAAGGAATAAACCGGCCAGAACAATTCAGATGGAAGACAAAAAATAAAATAGAATCATTAGTTCCAATTCTTCCAGAGAATTCATCTAACAAAATGAGCTGGTGTTATGGGAGGTAGAACAAAGAGAATCCTAAATTGTATTTAATCCAATAGCTTTACTTCACTAGTTAGAAAACTGAAACTTAGCAAGGTCCAATCTTTCATTGGAATGACCTTTATTTTGAGCTTATTTTAGATGTTATTATGTGCTTTGCCATAATGGGGAAAGGTGAATGGAAAATTCTGCCTTCGCATATTCCAGAGATTAGGGAGACAAGCTAAATATACCTAACTAACATACGGCTAGTTATCTATTTCTGTATAACAAAGCGAGGACTTAATGGCTTGATGGTGATTTATCACTTCTCACAGTTCTGTGAGTTGACTAGGCAATTATGTTTGTCTCATCTGGGCTCACTCATGGGGTTCAGATAGCTTGTGGCTCGTGGCTCGAGTGGGGCTTGGGACTCTAAGATGGCTTCATTCACATGCCTAGGGCCTCAGTAGGATGACTGGCATGGCCCTGAAAACTGCGAAGCTCTCTCTCTGTGCAAACTTTCACCTGGACTTTTTATATGATTCTGGAAGTATTCCAAGAAGGCAAAAGTAAAAACTGCAAAGCGTCTTAAAATAGAAGTTCAGAAGCCACATTATATCACTTCTGTTGCATTCTATCAAAGCAAGTCACAAGGACAGATCAGTTTCAAAGAGTGGGAAAATAGACTCCACCTCTTTATAGGAGGAGCTGCAAAGAATCTGTGGTCGTATTTAATCTAACACATCCGGACAACAGAGAGAAATCAGGAAGTTGAATGAGATGCAGATTTGCTCTTTTTTTTCCCCCCACCAGAATATGTATTTAAGGATAGAAGTGATGTTACAGGTCATTAATTTATTTATTCAGATATTTCAGTATTTTGACTTCTGACAAATCAAACCCATGCCAATGCTATGCTTTTATACAATTTCTACATCATAACTGGCACTCACTAAACCCACAATCAACAATGAAGAAAAAAGTAGGCACAGGCATGTTTCATAGAAACTAAAATAGACTTGGTCAGCTTATTTATTAAGCACATATTCTTATCTACTATGAAAAGTCATGACCTTCTTAGCTGAGGAAAGCAATTACTTTTGCACAGAGAATCTTTATATAACAACACAAAGGATATTCAAAATTTACCAGTTTCTGGCAAGACTAAAGCACTTAAGGCAGGCAGTGTTAATCATGCAAACTTTGTGAAGCAATTCAGCTTATCAGAGCATGAGATGAACGAAGTCAAAGCTTTGATCCTCAGATAGGCCAATATATTTCATGGAGAGAAGCCTTTTTTTTTTTTAACATAAGGATAGCTTTGATCACTTCTTCAACTACTGAGTCTTTTCTTAACCTCAAGAGAAATGAACAGAATTCAATAAGATTACCTATTTTTAAAATGCCACATACTCCAATAGATACTACTGGGGCTACAAAAAATTAGAACTATGTAGTTTTATCCTCCCCAAATCTTTCATATTGATAAGGGCAAAAAATAGGATGACACAATTGGTTTACAATGTATAAAATGATAAAGTGCTGGACAGAAGGTACAAATTACAATACAAGTTCAAAAGAGAAAGATTATATTAGTTAATCTAGAAAATGTACAAAGGAGGTGATATTGGCAGAATACCTTTAAAGATGGGGTAAAACTTTTGCCAGGGGAGAAAGGCATTCTAGATAAAAGGGAGAGAGGAGAGCAGTGAGTGTTGATTTGAAAATAAGAAAGGGTAATTCAACTGTGTAAGAATGAGAATGTACAGAGATGTGTGGCCTACTTTTCTCAGAGACAGGGGTCAAGTAAGGGAGAAATCTAAATCTTATATAAATGTTTGAAATGATATGAGAAGGAAATGTGAGGAAAGCTTGGATAGCTTTCCATCCAGAACTCAAGGGTTGGGGATCCTGGTTAGCAGGAGAGCAAAGACCAGGACCTGCAGGAGTGATGAGGAGCTGGGAGGATAAAAGGTTGCTCTTGAGTTAGTAAGGTTTCAGTTGTGAAGTAGTACAAATAACATATTTGGTTTCTGCTCTTAGTTCCTGGCACAGAACCCTAAAACCTTTGTAATTTCCTGAGTGATAGAAGTGTTAGGTGCATCTTTTGTCCTTTTATTTGGTCTTTGGCCTCAGTTCCTGACATAGAGCTTCTAATTCCTTGGAACTTTTTGGGTGATCAGAGGGTCTTTTATTCTAATGAGGTGACTCTTGGTGGGATGCTGGATGGCGGCTGGTCACCAGGAAGACCAAGGCATGGTTACAAGTTTGGAGCTTTTAGCCCCAGCCCTCATCCTGCAGGAAGGGGTGAGGGATTACACATTGAGTTAAAAATTGATTATGCCTACTTGATGAAGCCTCAATAAAGAACCCTAAACTACTGAGTTCAGAGTGCTTCCAGGCTGGTGAATACAACTATGTGCCAAGAGGGGGCACACCCCAACTTTACACATACAAAAGCTCTTGCACACAGGATCTTGCCAGACCTTGCCCTATTTACCTCTTCATCTGGGCTGTTCAGCTGTATCCTTTAAAATATCCTTTGTGATAAATTAGCAATAGTAAGTAGAATTGCTTTTCTGAGCTCTGTGAACCACTTTAGGAAATTATCCAACACTAGAAGGGGATGGCGGGAATCTCTGATTTGTAGCCAAGTCAGACAGAAATTGTGAATAATCTAGGGACCCACTACTTGTGATTAGCATCTGAAGTGAGGGGCAGTCTTGTGGTACTGAGCCCTTAACCTGTGGGGTCTTTGCTAACGGCACTGGTTAGTCTTAGAATTAAATTGCTGAACACACAGTTGATGTCCACAGGGATTGGGAGAATTGTTTGATGTGGAAAACCCACACATCTGGTCACAGAAGTGTTGAGTGTGAGTGTGAATATGGTGACAAAAAATACCTTTTTCCCATATATTTACATGGCAATTCTACCACTTTCGTAGGGATAAATTGGAGGGCAGACACTCAAACCTCCCTTTTCTCCTCAGACAAACCTCAGAAATAGTGAAACCTATAGATTATGGGGAGAGGCCTCATCTTTATCTAGGAAAGTCCTCATATTCATCAACATGAGTACTGAATAAGATGGGTATTAAATAGATGATTTTCACAGTCTTTTCTGGCATTAGCATTTTATGATTTTGTGCTTTTGCCTCTAGTAAATCTTATTATTTTGTCTATAGTAAATCCTTGACCTCTTAACTAGTTGTAATTATTTTCAAATACAGAGACAACCACAGAAAATAACATATTTGCATTATTGTGGATATACATGTTTGTGAAAGATGTAAAATATTCATAGAATAATGCAAATTAAATTGAGGACAGTTGATATTTTTTGAATTGAAGTAAGAAAAATAGGATCAAGAAAGGACACACAAAAGACTTGATATGTTTCTTTACATCTTCCTTTAAAAGTAAAACTAATGTGAATATGGTAAAATGTTACAATTAATAGTAGGTAGAGGGATATTTGATATGTTTCTTACAATGTATGTAGAGATTTTGTTCATATCAACTGCTTTAACAGTGTGAACATACAATTTATCTACATATTACATTTTAATGAACCTTTAGTTTTCTTGAAATTTTATACTAATATGAAAAAAATATTGCAAGGAAATTCTGGGAGACTGGTGGCAATACTGCCTAAACATCACAGTTATCTGAGGAATTTTTTAAAAATACATAGGCTTTATTCTAGAGGTATGCATTCCATTTTGTTTTTACATCATGGTAGACCTAGAAAATAATATTTATAGGGTGCACTGGGGTAAAGAGAAAAGTTTACTAATAGACTGTGAAAGAGGACCAGCCATGTCTGCCTCAGCAAGCACACCCAGCACCCCAAGGGCTGAGAAGATTCAAATCTCAATAGATTGCAAACTTCTTAATTTCTAACATAGCAATGTTCCAGGAACACTGGATGAACAGCTCTACTCTAGAACAGAGATTATAAAATTTAGCTGCATATTAGAATCTTCCCAGGAGCTTTTAAAAAACTGCTACGCCTAGGCTATACCCCGGAATGATTAAATTAGAATATCTGACAGTAGGATCAAGACATCAGTGATTTATAAAAAAAAAAAAAAAAAAAAACTCCCAGGTGATTCCAGCATGCAGCCAAGGTTGAGAGCCATGTCGAGCAGTATCTCTCAAATTCCTCCCACGATAACAATCACCTAGAATACTTGTTACAAATGCACATGCCCACACTTTAAACCCTTCAGCAGCTGGCTTGGGAAGCTGTATGCTTAACAATGCCTCAGGTATATGCCTAGATGCAACATTGCTGTGTCTCAACTGAGCAGTGGTGAGAGGGCTACTTTAGAGCCACTTGAAAGTCCTTATTTGTTGGAGCAATCAATGTGGCAAGTCATCTTGCTGTTTCGGATACTTTCCGTGTTTTAGAGGGCTATTCTGACCTAGGTACTGCAATACTGGGTCTGGCTGCTATTGGAAAAATTAGTTCAGAAATCATCAGGAAATGATCCCAGCCTGTGGAGGAGCTGTATAGAAAGTAGCTGTTTGCTGGTACATATCATATTGTCCATTGTGACAGGAAATAACCTTTGAGAGTCTAGCCACAGAATTCTTTCTTCCCTTTCTTTAAAAGACTGTAAAGAACACTGGCAAAAAACAAACAAACAAACAAAAAAAAAAAACAGGCTCTGGAGCCAAACGGCCTTGGAAAATCCAGGCTCCACTAAACAACTAATTGCAATCTTGGGCAATGCAATTAATCTAACCATGCCTAGGTTTCCTTCTTGTAAAAATAGTCACAATAATAACAGTACCTACCCTCATGTTGTTGTCACAAAGATTAAATAATTATAAATGCCTAGAATTTAAGTGTTTAAGAAAGATGATTAGTATTACTATTACCAATTTACACTTCTCAGTTCTTCCCTCGTTCAAGTATTCTTACATTTTTATCATCTAAACCTCGTCCCATTTTTACCCTCCCAAATTCCTATTCCTTTATTTTCACTGATTGTAACAAAGGAAAAACAAAGCAGTAAAATGCCAAAATTCTTAACTATTTATCAGATAACAAATTCTACATATTTTCTAAAATATATTAAGTACTTTCCTCTCCTTTTTTGCCACAATTATCAATAAGTAATGTTGAGAAGATAATAACACATTGACTGTATCTAGCTTTATGCTTTATGCTATTCAGATTCAATTATTTCAAGGATGTCTAGCTTTTGGTATCCCATACTTACTTTAATAACTTGTTATAGAGTTAAAATAACCTTTTTGGGCAGGAAATCAGGAAATTCTTTTTCATGTCAAAGTTTATCCGATCATGCTGAACTTTAATCCCATTTTCTCTAGGTTTGTTTTCTGTGCCCATTTAAAAAAATGGAACTTCTGAAAACTATTATTACATGATATTGATTGTAGAAAGAACTTCAAAGCTTTAAAAATTATACTAGAATGTTACAATATGTTTTTGAGTTAAATTTCATATATAAGAGGGCCTTTAAAGAAATATTAAAAGAAATAGCATAATTTTAACATTTAGGTAATTTTAACCATAAAATGGCCCCCATTATAGACCCTGAGATCAGAATTCTGTTAACATTTCTATGATTTCTGATTCTAATGTTCATATAAATATAATACACACACAACCAGTAATTATGATGAACCATTTCAGAGACTGCTATCTATAAGGGTAAATGAGTAGCCAATCTGGCAGATATAAAACCAGGGTCAAATTACAAAACTTGCTCACTTAAGACTTTTAACATTATTTAGTACTTTGTTTTGTTCCAGAGAAGAGGGTGGTTACCTAAAACTATCTGGGTTTTGTGCTGCATAGAAAGATGTTAACAGTCAAGGTGGTTCAAAATCATCATTGCAGAAGCAAACACAGTTGAGACCTGGGAAATTCATAGGTTACCCTGAACGTACATATCACACGTTTTTATTTCCAACGACTACTTCATTTTACAAAGACAAGTGTAGTTACTAATACACTGAAAATAATTAGTGCTAAAATCCCTCTCTAGGCTGTGAAGAATTTGGGTCATTTCAGGGAGAGTGTAATATCTATATTAATTCTGCAAATCCCACAGGATCCAGGTCAGAGAGCTATACACTGCAGGAAAGAAAACCATACTTTTACATAATAGTCAAGATGATGGTTATGGTGACTACAATGATGGAATGCCATTTAATTATGTCAATTCACAAAAATAGTGATTATCATTTATAACATGTTAGGTGGAAAAAGTAGATTCTAATTGTCATACGAATACAGAAACCTACCAAAGTGACTCAAAATCTGTATCAGTACTTTTGTTGTAAGAGCTGAATTTCACCAAGGGCAAATATTTATATATACATATCTATATACATGTTATTTTGTATTGTTTGTGTGCATGTGCTATTGTTTGCTCTTTGAGTGTCATCCTTGATGCTTTCTCTTTACTTCAGCTACTTTATCCTATTGTTCACTAAGTCCATTTGATTTTCCCTTCTAGGTATATCTAAATCCAACCCCTTTTCTCCATTCCACTGCCAATACACCAGTCCACCCACCATCATCTGTTCTGTTTTCTTCCATCCCCATTTAAACTATATTGCACTTCATGGCTACTGTGATCATTTAGAAGTACAAATAGGTTTATGTTTCTTCTCTACTTAAATCCACTCAGTAGATTCCTAAGTTAGATAAAATTAAATTAGAATATCTTCAAAACCCTTTATGAAGTGGCCCTACTTATATCCCTAATCTTTGAAAACTAATATCTGAAACTAGCCTAATCTGTGAAAAGGGCCTGGAATAGTACTGGTAGGTGGGAGAGGCACTGCTATTTCCCTACTTTATGTCGATTCGCCACTTCTTCCTTACTTGTAATAATCCAAATTTTGTTAGGATTGGCAATTATCCCAGTTTTCCTTGTAGTTAGATTTAGCTATCAGATTTCAGCCAATGATGTGTAAGTGAATATATATGCTAAGGGCCTTCTTTCAAGTTTCCACTTGAATATTATTGCTTAAAGAGGCTTTCTCTAATTATCCTATATAAAATTAGGTTCTTTATTGTTAATTTCTCTCATGAAATCCTGTTTCTTCATAACATTGATTAAAATTTGTAATTATATCATGTATTTATTGGTTTGTTAGTGTCTGATCCCTCTGCAAGGTCTGTAATGACCATTTCTACCTTATTTATAGGTGGATATTGTCACCTTTTATTATCACAATATTATATATATGATAGTAGACAAAAGAATGAAAATAATTAATTTTATAAGTAATTATCAAACATTATAAATAATAAATCTATTATGTCAGCAAACATTTGCCACACATTTATTTTGCTTAAACAATCACTCTTCACATTGTAGGAGATATAACAGTAAATATGACATGGCTAGTTCCAGTAAGAAGGACACATTCTAGTGCAAAAGTAAAACATGAACACAAACAACCGTAATGTATGACAGGTGTCATAAGTATGACACAGATGTTAGAGAAGTTTAGAGGAGAGAGAGAGATCCCTATGAACTGGGATGCTGGGAAGAGATTATGGGAGAATTAATGTCTAAGTTGACAATAAAACTCTCATGAGGGTGCGTGGGTGGGAGCCAACTCAGCTCAGCTGGAGAAACTCAGAAGGCATCCCCCAAAAATTCAGGTTGTGTGTGAAGAACAGGGAGTAGGTGCAAACAAATATATCATGTCTTTTGTTCACTTCTTTAACCCCTTACCTTGAGGCACTCAGTTTGGATTATGACTCAGTTTGGAATAAAGGTAAGTGTGCTTTAACAAGGCAGATTTAACAAAACACACTGTGAAGAGAAAAGAGAAAGAGAGAAAAGGAAAAGGATATGGTATCTTACATAAATTCTATCAAAATTTTCAGGGAGGGTGGGCTAGGGCAGTTAATACTATTAAAAATTATTTATGTCCAAATTGGGAATCAATAAAGATAAAAAGTATAATAATTAGTTATAAGGGTAAGAACTTAGATGATTGGCTGTTTAATAGAAATGTGAAACAGGAGAGAAATGAAGAAAGTGCAGCCTACAAGATGTGTGAAGGGTCCTTGGAATATTACACAGCCATAAAAAAATGAAATCATGTCCTCTGCAGCAACATGGATGCAGTTGGAGGCCATTATCCCAAGAGAATTGATGCAGGACCAGAAAACCAAATATCACATGTTCTCACTCATAAGTGGGTGCTAAGCATTGGGTATACACAGACATAAAGATGGGAGCAATGGACATTGAGTTTTCCAAACGGAAGGAAGGAGGGAGAAGGGCAAGGGCTGAAAAACTTCCTATTGGTTAGTACGTTCACTATTTGGGTGACGGAATCAATGGAAGCCCAAATCTCAGCCTCATGCAATATATCCTTGTAAGACACCTGCACATGTACCCCCTAAATCAAACATTTAAAATAACAGCAACAAAAATAATGTGGAGGGGTAAAAGTAATTTATCTCTGAATGCAGTCTGTGATCTCCCTGTACTTTTATTCTCTAAATGCCTTTGGCGCCATTTAGCTCAAGAACCATCAGTAGAGGGAAGGTACAGAGTTAGAGCTAAGAATCAAGTTTTAGTTACTTGTGAGAGTCTGATTAAACACATACGCACATATGTGTGCATACATGACAAGTTTTCAAATTATTTAAAAATTGCAATGAATAGCCTATTTCATTTATAAATATCAATTTTAAAAATTTCAAGGGCTACTCCTCCAGTTATGCCATGCAATTAACACAAAAAGGGGCATATAAACAAATATATATATATATGTGTGTGTGTATACACATGCCAAAAAGTATAAGGATATATTATAATTATATAGAGCTATATTATTGTTACATGTGTATATATTTATATATATGTATGCTCAGATACATTCCTTAATGTGTTAGGCCTTAAAGACTTCTCTTACCACTTGTGTTACTTGAGCCTCACATGCTTCTGAGGAGTAAATGTTATTTTGCTGCACATTTTTTAGATATGGAAGTATTTGTAAAGAGATAATGTCACTTGTCTAAAGAAATAGATGCCCAAAGCCAAGCAGAACCAAAATTTCAAAACTCATTGAGTCCAGTGATCCTTCTTTTACATTTAGAAGAGCACAAAGTCATCTCCTCTTATAGCAGGTAAAAGAATGATTAAGGTGGTGTCTCATATATAATGTTGCCCTAGATTTATACATCACATTTCTTCCAAAGGTTTTCAGATATTATCTCATTTGTCTTCCAACATCCATGAAAGATAAGTAGGGGAAGGTAGGTTCATCTGCATTCCTCAAGATGGATGATCTGAGTGGAGAAAGGGTGAAGTCACAGTGTGCTGCTGAGCTCACACAGCAATCAGACTGGAATTCATGCCAGCTGCTCCCATCCTTGGGCTTGTTCCATCGATTTGGGAAACAGAATTTTGTGAGTAGAGGTAGCAGAAGATGGGAGAGTGAGGGTGGGAAGATTCTAGAAAAGCAATATAGCTTTGTTACTTCATTATTTTCCTTTCTAACATCTCTCTCTGGTATTTCTGTGCTTGGGAATATGAGAAAACAGCAACAAAATCTTCAATAGGACTTCTCCTTTTGCTTCAAAATGGTGATTAATGTGTAATGCTAAGAACAGAAAGAATAAAAGTACCCCATATTCTAAAGAGAACTGCAAACAATAGGGTCCCTCATCTTCAGAGCTTTCTAAGACAGCTGAAGTAGAATTAATGTCATTCTAGCCTCCTGACTTTCCTTACTTGTTTATTTAAAAAAAAATGAGAAAGAAGACTTTGAAGAGGTCATCAAAAGCCATAGACACTTGCAATAGACTCTTGGCCTCACGAAAAGTAAAACCTACCCTTTGTCTAACACGCTAATTAAGAGGGATCTAAGAGAATCCCTAATAGATATTGGGGTTCTAGCATTTCAGTGATTTCCATTTGTGCAGGGTATTTTTTATCTTCCCTGTGTCCATCTAAGCCAAGGGAAAGCAAATTTTAAAAAGACAAAAGACAAAGGAAGGTGATTTCAGTATTGCAACTTGTACTTCCAGTACTTGGTTCTCAAAGTTAAGTGGGCATCTTGGAAGAAAGATGGATGGATCCCACAGAAAAGGACTACTCACCAGGCGAGGAGCCTCAAGTAGTAAGAGGCACACAATCCATGTGTGCCAACAGGATCAGATTCAGGAGACTGCAGAAGGAAAGTCCCCCAACAGAGCCCTCCAACAAACTCATGTGTGCTCCCCAAGAGAGAATCAGCTATGCAACTAGTGAGCCCGGGAGGCAGCAGCAATCAACAAAGAAAATTACAACAGCACCAGTCATGCAAGGGACAACTAACTGTACCTTTTCCCTTTTCTTTCTCCCCACCTCGCCACACAAGAAAATGGAGAGAAAGAACATATTTAAAGGTCAGCCAACCAGTCCTACCCTAGGCTCCCAAGTGAGGTAAGAATAGGAGGAGTAGACAAAAAGTCATACAACTTCCCCATGGATCAAGGGACCCCAAGTCTGATCCACGGCATTGGAAAGGAAAGTTTTATAAAAGACATGAAATTAGAGTTTTCAACTGGGCAGAATTTGAGTAATGAAAAATGCCTTGAAAGTAATGGAATATGCCTAGGATCTTGTTAAGAGATCTCCTAGTCAGCTGGGAGGAGGAATTTGACATAAACAATAGGAGAGCAAGGGCTTGTAAAAAATAAAAGCATTTCATGTTTGATCCCCACTGAGCTAAGCCTTCTCAATAATCTAGATAAATGCAGATGCAAAAATCAACTGAGATCACGAAGAAGGAATGGTGAGCTTTAGCAGTGAAAGAAGAATATTATTTGTGCTTCTCCACAGAAATGATTTACTGAAATAAAAACAACTCATAAGTAATAGGTGGAATACAAAGAAGTGAACATTTGCAGCCCTTTCAGCAGTATTTAAGCTTTTAGATTCCTTCTTTTACACTCAGATGTGGGCAATGCACATTGAGGAATCTAGAGAGGTTTACACTTGACACTACAAGGAACATTTATTTCAGACATGTGGCTACATCAATTAAATGCGATGTGTATTCACAACATTAGTCACTCCACACAGCAGCTCATTAGAATGCATGTGCCTTGCAAAAGCAGCCAAGATTCAGTGAGGCTTAAAACTACAAAGCATCACTATAGATCACATGCCACTATTTTTAACAAATATTAAATTTTTACAATTTTTTTTTCTCCAAATTATTGATGCCAGTCAAAATAACCAATTTTTTTCCCTCACTTACTCAGGGTAACTTTGATTTGATCTTCCATCCTGATTATACAAATTGATCTTATAATTACCTTAATTCAATAATAATTTTAAAAAGCGTTTTCTCAAAACGAAATGGTGGTAAAGTGTTGGGGCAGCAACAATTTTTGGGGGTGGTATCATATCTCCTGTGACCTGCACATGTATGTCCAGATCACCTGAAGCAACTGAAGATCCACAAAAGAAGTGAAAATAGCCTTAACTGATGACATTCCACCATTGTAATTTGTTTCTGCCCCACCCTAACTGATCAATGTACTTTGTAATCTCCCTCACCATTAAGAAGGTTCTTTGTAATTCTCCCCACACTTCAGAATGTACTTTGTGAGATCCACCCCCTGCCTGCAAAACATTGCTTCTAACTCCACCGCCTATCCCAAAACCTATAAGAACTAATGATAATCCACCACCCTTTGCTGACTCCTTTTTCGGACTCAGCCGGCCTGCACCCAGGTGAAATAAACAGCCTTGTTGCTCACAAAAAAAAAAAAGTGTTTTCTCACATTAAAAAATGACAACCATAAATTTTGCATAAAATATTAAAGAATAAATGGCTCTAATAAAATATTATTAGAGGCAGCTATTTCTAAATTAAAAGACGCATTGAGTTTTAGCATAAGAATAACTAAGGTAAATCACATAAATTAAAAAGAAGAAATAAAGTGAAACATGATTATATAATGACTATTTTAGTTTACGTAGGCAAATCGTCACCAATAATCTATGTGCAGCTTAACATCATCATGCATGGTGCCTGATGGAATAAAAATAGGAGGATTCAGTGTGAATTTGAGTTCAACTGAACAAAGATTTTCTTACAGCATCTTACAGGGATACAATGTGTTGGGGATTGCTCTAGACCCAGAAATGCAAAAATAAATAAGACATAGTCAATAAGAAAGAAAGAGTGAAAGTTTGTCAGTATCTCTGTCAGCAAAATGCTATGTAACAAACCAATATATTCACTGGCTAAAAGCAAGTCCTATTTGCTGTATCAGTCAGGGCCTGAAGAGAAACAGATGGTGAACTCAAAATGGTTTAGCTGAAGAGGATTAAAGGAAAGGACCATTTATAGAGCCATAGGAAGGTCAAAGGATGCAAGAAGTGCTAGTGAAACACCAAACAATGTACCCAAAGAATGTGATCAGTACTGCTCACCCCTACTGGGAAGGGTTAAGGGGAAGAACCATATGTACTAAAAACTTGCTGAGAGCTGAAGCCAGAAGTAGGGCTGCAGGACCAGACAGGAACTGTGGCAGGAGAGGAAAGCAGCCAATCCCAGAACCTCAGCAGGGGTGGGGGCTATAAATAGTGTGTATGTATACATGTAATATGTGTGTGTGTGTGTGTGTGTGTGTGTGTGTGTGTGTATTTGCCAGTCATTAGAGAAAATCTAATTTGACTTCGTTATGTTCTTTTTACCTGTTAGATGAAGTAGGTTAAAGATGATACAGTAAACTTTTTTAGGACACAATTCCCTAGACTTCCCCCTAATTACCTACCTCAGCTTTCACACACAGTTACTAACAAATATTGTTAGATGATGTACAGTAGTAATAAAAACAATTACATATGGAACTCTTAGTATGGCATGGACTCTACTAAGGGCTGATACTTCTTTATTAATATGTTTTACTATCAGTCTGTCTAGAGGGTGCTATTCCTGTCTCCATTTCACGAAGAGGAAACTGAAGCTTTAGTAATGTTAATGAATTTGCCCAGGGTCACAGGTTTAGTAGCTCTCAGTGCCAAGACTCAAATCTAGATCTGATAGTCACGAAGGTTTGTGTTCTCAACATTATGCTCTATTGTCCGCAATTCATGCATCCATAATACATCTTCCCCAGTCACACAAGGGATGCCAGACTCAAAGTTTGAGAATTGTGCCAGGTTCATAGTTCTGACACTAGAATAAGGTTAGAGATCTACCTCTGCTATGCAATTGTATGCAGTTTATTTATTTGGCCAGATTCTAATATGCTCCCTGGGCTGGAAGGATTCTGGTTTTCCTTATGAATTTAATCTTGGGGCAAAGGCAATAAACCATGGGTATAGAAAACAGGAAGTTGGAAATATTACATGCCAAACTTTTGAATGAACAAATGTGCCTATCACCCAGTGTATTTCCTGTCCCTCCGTATTAAGAAACACAAACATCCAAAAGGCTCACCGTTGCCTGAAGTAACTTTTCTACTAAGCCATGCTGCCTTTGCAACCGTGTAAGCTCTCCAAGATCAAATAATAGGAATAATTTACAAATATAAAATAACTCATTAAAATAAAGGCCACTGCCTGAGCTACTGACATTAAAATAGCAGATTCTTTTCTTATATGTCTTCAAACTAACCTAGTAAAATAAAGTTATCATTATAATAATAAATGGTTTGCCATCAAGTGATGATTCTTCTCTGTATCTATAGTTCCAAACATTGAGTTTAATTCTGTATTTTTTTAAAAAAATAGTATCACAATGAAAAATTCAGTGTCTCTAAAACCAAATAATAATTTCATTTTCTTCCAATATTCAACTTTTTGGGCAATGGCATCATTACTCCCTCAGTCATTAAATATTAATAATAATGTCTTTTTCATCATCTATATAATAACTGATATCTAAATAGCATGTAACCATTCACAAAACAAAAGTTGTGCATATCTCTTTCATAAACCACATAATTTGAGGCACACCGAAGCTACAGAGCAGTGACAGATACTACCTGTGATTCAAAGGCATATCAGTTAAGGAGGCAGGCAAGGAAATATAATGTTCAAACTACCCAGTACTCAGTGTTGAAATGTATGTTTGTATAAACTGTTATGGGATGAGAGAAAATGATGACCTAAATTAATAGGAAAAAAAAAAAATCAAAGAATGTTTCCCAAAGAGTTGCACAGGAAATAATGGGCAGGTGAGTGTAAGAAGACAATCAGTGAAAGAGAAAAGAGTGACTGCAAAAAACAGACACATGATAGGATGCCCAATCATCTAGGAAGAACAAGCCCTTGGGGGAAACACAGGATTCCAAGTGAGTGTGGGAGAGTAAAAGGAGACATTTGCCGAGTTAAGCCTGGATCACTTCAAGAAGAGACTAGTGTTTTGGGGTAAGGAGCTTGGGCATTTCTCTACACATGATGGTAAGAGGAGGAGGAGGAGAAGGAGGAAGAAGAGGAACTGGGAGGAAGGGTTCAAAAAATGAGGAAAGGAAGAAAAACGTTGAAAAAGTAGGGAACATTAGAATTTGTTAGCTCTCCTAAAGTATCCAGGGGTTACACTTGTGTGGGCACACCTAGATCTGCTGCACTCTTGGGGTTTTGATTGTTCTCTTTGTTGGCAACATTCTCAGATTCTTTCCAAGAGACATCAAAATAACTTCTGAGAGCCTCACCTCATTTCTAAGAGAGGCTTCATCCCCCCATATTTCCAGGATAAAAACAAAAAATTCCTAGGCCGAGTGTGGTAACTCATGCCTGTAATTCCAGCACTTTGGAATGTTGAGGAGGGAGGAATGCTTGAGCCAAGGAGTTCAAGACCAGCTTGGGCAACATGATGATGAAACCTCATCTCCACAAAAATTAGCCAGGCGTGGTGGCATGCCTGTAGTCCCCCGCTACTTGGGAGGCTGAGGTAGGAGGATCACTTGAGCCCAGGAGGTCAAGGTCACAGTGAGCTGTAATCATACCACTGCATTTCAGCCTGGGTGACAGAATGAGACCCTGTCTCGAAAATTAAAAAAATAAATAAATAAATAAATAAATAAATAAAAATAAAAAAATAAAAAAAATAAAAAAGGCTGGGCTCAGTGGCTCATGCCTGTAATCCCAGCACTTTGGGAGGCCAAGGTGGGTGGATCACCTGAGGTTAGGAGTTCGAGACCGGCCGGGCCAACATGGTGAAACCCCGTCTGTACCAAAAACATATTTAAAAAAATAACAGGTGTGGTGGTGGGTACCTGTAATCCCAGCTACTTGGGAGGCTGAGGCAGAAGAATTGCTTGAACCCAGGAGACGGAGGTTCCAGTGAGCCAACACGGTGCCACTGCACTCCAGGCCTGAGGGACAAAGTGAGACTCCATCTCAAAAAAAAAAAAAAAAAAATCCTAGTAGAGGGAGTGCCTCATTGCCTTAGATTAGGTCACATGCCTAGGGAACTTGTGATAGAACATACTGATATATCAATCGTAGACCAATTGTAGTAAACATATTGCTTGCTTAAACAGTATTGGAATGTACATGCATACTCTCATTTATAGATCCTTTAACAGAAAACTTGATAGGGAAGTTAGATGCTCAAGGTCACAGACAGCCAATAAATACTCAAACCCAAGTCATCACCAATGTCTATCATCCACATATAAATAAATGTCTTTGTAATAGTCAATTACCAGCCAGAGACAGTGTCCAGCAGTATGTTTTGAATACTGACCCACTCTCATGAAGCACACTAACCATTGCACAATAAATCTCTGTGGAGATTGTCTGGAGTCCTAAAACTACTTTAGATTTTCCTTTAAAATAAATCATTTTGATAAAAGTACTTAAGACTTTAGATTCCTCAAAATTTATGTCTACATAATATAATGCTATGCATTGAAGAAATGGAAAGATTAAGAAGAAATAAAAGACATCCAAATTGGAAAAGAGGAAGTCAAATTGTCCATCTTTGTAGATGACATGATATTATATATAGAAATACTAAAGACTCTACCAAAAAAAATCTTAGAACTAATAAATGAATTCAGCAAATTTACAGGATACAAAATACACAAAAATCAGTAATATTTCTATACAAAATAACTAACTGAAAAAGAAATCAAGAAAGCAATCCCATTTACAATAGCTACAACAAAAAAACACCTAGGAATAAATTTAACCAAGGTAGTGAAAAGCCTTCATGATGAAAATTGCAAAACATCAAAGAAAAACAAGGAAGAGGACACAAACAAATGGAAAAACAACCCATGCTCATGGATCAGAACAATATTGTTAAAATAATCATATTACCCAAAGCAATCTACAGATTAAATGCAACCCCTATCAAAATACCAAGACATTCCTCATAGAAGTAGAAAAAGATAAAACCTAAAACTCATATGAAACCACAAAAGACCCCAAATAGCCAATGCAACACTGACCAAAGAGAACAAAGCTGAAGGCACCACACTACCTGACTTCAAAATATACTACAAAGTTATAGCAACCAAAACAGCATGGTATTGGTATAAAAGACACATAGACCAATGGAACAGAAGAGAGAGCCCAGAAACAAATTCACAGCCAATTAACTTTCAACAAAGGTACCAAAAATGTACACTAGGGGAAAGGACACCCTTTTCAATAAATAGTGCTGGGAGACCCAGATATCCAAATGCAGAAGAATGAAACTAGACCCCAATCTCTCACCATATACATAAATCAACTCAAAGTAGATTACAAACTTAATCATATGACTCGAAACTATGAAACTATTAGAAGAAAACACAGGGGAAACACTTCTGGACATTGGTCTAGGAAAAGATTTTATGGCTAACACTTCAAAAGCACAGGCAGCAGAAAGAAAATTAGACAAAGGGGACTATATTAACCTAGAATGTTTTTGCATAGCAAAGGAAATAATAAACAGATTAAAGAGGCAACCTGTAGAACGGAAGAAAATATTTGCAAACTGTTTATCTGACAAGGGACTAATATCCAGAATATATAAGGAGCTCAAACAACTCAATAGCAAAACAAACAAAAAACAGAAAAGAATTTTATTAAAAAGTGGGCAAAGGATCTGAGTAGACATTTCTCAAAAGAAGACAAATTGAAACAGGTATATGAAAAAATGCTCAACATCCCTAATTATTAGAGAAATGCAAATCAAAACCACAATGAGATATCATCTCACCCCAGTGAGAATGGATATGATCAAAAATACAAAAAATAACAAATGCTGGCAAATATGTGAGGAAAGGGAGCTCTTATACACTATGGTGGGAATATAAATTAGTACAGCCATTATGGAAAACGGCATGGAAGTCTCTCAAAAAAAAAAAAACTAAAAATAGAAGTACCATACCAGCAGTCCACTACTGTTAGTATTTATCAAAACGAAAGAAAATCAGTATATCAAAGGGATACCTGCATCCACGTGTTTATCACAGCACTATTCACAGCCAAAATAATGAAACCAATGTAAGTGTTCATTAGTGGATGAATGGATAAAGAAAATGTGGTGTATATACACAATAAAATACTATTCATCTATTAACAATAATAAAATCCTTTCATTTGCTGAAACATGGATGGAACTGGAGGTCATTACGTTAAATGAAATAAGCCAGGCAAGAAAGACAAATATCATGTGTTCTCACTCCTATATGGGTGATAAAATATAGATCTCATGGAGGTAGAGAGTAGAATAATGGTTACCAGAGTCTGGGAAGGGGAGATGGTTTATAGATACACACATGCAGTTACATAGAAGGAATTAGTTATAGTGTTCAACAGCACAATAGTTAACAATCATTTACTGTTTATTTCAAAGTAGCTAGGAGAGATTTGAAATGCTCCCCACACAAAGAAATGATGAATGTTTGAGGTGATGAATATTGTAAATACCTTGATTTGATCATTACACATTCTATGCCTGTATCAAAATATCACATGTACCCCATAAATAAGTACAATCATTATATGCATAGAGGAAGGTAAAAATAAAAGCAGAAAATATCATATGCATTGGGTTCTACAATGGAAAAGACAGAGAGGGTTGGGAAGCATTTCAATGATGGGCACATCTCTCTTCCCAAGGTCTTATTTCATTTCCAGTACGACTTCTGACAGCTGGTAGAAATGTGTGCCTCTGACAGAGCAGTTTCACACATTCTCAAGTGCAAAAAGTAAGATTGACGGCATCCTTTCCATTTCCATCATCAGCTGAAGTGTCTCCTCTCTAGGAAGGAGTAATTAGCTCAGTCTTCTAGTACTGGAAGTCAAACTAAAGCATCTTGACTACACTGACTCCTGCTGCCTTCCTAGTCTCACAAATAGGAATTCATATGATTAAGCACATTTTACTTCAATCTAGGCCTTGAACCAATGACCTACCTTCTATAACTGCCTACACAATACATACATACATACACACACAGGGGCATGTAGTGCACTTCTCTTCTGGACTTGAAATACAGATGGTTTTAAACTGAATCATTTATATTCTATGCCAGAATAGAAATCAGTCTCAAATAGCTGCAGGCTCTAACAATGACTATTTTGAAAATCCAACTCCATATTATGCAGCATAGTGGAAAGAGCTCTGATTGAAGAGCCAAGTCCTGTATGTGTCATAAATTCTATTTTTGCATCTTTATTGAATAGATTGGTGCCCTTTCATAAAGCAGAAAGTGTTTGAGATGAATAGAGTAACAACATTTGACCTTTTAAGGTTCTGACAACCTAAGATTATAAATCTCAAGTATTGAGAGAAAAGTGTGTTTTCGTGAAATTGTTGGAATTGCTCCCTTTGAGACTTAAAATATATAATTAAAAACACTCCTTGCAAAATATAATAGGTATCTGAACAATAAATAATATTTACTATGTCATTTCTAGTCATCTTAGAGTATGATGATTAAGAAGAGCACAGACTCCGAAGCTAAATGGCCTGGTTCAAATCCAGTTCTACTTCATAGATTTGTGACTTTGGGAAAGCTGCTTCACCTCTCTGTGCCTCAATTTCCTCATCTAGAAAATGGGAATGACACTAATAGTATCTATGTCTTAGTACTCTTGTGAAGATTAAATGAGCAAATATGTAAGGCCTAGAGAAATGTGTCTGATACAGAGCAGTGTTACTAAGAGTTTGTTCCTGTGGTAAGGATGAAGACAAGTACATATTTAAAATATAAATATAGAACATTTTAATATAAATAAAGAGTCATTTAGGAAATATTATCTTTGGCTATATTCCCAGTTGAGAGCTTTCCTGTGGTTATTGTTAAAGCAAACAAACAAAAAGCAACTTTTCCAAAGTTAATTATAGTACTGGAATATAAATAAAAATCATGTAATAATATTAAGAACAGCAGCAATATAAACTGTCGTGCATTGAGCAGCCACGGTATGACAGGCACTCTACCAGAAGCTTAAGGAGTCAGTAATTAGACCATATAAAACAGGTGGCAAAAAAAAGGAAGAGAAAAGGAGTGTGAATGAACATGCAGAAAGATTGTTTTAGTTTAGGGTGTGTTTGAACACGTTTGTAGATAAAATGGGACAACAATTATCTCATTTTGTCCTTACAACCACCCTACGTAATACACACGCTTATTATTCCCCATTTTATTGATAAGTAAAGTAAGGCTCTCAGTGCTTAAGTAACTGGCCCATGATTACAGAATTAATTGTGTTGAAGTCTGGATATAAACCCTGATTCAGGTGAGCCACAGTTCACATTCTTAACCACATAGAGGCCATTGTTCTAAGCAAAGATGCATTTTGTATGCTATAATTTTTTTCTTATAACTTTTCTTTCAGTCATCTAGATTTCTCAGCAAAGCTTACCCAGATAGGTAAACATTTTGGAAGATGTAGAATAGAGAAGATTTTTTAGAAGGGGAGAAGTGGGAGAGAGCTTTCCATATTGCAAATTTTTGAGATGGTATGGGAAACAGCATATATGCCACTATTGAATGTAACTTCGGATATATTCTTTCATTATTCTACATGAGTTTTTAAATTACATTTACTTTGGATCCTTCAGTTTTGTCAAGCTCATCAAAATCATCTTTTTATTGATATTGTTATTAATGTTAAGAAATGACTAGACAACACTAATTTCTTCATGCTTCTTAAGGAAGTCACATTACTGGTGATCTTCATATAACACAATTTACTCCCAACCAGAATCTCCAAATATGTCATGAAAAATAATTATCAATTCCGTTTTTTATTCAATGAGGTAGGTCTAAGAGAGGCATTTTATTATTTCTCATTTGGTAAATTGATCCAAGGAAGGAACTGTAATGTATATAATACTGTAGAAGAAATTTTATAATCTAAACTTAAAAAATAAAAGCAGTGACTTCTAGTAAAGGTAGGAACAATTACCAAGAGATCTCCAGCTCTCCGTTCTGGAACCCTCACTTAAACACCCTAAACTAATACAACCTTTCTGTGTGTTCATTCACACTCCTTTTCTCTTCCTTCTTTTTGCTACCCATCTTATACGGTCTAATCACTCACTCCTTAATCTCTCAGATTCTAATCTCTTTTCAGCACCTATTTTCTGAAAGGCCAGCAACCTCCCAATCAATAAATCCATTTTTTTTTCATCTTCCTTGACAGCTCTGTGGAGCTAGTCAACACTGACCAACCTTCCTCTTTGTCTTAAAATTCTTCCATAATTTGTTTTTCAGGACACTGCACTACTTGCTTCCCTCCCCCACCCTTTTTTTCTTACTACTCTTAATCTTGTAACTGAAAGCTGATCTTTTCATTCTCCATATGTCAGTGTCAGTATTTCTCAAGGTTCTTTGATCATTTTCTCCTTCAATGTTTATTTCTCGAGTCATTTTCAAAGATCACTTCTGTAAGGATGCCTCCCAAATCTTTATTCCAAACCCTGTGGCTGTTTGCTTAATAAAAAAGTCATTTCCAACCAGCTTTTTTGCACATCCCACTCTAAGGAGTTTGGAAGTAGAGATACTTGCTTTATCAGCTTTCCTTGCTACTATTGGTAGCCATGGGACACAATTTTGGCAAATGAAATTAGAGAAAAAAGTCTAAGAGAGGTGTACTTTCTTGAATAAAAGGGACAAAATCAGAGGTACTACTCCTTTCCCCTTTGCTTCCTGGCTTATAAAGCAAACATAAGGCCTTAGAACTTTTGCATTTATCTTGCAACTATGCAGTGAGAGACAAGCATGTGAACTAAAGGTCAAGATGATTAGCATGGTAAAGTGGAAAGAGAAAAATCCTGGGCCTTTGATAATATCATTAGGAATCTGACCCAATAACAGCAAGTGCCCACACCTGGACTTTTTGCTGCGTGAGGGAAAAAATAAAGCCTAATTATTTAAGCTACTATTAGACAGACGTCTCTAGACAATAAAAATCTTGTCACTGTATCTTCATTCCATTCACTTATTTCCAAATTATTGCTTTGATATTTCTACATGGATATCCATCTGCAGGTCAAATTTATTATAATGAAAATCAAATTGATATAAAGAGGCCTGTGCATATGTCATTTCTTTATAGTTTCTTAATACATGGTAGCATTTTATATGGAATAAGTATTGAAATATTTAAGTAAATTAGTAAATTGTGACACAACTGAAACCTAGTGTAGCAAATATAATTTCTAGGAACTTTCAATTAGTGGAAATAGCATGAAGATATATAGTTCTTCTTCCCACCTGACTATTTTCATCTTGATATTATCAGCATCCTGGGATAAGATCTCATGATGACCTGAAAACATGGCTTTGTTCCTCTCAGATGTCAGTTCTTCTACACTGAAGTCACATATATAACCCAGCTAACCTAAAACAGGCACCAAATGATACTGACTTCTTGTAATGATGACAGCTATTACACAGCAATGTAAGGTAGCATTATCAAAATGGAACAATTGAAAGGTCATCAGAGCATTTTGGCATGTGTTTTCAGATCCACTGACTCTCTGAGCTTGATGCGTTATCTAACACAGTTACTCTAGACACCTGTGGACACTTCAAAAAGTGAGTCCCTTTCCCTCCTTAAGAAATTCAACTTTAAAAGGCCGCTCTTAGCCACATCTCCAAGTATGGTTATCATCAGCAATGAGCTAAGTGGAAATCATCACCCAACTCAAATTATTAATGGAGTTATGTACCTTAATACTGTTCCTGAGAAACTTCCTATAGTTCAGTGGATTCATGGTGGAAAACTCTGAATCTGGCCCACATTTCAATCTGATTTTGAGCAAATTACTCAAATTCAGTTTCCAGTTGCCTAATCCACATGGTAATACGACAAGGTCCCTATTGAGGATCAAATGTGGTGCTCTCTGTACAAATTATTTGTAATTAATGAAGTTTTAAATCATTTATTTGTTCTCTATTTTATGTAATGTCACAAATCGAGTTAACACTGCTGCAAGTGCTATGTATAGCCATAATGTTACATTACCATTTCCTTTAATTTTTCATGCATTAACACCACTTATACTCCTATTTGATGTTTAAGTAATGGCACTTAAGCCTTAATTCGATTTCATCTTTAATGTTTCCAAGAGTCTAACTGGTTATTTTTTTCTCACAGGAAAAAAAAAATTTTTAAAACAAATTTTAGGTGGCTCCAAACAATCTAACCTGGTTAAACATTGGTCCATTTCACGAATTTTTCCTGAAATTCGTAAATTTCAGGCTAGTGAAGAAACATTTTGCTGATCTTTTTTTTCTGACAAATGTCTTAGAAGGAAGCAAAGTAGGATTGTGAGGAAAGTTAAAAAAAAAAAAATCCTTATCTGCTGCTTTTACCTTCTGCCATGTCCAAGGTCAAAGAATCCTACAAAAGCCTTTCATTTGGAGCAGTTTGAATGATGTCTCAAATATCAAACTGGATGACGACTCAGAGTCAGAAGAGTGAAAAAGAGGGACAAGGTAACATGCTGCTCAAATAAGTATGATTTCGAAAGTGAATCTGGAAGAAGAGGGGTTTTTCTCTCCTTATTCTTTCTTATGTGTGGCTCAAGAAGACACAACCATAGGCATATTGCCATCTGTAATGTAGGCAGAAATGAGAATCAGGTATCAAAATGACATTATTATGATGGAAAATATGAGCATTCATATGCAGTAATCATGTTTTTCAGTTTCTCTCTTTTCAAAAAAATACTCAAGAAATGAATGTTGGACTATCAGAATGCAGAGTATTAGAGTAATTAAATACTAAAATAAATACAGAAAAAATAAGTACTTATTCATTACTCTTCATAGATTTCAAATTCAAACAACCCTGGTGCACCAGCATAAGCTCTGCACCCAGCCACAAGTCCCCTGACAAAAACATATGTAACATATCCAGCCTGATCAATACACTGTGACCATAAGCAACCTTTTGGAGTCAGATACCGTCAAACTGCTAAATCTTATCTTGGAAATACACAGTGTCACTAGGAAAGAATCCCTGAGTTGAAGAAAAATATCTGTAGTAAATAATGCTGATAATTGCACTACTATTGTATTTCCTGTTTCCAAAGTACTTTTACATGTGTGTCTTATTTTCCTTCCAGTAGTCGACAGAGCAGGTGCTGAAGTCTCCATTTTAGAGCTGGAGAAACTGGGACTCAAAAAAGATAACTTGTCCAAAGTCACATAGTAAGCAGCCGATCTGAGACTAGAACTTTTGGCTCTAAATTTTATGTTCTTTCAGTGTGCCATCATGATTGAGAAGGAATCTGTGAGCAAACAGAGTTGTAGCCTTGACCCCTAGGTACAGCTGTTTCCAACACTATGTGAGCCTGATTTTCCCATAACAGTGTTTAAAAACCTTGCTCGGGCACCCATTGGTGGGGTTTTCAAGTGCCTCTTACAGTCTATTGTAATAGCTCATATCCAGTTTGGTATTATCTTTTCTCAGACACTTGTGTAGGTTGCAAGTTCAAAGTCAAACTAATGCCAAGGGCAAGCAACTATTTATTCCACATGTATGCTAGGGAAGGCAGAATGGGAAGGCAATAAAACAGAATCTGAAAGACATGTTCCTGTCTTTAAGCCTACATTAATTGAAAAGATTCTCTCCTTAGAGAGGAGAATATGTCTCTGAATATTAACATTGCCCTAGGACTATTTTGGCTTTTCTCAGCTACAAATGAACTTGAGCCTAGGATTTAAAGTTTAAAGCCTTACTTAATGTACATATACATACAATTTTGTGAATATCACTCAATGCACATGCTTATAATTAAAACACTGTGTATGTGTGAATACACAACCACATGTCCAGAGTTTCCAACATGAGGTCCCACTACCCTTGTTGCTATGAAGCCACAACAAGCAGCTATGCACATTTCACTATGCCTCAACTTAAATTCAAAAATGAAAAGCAAATGTAGTAGTTGCTAACATATGTTTCAAACTCCCTGAGTGGGGTAGGGGGTGCGGGTTGTGGTGAGTTAGCTCTTGTTATTCTTAAATCCTATCCAATTAATATTTTCTTAGGAAGCTGCTTCCTCATATTCCAAAATGCCGATATAACTATCAGTGCCCTTTTCAAAAAACCCAAAATGGCAATTTTTTAAAAATCAGTACATTACATAAAATTTAAATATCACTATAGGCCCCATATCTTCCTATACAACTCTATCTAGGGCTTTCCAAAAGCTGCTGTCTCTATCATCATTACCCAAGTTTGTAAGAAAGACCAATATCCTTGTGAATTCACACTATGAATTCCTTAGGACATGGTATAGTGAGCAGCTGCAACCTCAGCATTTAGCTCCATTCTCAATGAGCACATCTTCAAAGAGAGCTTTACTTAATGCCACGAAACTGAAGGAATCAGGCTCATGGCAATATAAGAAGAAATTCTTTGTGATGTGGAAACAGATGTCCCCTAACATTTTTCAGCATGTGACATCACCTTCTGCCTTGGTACACATAACTTTTTTCAGTAAGCTTAAAAATAATTTTCACATGAGTTTAAATACCAACCCCAACCTAGTTGCAATTATCATTCCATTCACATGACTCCAAGGAAAGCCTGTGTTTCTTTAAAACGTCCTTTTGTTCCTGCTGTGCAGCCTATAAAACCTTACAGTAATTAAAAGCTATTCCTAGCCAAAGCAGACTAACATTTTATATTACTTATAAATAACTAGTTTCTGCTCTTTTCTAGTCAGAAGAAATATTTTGGCAATATATCACATATCAGCTTGGCAAAGCCAAGCAGTAATGGGAAGCCATGCAAGACATGTGTCCTCAGTGTCCACGTCAGGCACTGTGTAAGGGATCACAACCATCAGATTGAGGGTTCATATGCATCCACCTGTACTCACAGCTGTGCCAGGAATGCTACTGTGTAGGCAAGACCAGGTAGAGCTGGCCAGCCAGGTGCTGGAGGCCTAAGCCACTAGGCAAATGGTGACAACTGCAGAGTACTTGAAAGTCGTAAGAATGAAGTAAATATCTCAGAGTCCAGGGAAATAACTTGAGGCAGAAATAAACTCTAAGTTCAGGGTCCCAGTTTCACTCACAAATCCCAGTGGTCAGTTATCAGATCACTTGACTGGCGTTAGCAGGAGAAAGATAAGTGCTCCTAGATCCACTGTGAAACATGAATTACTTATCCTGTTTACTGACTAAAACATAGCAAAGGATCATGCTCCTACATGCTGTTGCAGATCTTCGCATTCCCTTTAAAGTTTCCCCTAGTTATTTCAAGGAGTTCCCTGGGGCTTCATCAAGTATTGCAAATGGCTGTCACTTTCTTCCTCTTCTGCTCCGACCCACCTTGGTAATATTTTCAGCTGCTGCTTCATTCTCTACAGACGTTGAGCAGGCCCCTCACTTATCCCTAGGCACTGACAGCCCTGTCTCACACCCATCAGTATTTCTCCAGGCTATCACTTGCTCAAAACGGTCCCTCCCATAGGAAACTGTGGCAATCCTGATGTATTGAATCTTCAAGATGCAAAAGAGACACTTCTCTCAGGACAATGTATTTTGTGTAGAAGTAATGGGAATGGCACTCTTCTTTTTAAATGATATTTATTTTATTAGAAATAATAAAATCTTTCAGAAAGGCTATTAACATAAGTGTTTTATTATGCTATTATTTCATATTTTCTTTATTTTTCCCTCACCTCCTCATCTACTTCTCCTTATTTCATCTACTGTATGTATCCTCCCATATTTTTCTGCATACTCATAATAGTCACATATAATATATATCATGTAAATGTAAACAAAAATAAACATACCTAAATACATTTTTCATTATTAGTTTTTTTAAAGTGGAATTATGTTAAATACTATTTCTGAAACATCCTGCTTTTCCCAATCATGCAATATTTTGTGGTTCTTCGAAGTCTGCTTTTAGAGCTCCAATTTATTACATCCTTCTTTTTTGTAAGGCTTCATTATATCACCTCATGTGGATGCATCAGAATTTATTCACACATTCCCCTACTGATAAGCCTTCATTCTTTCTAATTTTTCACCATTATAAGCAATACTCAACCACGATTTTCCATATATCTTTAAGTCCTGGTGTTTTGTTTCTATGAGGTTCAAAATTAAGAGTAACATTGCTGGATCAAAATGTACACTTATTTTCATTTGAATAATTGCTGGCAGATTTTTTTAAAGGATGCAAAAATTTACATTCAATCAGCAATGTATGAGAGTACGCTTTTTCTCACATCCTGCCAGCAATGGTTTTTAAAATTCTTGCCAGTCTTATAAGTGAATATTGATAATCACATTGCTATTTTAATTTTGTGTTTCTAATAAAAGACAAAGCATTTTTTCATGTTTCTTGTTTTTATTTTACTGATTTGGATTTGTTTTACTGAAGAGAGCTTCCTCAAATCCTTTGCTCCATTTTTGACCTTTCTGAAATCCGAACTCTCTATATATTATAGAGATTAACCCACTAGCCTCTGAATTGCAAATAATTTTTCATATCTAATTTTCATCTTATTTATGCCATACATATAAAATGTTTAGATTACGATACAGTCATAAATTACCATATATGTCTTTTCTGGACTTCTTAAGAAAACTTTCCCTACTCCTTGCCTCTAGATTGTACAAATAGTCTTTCAGATTAACTTGCAGAAGTTGTAGTGTAGTTTAATTTTCTACACTTAAATAATCCAAATGAAGTTCATTTTTACACATAGAATATAATAAACTGTAATATTATTTTCTTCTAGAAGGATAGTCATTTTACCTGCACTTTTTTTCTTAAATAACCCGTTCTTTACCTATTAACTAAAACCATCAAAATCATAGTTAATTATCATGAATCTTGCAGTCTGCTTCAGGATTCAATATTTTTCCTCACTCTTCTTTTTGTCTATTACAATTAAAAAAACTATGCAAATTTGATTGTAGTTTTATGTTATGTTTCAATGCCTGATCAGGTAAGTCTTACTATTATTTTTAAAATTCCTTGGCTATTCTTGGATATTGATATTTACCCATAATTTTAAAGAAAAAAACGTATCTAATTCCCAACATTCCTCTCCATAAAAAATACTTTTGAGATTTTATTTAAAATTATGTTAAATTTATGCATTGAATTTGGGACAGTTTCTATTTGTACTTTTCTTTCAACAGAAATGTATTCCCATCTGTAAAGATCTTATTGTATATTGTTCAATAATATTTTATATTTTTCAGCTTGGCGCAGTGGTTTACGCCTGTAATCCCAATACTTTGGGAGGCCAAGGCGGGTGGATCACCTGAGATCAGGAGTTCATGAACAGCCTGGCCAACATGGTGAAATCCTATCTCTACTGAAAATACAACAACTAGCTGGGCATGGTGGCAGGTGCCTGTAGTCCCAGCTACTCAGGAGGCTGAGGCAGGAGAATCACTTGAACCGAGGAGGTGGATGTTGCAGTGAGCTGAGGTGGTGCCATTGCACTCCAGCCTGGATGACAGTGAGACTCCGTTTCAAAAAAAACAAAAAACATACATACACATATACATATATATATATATTTACATTTATGTTTATATATTATATATTATATATATACTATAAATATATATATTTATATATTATATATATACTATAAATATATACATTTATATATTATATATATTTATATATATATTTATATTTATATATAAAAAATTAGGTCATTGATTTACAAATACATTTACCTGTAACCAACAAACTTATTAAATGAACACATTAGGTCTTTATTTACCAAGGTGTCTTGGGCTGTCTAGATATTTCAATCATAGTAACAGAAATAATTTTGTGTACTCCTCCCAAATTTTAAATAATTTTCTCATCGTCTTTCCTACAGAGTCCGAGAAAATATTGAATAATAATGATGATAGTGGTTAACTTAGTGTCTAGCAGAAATAATTTAAGCATTTAATTGTTTAGAATATTTATATTACCTTTTAAGGACTTATTTTTACTATAGTCTTATATTTCTCTTTTTCTAGTAAGTGTGGCCATGAGATTTATTAAATGCCTCTTAGCAATGAGTTTTCTCCTTTAGTTATTAACAAAATGGATTGTGTTGATAGATGTACTGATATTAAGCCACTTTTGCTTTCCTGAATTAAACATTACTTGGTCCGAGTATAATTTTTTTCATAGATTAATCCTACTGAACACTGTTACATTTATAATCTTTGCACCTATGCTTTTAATTGAAATTTACTTATAGCTGTTAAAAAAACATTCATCAGGTTTTAGTATTAAACCTACCTAGTCCTCATAAAATATACTTTGGAAGCTTTCTTTTTTTCCCAATATAGTCACAGTCATACTGCTTATGTACCAGTGTTTCAAATATTTCTATTACAATACCCATAAAAGGTGCTTGAAAGAATAACTGCTTACCACCTAGGCTATGAGGTTGTGGGTCAAACCTAACTGCCTAAATTTCTACTTCCTTATCATGAGCTTCCTAACATCTTCTGAGCAGACACCCATCAAAACAGAGTTATGTGGACATGTCAAAATTCCAATCTGTGGACACAATAGGCTCAAAGTAGATCTGCCTTGCAACTTAACTCAACCACTCCTCTCAATAGTATCCCATGATGCTTAAAAATGAAACTGCTCACTATTCAAACACTGATAAGAGAAAAAAAAGTCATATTTTTACCAGAAAAAAAAATCTATTGTTTTTGGACATGTGTAGTAATAGTTCAGAAATATAAGCTTCAAGGATAATCATTAATATTCACAACAGTGGTTGCACAGGCAGGAGGGAAAGGAGAGGAGATTGAGAAGGGGGATATAGAGGACCTTGACTTTATTTATGATGTTTTGTGCTTTGAATAATATCCGGGTGGCGGGAACACAGGTGTGAGCTTATTATTCATGTGACCTCTCTGCATGTCCAGCTATTTCACAAGAAAACTGTTGTGTCTCATTAAGTTACCATCGTGCAGCTGTCAAGAAGCTCATGTGATGTCTTGCACTTGGCCAACCATCCTGCAGACATTTGAACAGGTGACTGAGCAAGTTGTCTCAAGTTGTCTCAGCTCTGAGGACCTCAAGATCCACTTATACTCAAATTCTGGATGAGTTAGCTATCTTGGGAAGAAAAGTGTGATCAGTAAGTTTCCAATCTGACATAGCTTCTAAAAATGTTCAAGAATTCCAGTACATGTGGGTTAAGACAAAAGAAATACCTTAGAAAAAACAGGTATTAACTCAATTAGTTAGTAACAACTTCACTAAATTACATTCCAATGAATTACAGTCATGCATTGCATAATGATGGGGATAGACTCTGAGAAATGCGTCATTAGGAGATTTTGTCATTGTGTGAACTTTGTAGAGTGTACCTACACAAACCTAGATAGTATTGCCTACTACATACTTAGGCTTTATGAAATAACCTATTGCCCCTTGGCTGCAAACCTGTACAGCATGTGACTGTACTGAATACTGCAGGCAATTGTAACACAATGGTAAGTATTTGTATATCTAAACATATCTAAACACAGAAAAGATACAGTACACTTACAGTACTAGAGTCTTATAGGATCACCATTGATCTTATGGAATCACCATTGCATATGCAGTCCATCATTGATCAAAACATCATTATGCAGCGCATGACTGTATATCTCTTGATTATAATGCCCTTTAATTTATTTTTATTTTATTTAACTTTTAAGTTCAGGGGATACATGTGCAGGTTTTAGTTAAACTCGTGTCATGGGGGTTTGTTGTGCAGATTACTTTGTCACCCAGGTATTAAGCCTAGTACCCAATAGTTATTTTTTCTGATCCTCTCCCTCCTCCCACCCTCAACCATGTGGTATTTGGTTTTCTGTTCCTGTGTTAGTTTACTAAGGATCATGGCCTCCAACTACATACGAGTTCCTGCAAAGGACATGATCTCATTCTTTTTTATGGCTGCATGGCTGCATAATATTCCATGATGCATATGTACCTCATTTTCTTTATCCAGTCTATGGTTGATGGGCATTTAGGTTGATTCCATGTCTTTGCTATTGTGAATAGTGCTGCAATGAACACATGCATGCATGCATCCTTATGATAGAACAATTTATATTTCTTTGGGTAAATACACAGTAACAGGATTGTTGGCTCAAATGGTATTTCTGTCTTTAGATCTTGAGGAATCACTACACTGTCCTCCACAGCGGTTGAACTAATTTACACTCCCACTAACAGTGTATAAGCGTTCTTTTTTCTCTGCAACATTGCCAGCATCTGTTGTTTTTGACTTTTCAATTATAGCCATTCTGACTGGTGTGAGATGGTATCTCATCGTGATTTTGATTTGTATTCTCTAATGATCAGTGATACTGAACCTTAAAAAAAAAAAACCACTCTTGAATGTTCAGTGGAGGTAGAGCTCAGTATGAACTTAGGCCAGCATTCCATTACAGAAAAACAGGGTAGAGTATGCTTCTGTACCTAGTGATTAGTTATAACAACTTGTTCACCTCTGAATACAGAATAGGAAATGGTCTTACCGAACGATTATATTTAATTGGAAAAGAGAAAACTAATCCTGGATATTGTCATTTTAAGCTACATTAAGCAATTTTTCTGTAATTTACACATTTGTAGACATGTAAGTGTGAAAGTACTAAAATTACAATTCTGTTTGCCTTCATAAAATAACAATGAAATACCTCTCAGTCAAGCATCCATTCTCCCACAGCCAAGGGATTTTACTTGTGTATTTTTTTATTTATTGACTTTTGAAAATAAATTATGTTATTTTAAAATTTTACTGTTAATTGACAACTATATACTATGTGATGTTTTGATATATGTTCACATTGTGGAATAATTAAATCATGATAATTAAATAATCTTCTCACATAGTTGTTACTTTTTTGTGGTGAGAATATTTAAAATCTTCTCTTTTAGCAATTTTGAAATATACCATACATTATTACTAATTATAGTCACCATTCTGTGCAACAGATCACTAAAGCTTATCTCTTTGATCAGCATCTCCCCTTCTCTGCACTTTCTTCCTCCAGTGTCTGAAAAACACTATCTTCTTCTCTATTTCTATGAGTTCAACTTTTTAAAATTCTGCGTGTAAGTGAGACCATGCAGATGTGTCTTTCTGTGCCTGCCTTATTTAACATAATGTCTTCCAGGTTCATCCTTGTTGTCACAGATGACAGAATTTTATTTTTTAGAGATGAATAGTATTCCATTGTGTACATATACCACATTTACTTTATTCATTCATCCATTGATGAACTCTTAGGTTGCTACCATATCTTAGCTATTGTGAATAATCTATTGTGATAATGCTACAATGAGCATGGGAGTACAGATACTTCTTCAATATACTGATTTCAATTTCTTTGTACATATATTATTAAAGAAAACTAAATAGGGCCTGAAAAGGACTCCATGCTTCTATATTTGAGTCCTTATGGATGAACTGCAACCTAACTTAATAGGTAGACAAGACTGAAAACCTAACTTAGGAGTATGCACCTGTAACAACAGCTGAGTCTTGGCCAATCCCAGCAGCAATACTTCAACCACTTGAACACTGCTGAGTGTTCAAACCACGTTCAAATAAGGCAAATGCCGAGCTGTAACTAATACAGCTGTTTCCGTACCTCACTTCTGATATCTGTATGCCACGTCCCTTTTTATGTCGATAAATCTTTTTCCACTATGTGGCTCCACTGGCATCTCTCTAAATCTACTGTGATTCTGGGTGCTGCCCGAATCGTAAATCATTCCTTGCTCAATTAAACTCCTTTAAATTTAATTCGGCTTAAGTTTTTCTTTTAATAGATTGTGTCAGAAGTGAGGTCCGAAGTAGACCTTCTAACGACCCCCAGGAGCACTGAGTGAACAAGCAAGATACCTTCTGGACCCACTTGTATCCATTGATCTCTCAGAGCAGCTGGGGATCGTGGGTAAGTTCTCTCTCGGATTTCAGAGCTCTACGGGTTTGTGTTTTGAGCTCTCTGAGTTTCTTTGAGCAAATTTTTGTTCCAAACTGGGTTTGACAGTTGTGACAGAAAGTGGACTGGGTCCAGGATGTGATTTGATCCGGTAATTAACTGGCTTAGATCCAGTTAGAGGCCTCTTACATCCCACTGGGTCAGAAAGAAACTGGTAGTAAATGGTAATATTGCAGTGGTTGTAAAAATTTGTCCATTAAAAATTCGTGGGGATTTTTGTGCTCTACCCCTTTGTTTCATTTTTCTTGCATGCTTAGGTAGGAAATGTCATTGGCTAAGTCATCAAGGGAACCTGAGAAAAAGCTAATATTTTAGATAAAAATGGGGTCCTTAATTTCTAAAAATCTCATTTCTTTCTGGCGTATACATTAGGCCCAGGAGGCAGCAAAGTCTTACAGAAAGGGTAAAATCTTGCTAAAGATAACTTACAGTGGAACATTCCAAATGAACAACAATGCACTGAAGTGCATTTAAAAAAAAAAAAAAAGAAAGAAAAAAAGATTTTCTTTTGTGTTGCGTTTGGCCTCCAAGGTTATATAGTGTGGCAAGCAGGGTTAGGTCACTAGGGCCACTCAGGGAAGGGAACCCAGATACCTGATATGCCAACAAAAGGGTAAAAGTTCTTATCAGTCACACTTCTAGCCTCTCTCTGTGCAAATCGGTTGGATGAATGGTAAAAATCATGGTTTATATCCTCTGTTAAGTTTTGATTAATGGGAAAAAGGATTCATGAGGCTAATGTTGAGCTGTAGTGAATCTGGTGTGCTTTGTGTGTCTTTCTGTATTGTTCTATCATACAGAGGGGTACCTTAGGATAGAATGTGAGCCTAGGTCCCCATAAGCCCGCTGTTCAAGATGGCCCAGCAAACTGGTCAGTCATGTCCTTGGGAGCATGACATTGTAACCACGTGGCAGTACTTTCTCTTGGTCTGTGCTCTTACCACAGCAGCCCAGGTTCAATCCTGGCTTAGGGAATGAAAACTATCTGGTTAATGTCTGTGCGACCTTTATTATTTGCTGATTCTCTTCCCCTTCCACAAACAACTTCCAAGTTCTCTTCTTAAATCTTCCTTCCTCTGAGCTACCTCTAAAGATTCTAGATTTTATAAAAACTGCTTACCACCACTTTGAAGATATCTTGTATACTTGTGGTTAAGTTATAACCTTAGTTGAGGCTTGCAGGTTTCACCTGTGAGTTTAAAATCCAGGAATATTGGCCACTCGGCATGGCTAAAGCCAGGCAATAAATTTAAGAGCATTTTTAAAGGAGTGCTATGGTTAAAAGTCAGCTTAATTAGAAGTGGCTATCCAAGTGATAGGTATATTTAAAAGGCCTATGTTCTTCTCTTCTTAGATCTTATTTTTCTGGAAAAAGGGTTTTTTTTTTTCCTTCTCAGTTGACTAAATTATTTTTCTCTATTTGTCTTGCCACTCTTAATGCACACATGAGAGGCCCTAAGATAACTTCTAGTAGCCCGGGTCTCCTTAGAAAAAACAGAGGAGGAGCCACAGAACCCATTTTGGGAAAAACCTGTTTTCCTCATGGAACCCTAGGAATTGAAAATGAATAGATCCCACTCAGAGTCTAAGGCTCTGTTCTGTTTTGTATTGAGTTATCTGATGTTTTTGACTTGGGAAGGTATTAGAGATTGCTTTGCATTTTGAGAGAGCTTTAATTTAGTGTACAATAAATAGGTAGAAAATATACTTTTAGGGATGGGCTAATTAAAAAATAGGCTGATTGGCTTTGGGCTGCCATGCAATAAAATGCACAGTAAAAGAATTGCACTATCTTCTCCTTTTGGGGATCCAGGATACAATGTAAAAATGAGGCCCTCAATTTTGCAGATCTATTTTGCCTTTCAGCTGTGCCTTATATTAGGCTGTAGAAACTGCATATTTTCCTAAGCCTGTGTTTCCAAGGACTCCACCCTAAAGCCAGTATCCAATTAAGAAACTTAGAGGCCCAGTGAGGTAGCTCTCACCTGTTATCCCAGGACTTTGGGAGGCTAATGCAGGTGGACACAAGGTCAGGATTTCGAGACCAGCCTGGTCAACATGGTGAAACCCTGTCTCTACTATAAACACAAAAATTAGCTGGGCACAGTGGCAGGTGCCTATAATCCCATCTACTTGGGAGTCTGAGGCAGGAGAATTGCTTGAAGCTGGGAGGTGGAGATTGCAGTAAGACAAGATTGCCCCACTGCACTCCAGCCTGTGTGACAGAGCAAGACTCCATCTCAGAAAAAAAAAAAAAAAAAGAAACTTAGAAACTGGTAAATGAAAAATCTTACAACTACTGGATCTTCTTCTTTCAGTGTAGTTATATATGTGTCATGTGTATAATGTTTCCGTAAAAGAGCTCTAATTAATTGGCTTAAAGAAAAATAAGCACTTAGATCAAATATTTTGAAAGAAAAATAAAAACTGTAATGCCTTTTAGTTTACGTGACTTTTAATCTTTGGGAAATAAGTTTTTAAGATTGTTAGTAAAAATAAAGCCATTTGGTCTAAATTAAGCAGATCAGATATTAGGTTTGTTGAATGCTTTAAGATCATAAACTGCATGTTTGGCTTTTGAAGATTATTCAATTTACTTACTTTGGAGCCTTAGAGTCTAGATAAGGCATGGGGACATGTGGAGAGCCACATCCCAAACTATACTGGAAAGAGTCAGACCTCACCTGCACCTAGTACATAATTAAAATAACTTATGAGATTTTTTACCAAGATTAAAATTTGCTAAGAGTTACCATGATAACATGTAATTGAGACTACTGAAAACATAGTTTTACATGCAAGATGTCTGAGGAGAGTGAAATGTGTTTTTGGTAAAAGATTATAAAAAGGCATAGGGATGTAAATTTTTGCCTAGAGGATGAAAGGATTGTTTTAAATTAGAAAAGATAACACTAAAAGTTTGAACAAGTTGTGAAAGGTTTGTAAAAATTAATCTTGTAAAAAGAAATCCTGTGTGGACACTGGCTAAAGTTAAAGGGGTATTAAGTTTTTCTGTAAATTGAACATTGGAATAAAAACAAAACAGACCTTTCTTAGAGCACTGATCTGCTCTTTCACAGGAATTATAAAGAATTATAAAATGTTTATGAGAATCTCACCATACGGTCAAACTGATTAAGATAGATACATTTTATCTATAAGGTTTTATTAAAAATTGGGGATAACATTAAATAGTAGACTAATGCAAGGGTGAAATTTGGCTTTTTCTCTTGAACAAGATTTTCATGTAATATTAGAAGATAATAAAAATGTTTTTGTTTCCCTTTGAATAAACTATCAGAAAAAGAAGGGAAAGGCAAGAGTTTGGAAAGCGGAGTCTTCCCTCTATCAATGAGTAAAGGTTTTGGCCTTTTCAAAAATTTTTGAGTCATCATTTTGGCTAAATGAATGACTTATGGTAACCTGGAATTCTATTTCATAGTATCAAGTGTTTTAAACCTTTAACATATTTGATAGGCTTCCCAAAATCAAATTTCAGCTTCAACATTATCTTTTCTGACTTATAACTTTGAGATGCTACAGAGGGCCCCTAAAACATTCAAAAGAGAGGTAAATAGGATTATTTGACGTATTTAGATATATGGGGAGCATTCTCAAAATAAAACATAATGTTTAATGTTCTATTTTAGTGTATGTTATCAATATCTTCCAAAATTGAATGGGATTTCTAAAATTCCAATATGTCTGAGTATATGGTATCATAATTATAGTTACTATGTTAAGTTATTGTAGACCACAGAAATAACCAAATTGCCTTGTCAATTGTGTCTTTAACTACGACTATTTAGAGTCATTTCCACAGTTAATTGCATAATGCTGATGCAGTTTCTGAAAACTTCACAAGCATGCAAAATCCTAGAATATGGTGTCTTTTAGGAGGTTCATGAAAGAATGGAAAGGACCCTGAAAAGCACTCTTCAATACAGGTTTCTAGTAACTTTAAATTCATATCATTTGGACTGGTAAGAATTCCTGAAACTTTAATGAATATAAACCAGACTGACTGGTTTATAAAACTGCTAACCCAAGTAGAACAAAAATTATTTATTTGAATACCAAGAAAATACTTTGCCAGATTTTCATACTTAATCAGCCAATACTAAAATTGTTTTGATATACAATTTGAATAAATTCCATGGTCTAAGCCAAATTACCTATAATAACCCATCAGTTACCAGTGCTAGGCACCTAAATTGCAGAAACAACTGGTATTCAAGAGGACAAAGTCCAGTGTTAAACATGGACTCGGCTGGGCATGGTGGCTCATGCCTCTAATCCCAGCACTCTGGGAAGCCGAGGCGGGTGGATCATCTGAGGTCAGGAGTTCATGACCAGCTTGGCCAACATGGCAAAAACCCAACTCTACTAAAAAACACACAAAAAAATAGCCGGGTGTGGTGGCCGGCATGTGTAATCCCAGTTACTTGGGAGTCTGAGGCAGGAGAATCGCTTGAACCCAGGAAGCAGAGGTTGCAGTAAGCCGAGATCGTGCCACTGCACTCCAGCCTGGGCCAAGAAGTGAGACTGTGTCTCAAAACAAACAAAAAACAAAACAAACAAAACAAACAAAAACAAACAAACAAAAAAAACCATGTACTCCTGGAGAAGGAGGATGGCCACCTTATCTTTCTTGAGTCCTTAAAGCTATTGTTATTAAAAGTTCTGCATGCCATGATTCATCATAGAAAAGATAAAAGAGTCCAAATTGAATATATTGGTATAGTGACTTATAAATTCCTAAATAGTTTATAACCAATGTTTGGTTTGTCAACCCATATTCCTGAGAAAACAATCAAAGCTTCAGGTACATTTGGTTGCCTGTTGGGCCGTTTAAACATTTTATGAAGGGATTTTATTCAATTGTCATTTTCAACGCATGTTTTCTGATTGTATAAAAGCTTTCCCATGGAAGAGGGCTGATGTTATAAAAGTAAATTATTATGCTACAGTGTATTTTCAGCAGAAAAAGAAAGCTTTTTATGGTTCACTGAGGACAGTCAACCTCTTCACAATCTAGAACCCAAAGACCAAATCTTCTGAGAATATCAGAGAAAGACTGTCTTTGACATCCACACTACAGCAAAACTTCAGGACTGTGAACCTTGGTTTATAATCTCACAACTGAGAATGGTCCCTGCACACTGTTGGAACTGTATACCCACTGGAACCCCTTTAGGTAAAGCTAACCAGGAAAATTTCTTCCCAGAAAAAGATGGGATCCTTGATGTGAACAGTTTTTCCCAAGATCATGGATAAAGACTTCTACTATCTTAAGACTCTTATCTTTGAATATTTTTTCCTTGTTTATGCCTCTATGAACAATAGAAATGAAAAGGGGGTCTGTTATGTGCACTTATGGCATATACTTTTATTTGTGAAGGATTTTGCAGCCAACCTTATACATGGATAACCTTATACTTTGATAAAGATGAAAGCCCAATATAGGTGAGAAACTTTAATGGTACATATGTTGCCTCATAATCAGTCAGAAACAGAACATTGGTTCACTCCTCTTAACCCACATCATGGGTTAAAAAGAACATTGCCAGGAGGCTTTCACTCTTCTAGAAGGGCATCATTTGTTAGGTCTATTTTCCATGGTTGGAGTAAAAGAGGCAATGATTAGAAATGTATCCCTCACGATAGGCTCTATAGCAGATTCTACTGTAAAGGCTATAGTTACACAACAGACTTTAAATTCTCCTGTCAAAGTTATGCTAAATAATAGAGTTGGCTAAACAGAAAAGTATCTGGGCAGCTGCTGACAATTATGACCTACGGAGAAAACATTGGGTATTATAGCAATTCAGTTGCAGGGAATTAACAAAAAGACCACTTAATTAAGCGAGCAGACTCTTTATCTACATCATTCTTTATTTGGTTTTAGGTGGTTTGGTTTATGCGGACCCTGGGTAAGGAGGATACTCCAAACTTAGTATTATCCTCTTGATAGTTGTAAAAATAATCTCCCTGGTGTGCTGTATTCTCTCAAATATTTTAAATGTTTATATGTACCCATCTCTAAAATGTCAAATGGTATCTTTTCAACTGGAATGACAAGAGCTGAAAGAAATGTAAGACCCTGAAGACATTTAACTTATGAATGACATGCCGAGGCTGAAAACCCCAAATGATGGTAACTGAGAGTGGTGCCAAGGCCCTGAGTTTTGCACACTCTCACCTAAGTGAAAACCTGACCAAAAAGGGGAAATTAAAAAAAAAAATTATGGGAGGCCATTGTTTTGGACTGAGTTCATGCACTAGGACCCAACAGACCAAACCAAACCAAAATGGAGTCACTTATGCTAAATATAACATAATCAAACTAAGACTTTAAGGAGACACGTAGATCCTAGAACAGACCAGGTTTGGTTTTTCTCCTGTAAACAGGATGTTTCAGCGTAAGGAGGTACCCTCTATTCAAGTCCTTGCTCCCACCTTTGCAAAACTCACTCACTGGTCTACTGTTTCCGATGGGTTTACACTGGTAATAGTGACATTAATGACTAAAGTTTTGGTCAATCTCTCAAAATTGAGAAAGTGACCAAAAAGGAGGAATTGTTAAAGCAAACTAAATACGGCCTGAGAAGAACTCTGTCCTATATTTGCGTCCTTGTGGATGAACTGCAACCACAAGATTGAAAACTTAGGAGTATGTGTCTGCAACAATAGCTGAGTCTTGGCCAATCCCAGCAGCCATACTTCAACCAATCATACACTGCTGAGTGTTCAAACTGTGGTCAAATAAGGCAAAGGCCGATCTGTAACCAATCCAGTTGTTCCTGTACCTCACTTCTGATTTCTGTATGCCACCTCCGTTTTCTTGTCTATAAACCTTTTTCCACCACGTGGCTGCACTGGAATCTCTGAATCTGCTGCGATTCTGGGGGCTGCCTGATTCTGAATCTTTCATTGCTCAATTAAACTCCTTTAAATTTAATTTGGCTGAAGTTTTTCCTTTAACAATACCCAGAAGTGGGATTTCTGGATCATATGGCAGTAGATAATATGGTTTTTGAGAAACCGCCATAGTGTTTTTCTCTGTAATGATTGTACCAATTTACATTCCCACCAACAGTGTTCAAAAGTTCACTTTTCTGTTTTGTGTGGTTTTTTTTGTTTGTTTGTTTGTTTTGAGACGGAGTCTCGCTCTGTCGCCCAGGGTAGAGTGCTGGGGCACAATCTCAGTTCACTGCAAGCTCCGCCTCCTGAGTTCATGCCATTCTCCTGCCTCAGTCTCCCAAGTAGCTGGGACTACAGGCTCCTGTCACCACGCCCGGCTGATTTTTTGGATTTTTAGTAGAGACAGGGTTTCACCGTGTTAGCCAGGATGGTCTCGATCTCCTGACCTCGTGATCTGCCCGCCTCAGCCTCCCAAAGTGCTGGGATTACAGGCTACAGCCACCGCACCTGGCCAAAGTTTCACTTTTCTTTATATCCTTGCTGACATTCTTAATTTTTGTCTTTTTGACAATAGCCATTCTAACAAGTGTGAGGTGATATCTCATTATGGTTTAAATTTGCATTTCCCTGATGATTTGTGATGATGAGCATTTTTTTAATATACCTGTTGGCCATTTGTATATTTTCTTTTGACGAATGTTTATGCAGGTCCTTTGCCAATTTTCTAAATGAGTTGTTTTCTCATTATTGAGTTGTTTGAGTTACATACATATTTTGGATATTATCCCCTTATCAGATGTATGATTTGCAAATACTTCCAATTCATGGGTTGTCTCTTCATGCTATTAATTGCTTCCTTTTATGTGTAGAAGCCTTTGATGCAATCTCATTTGTTTATTTTTGTTTTTGTTGCCTATTTTTTTGGGGTCACAGCCAAAATATCTTTGCTCAGATCAATGTGACAGAACTTTTCCCCCACATTTTCTTCTAGTTCCTTTTAGTTTCATGACCAAAGTTTATTTTTTAAGAAATTCATAATTAAACTTACTTCCGTTTCTACCATCAAAAAGTCAGTCTTTCTCCATGCAAACATCATTATTTCCTTGTGGAAAGTGTCAATGCTTATCCTTTCCTCTGTTGTGAGAGCCCAAAACAAAAAAGCAAACAAAGTTTTTGAAGAGATGATAGAGAACAACTACTGTGTGAGTGCAGATAATAGTAAAACAGAGAGGACAGGAACATGACAGAAAGGGAGAAACAATGTGAAGAGCATCAGCAGAGTGCAATGTACTTTGATATGTAAATTCCAGAGAAAAGGAAATGAAAGAGGCAGAAATGAAAATGCAAATGTATGGATAGTAGCATCAATGCTAAAAGAAATAACATCGATATGTAATAGTTCTGCTTCTGCTTAAAATATTAAAAGTTGCTAGAGACTGTTACCCGCATTCTAACACTGAGAAGTCAAGCGAACTATAAAAATAATAGTTTTTGTTTAACTCATCAGGAAACCAAGTTTAATAAACCAAAATAAAACAAAATCCGAGAGTTGACAGACTTTTCCCAGACCTTTCTTCAAAAAATTAAAAATAGAACTACCATAGGATACAACAATCTCACTTTTGGGTATTTATCCAAAATAACAGAGCAGGATTTCTAAGAGATATTAGCACTGCAACATTCATTGCAGCACTATTCACAATGGCCAAGATGTGGAGACAACCTAAACGTTCATCAGTATATGAGTGGATAAAGAAAATGTGGCATATAAAATGGAATATTATTTAGCCTTAAAAAATAGGAAATCCCATAATATGTGCCTGGATGAAACTTGAAGATATTATGCTGAGTGAAATGAGCTAGTCACAGAAGGATGCATACATTATTCCAATTATAGGAGGAAGTATCTAAAATTGTCAAACTCATAGAATCAGAGAGTAAAATTGTGATTGCTAGGAGCTGGGGAAAGGGAAAAATGAGGAGTTGCTAATTAATTAGTATAAAGTCCCAATTATGCAAGAAGAATAAGTTCTGGAGAGCTGCTATACAACATTATCCCTATAGTTAAAAATACTGTACTGTATATTTAAGATTTTTTAAGAGGTTAAATCTCATGTTAAGTGTTCTTACTACAGTATTTTTAAAAAGAGGGATTAACCATGAATGCAAAAAAAATTGATAAACTGGACTTAATCAGAATTAAAAAATTTTGTCAACAAAATGTATTATTAAGGAAATTATTAGGCTAAGCCAAAGACTAATAAACCCTCTAACACTTATATACAACAAAAGCACTTGTATCCACAATGTATGAAGAACTCTGAGAACTCAAGAAGAAAAAGAACCCTTTTTTTAATAAATAGGCAAAAGACTTAGATACTTCATTTTTTCCAAAAAGAGTCAGATGAATGGCCAGTAAGCACAGGAAAACGTGCTCAACATAATTAGTCATCAGGAAAATGCCAATTAAAACCACAATGAGATACCACTTCATACCCACTAAAATAGCTAAGTGGAAAAGTTTGGCAATATCATGTGTTGGAGGAGAAACTGGAACTCAAATTACTAGGAGTAGGAGTAAAAAGTCATGTAATCAATATGGAAAATAATTTGACAGTTTCTAGGAAACTTAAACATGAATCTGTCCTATACTCTAGAAATTATACTCCTCAGTATTTACCCAGAAGAATAAAAGCACATTTTCATACCAATATTTGTCAACATATGTTCATAGATGTTTTATTCATCATTGTCAAAAACCGGAAGCAACATAAATGTCCATCAATAAGAAAGTAAATGAACAAATTGTGATATATCACTACAACAGACTGCAATAAAAAGGAATGGGCTAATGATTCATGCAGGAAATTAATTAATCTAAAAACACGTTGAAGAAAAGATACTAGATGTAACAGTGCAAAACTATAAGATTTCATTCATATAAATTTCAACAGCAAACAAAACAGATCTGTAGGAAAGTGTTTGCCTCAGGTTGTATGGGGTGGTAATTGGCTGGAGAAAGAAGGGAACTTTCTAGAAAAATGGAAATGGTCTATATCTTGCCTTATGAAAGTGACATGGGCATACGCAATTGTCAAACTCATGGAACAGAACAGTTAAGATTTGACCAGTTTGTTACATATAAATTATATCTCAATTTAAAAATTATGTCCTTTGTAAATAAATCCTACTTATCAACAAGGAAAGTGAACTTAATTATAAAGGGTAGCAACATTTTAGAAGCCTCAGCTCCCTCTACAAGACATCTGTAACTCCCTTTGCAAACTATGTCACAATGAAGACAGAAGCATTTCAAAAGGCAGAGGCTGAATGAATGAGCAGGTTGAGGGAACCACGTAGTACACATTTTAAAAAAGGAAAAAACAAGGCCTATGGAACAAAAGCAAAAGTTTGAGACATAAACTCAGGTATTTCACAACCGGTAATAACAGCTATTTTTTTTCCATGAATAATTGACCACTTCATTATAAAATTTATTTGGACAGTTTCAATTAGTTATATATGCTTAAGTGCCTAAAAATTTTGGATATAGGTTTTTCTCCTCTGGTTGAATACTGACCTTGTTTTAGTAATTGATCAACTTGTAAGCTTCAAAAGAAACATGCGGCCGGGTGTGATGACTCGTGCCTGTAATCCCAGCACTTTGGGAGGCCGAAGCGGACGGATCACGAGGTCAGGAGATGAGACCATCCTGGCCAACACGGTGAAACCCCCGTCTCTACTAAAATACAAAAAAATTAGCCGGGCATGATGGCGGGCGCCTGTAGTCCCAGTTACTCGGGAGGCTGAGGCAGGGGAATCACTTGAACCTGGGAGGTGGAGGTTGCAGTAAGCCAACATTGAGCCACTGCATTCCAGCCTGGTGACAGAGCGAGGCTCCGTCTCAAAAAAAATAAAAAATAAAAAATAAAAAAAGTGCTTTGAAACTATCAATTGAAATAAAAGTGCCATACTACTGTGGGGAAATAAAAGTGAGAGAAATCCTATGGACAATATATGTACCATAACATAGCCTAGAAAAAAATAAAGGATTTCAGACTCGGCCTCCTTAGATTCTTAGAATACCAATTTTTTCATCTTTAAAATGGGCATTATACTTTCCTCAAAGGAGTTTTATGGAGATTAAAAAAAACATATAACAGCCTGGGCGCGGTGGCTCACGCCTGTAATCCCAGCACTTGGGGAGGCCGAGGCCGGCGGATCACGAGGTCAGGAGATCAAGACCATCCTGGCTAACACGGTGAAACCCCGTCTCTACTAAAGATACAAAAAAATATTAGCCAGGCGTGGTGGCGGGCGCCTGTAGTCCCAGCTACTCGGGAGGCTGAGGCAGGAGAATGGCGTAAACCCGGGAGGCGGAGCTTGCAGTGAGCCGAGATCGTGGCACTGCACTCCAGCCTGGGTAACAGAGCCAGACTCTGTCTAAAAAAAAAAAAAAAAAAAAAAAAAATATATATATATATATATATATATATATATATATATATATATATAAAACATATTAAACATAGTGCTTGGCATATACTTGTAAACAATCTCAATTTATTTTTCCTTACCCACTGTACCATATCTTATGGATGAAGAAGAAAGCCAACTATCAGAATTTGTATCTCAACAGGTATAGTTAGACTTAAGCTTCTTAAGAAGCCAATTTAGAAAATCAAGTGAAATAAAAATAAATTAAATGCAAAACATTATCTTACACAGAAAAACATAAAAAATGAACTGGATACTACTGTCTAGGGAACTGCTCTAGAACTAAACTGCCCTGGGCATATAACACAACACACATTAGGTAACATGCACATCCAATCTTGATAACTTTTTCTGAAAGTTTCAAATACAGGGTTGCTAGTAACTGGCAGTAAAAAAATGTCTTAGGACTACATCCTTCCCTGAGAAACGCTCGGTGTCTACTGGATACCAGTTTCTGTCCTATAAGCAAAGAATTTAACAAGCTGATGGTACCACAAACATTTATTACTTTCAGAGCAAAAAGAGGGGTGTCAATGTATACTTCTGCAAAATAGAGTAGAAATTCAAATTTCTACCATGGGCAAAAATAAAAATAATTTTGTGACCTAATATATGTTTGCAGATTTGATGGCTGTCCTCAGAGGGTGTTGGAAGAGGCTTACTCATCAATATCTTCCACAGCACCATGTTGCATGGGATGAATGGGAAAAAGAGACAAAGTTTTATGGTGATGTTCTTTTCCTTTCTAAATTTCCTTTTGCTTTTTTTTTTTTTTTTTTTTTTTTTTGAGTCGGAGTCTCGCTCTGTCACCAGGCTGGAGTGCAGTGATGTAATCTTGGCTCACTGCAACCTCTGCCTCCCAAGTTCAAGATATTCTCCTGCCTCAGCCTCCTGACTAGCTGGGATTACAGGCGTGTGCCACCACGCCCAGCTAATTTTTGTATTTTTAGTAGAGATGGGGTTTCACCATGTTGGCTAGGATGGTCTCAATCTCTTGACCTCATGATCCACCCACCTCAGCCTCCCAAAGTGCTGGGATTACAGAGCCACTGTGCCCAGCCAATTTCCTCTTGCTTTTAAGTTTCTGCTGTAACATATGAAAGACTCAGAATCCCACAGCTTGACTCTTTAGGGCTAAACATTGTAAATGATGTCCTGAAAATACTTTTGTCTAAGTTTCAGTTTCCAGCAGTTTTAAAATAAAGCCTAAAATTAGTATACATCCAGAAGATATCAACTTTACTATACGAACTAGGGTTCTCATAGCCTAGCCATGGGCTTCAATTTCAGGCTTTAAAATTGCCATCAGACAGTGGAATGTTATGGCAGCTCATCCTGAGGAAATAATTTCCTTATAGTGAGGAAAATAATCAAAAGATCACTCTAATACTAATACATAAAGACCCTTCACTCCATATGCCCCACCCCTCCCCCACCTGCTAAGCATTCTGTATCCGTCTGCCAACTTATGGCAGTGAATGGGAAGGATGAAGGATGTAGTAGAAGGAAACAATAGTTATGCTGAATCAACAGTTAGACTCTTCTCATTTGTTATGATGATTAATTGCATTTCTGCTGAAGTTACTAAGATAATCAATCCTAGATCCAGTTTTTTAGAGGAGCACAAGAACAACTAGTTAGTGAGGTAACATCTGCATCAAGAGCACAGAGAAAAGGCCATCATTTCTCTTTAAAAACATCTAGTACAAATATGTATGCAAATGATATGAAATGGCAAAGTAACGTGTTTATTTCACCGGTTATCTCCAAGTAATAAGCTCAATAGGAAAACACAAGCAATTTAGTCATCTGACTCAACTAATTAGTATTCAACCAATATAGAAGATCTGATCGTCCTGAATCAGTCTAGTATGATCAATGGTTTGCTAGGACCAAATATTTAAACTATCTTAAAACACATGCACACAATTTATTAACCTTCCAAAACATACAAATATTCACCATCTCATCTCTTATGCCTTTAGAATATTATGATCTTAATATATTTAGGTTAAGTGCTTATAATTATAAGCTGTACTTTAAGCCACTTGCTGCCTTCCTCCATCATTCACTTTAAAGAAAAACTTAAGAAATGAAAGAAAGGGGCAAAGATAAAGACCACATGTCCATAGGAACTATTAGCATATTAATCTACTGTGTTTCTATGTACACTTCCATCACCAAAGCTATGTTAAGGAAGAGGTTATGCCTTAATCAACAGTGCTTGATAAATGCAATCTGGGTGTATTTCTTAAGTATGTTCAAATTTCACAAGTCTTACTTCACAGTAGGGGTTCCAGTTCATTCCATACTTTTACGCCATAACACCTCTGATCAAGGAAGAAAGTCTTTAAAAGACCCCAAATAATTAGTTTCCAGAACTAAAGTCAACAAAAAGCATAATTAATGAGTACATTAGTTGTCTATCTCCAAAGCATTAACATTCATGCACATTTTAAATGAAGGAGATTGAAGGAGATAGAAACACATTTGGCATGTAATATTTCTAACTCTGATACTTCTAAATACTTCACAAACCCAAGAATTTAGGGGCAACATTTTCACTTCTGTAGCACAGTGTTCCTATAACTCAGCCCTTTCCATGCCCCACCCTATGTCTTCGGACTGTTGGAGAATTAAATTTAATCAGCGGCTTTGCAGAACGTAAAATCCTATAGTTTCTCCTCTGCTTTTCCTTTTGTCCTGATCATTTCTCTGCACAGTTGCATCACCCACTCCCACCTTCCACTTGAACTATATCTCCCTCCTCCCCAACTTTATGATTCTTTCACCTTTTCCTCCACTTCTCTCTCTCCTCTGGCAAAAGGTTGAAAACAAAAACAGCAACAAAAAACCGTGGGTGAGAGCTCTGGGCATAATTTATCAAAGCTGGTCTAAATATCCCAGCTGCAGTCTACTCCTTTTTCACATTACCTCAAAAACCAAAGAAGTTGGAAAGGAAAAGACAAAACTCCCAGGCAAATATTTTTCAGTTGCCAGTTTTAACCCAAATTTTTACCTTTTTTGTTCAAAGAAGTAATAAACAGCAAATGTAGGGTCACTTGAGAAAAAACAAAATTAGTAAATATAGAAAATTATTTTGGTTAATACTCCCTTAATTGATTTTTACTATTTATAAGAAAGCATGAGGCAGCTGCCAAAACAATAACAGCAATAATAGCAGTAACTTACCCTTATTAATTACTCTGTAACAGTCAGTAACACTTTACGTATATTAATTAATTTAATCCTTACAACAATCCCATTAGGTAAATATTTTAAAAGATGAAACAAGGGAACCAAGAATTTCCTCTCCCAAAGCCAGTATATGGAACGGAATCAGAAAATATGGCTCAGAATCTGCCTTCTTAAGAATTGTACCAGATAGCCACAACTGTTTTGTTTCCATGTACATATGCTGTGCATTTACTTGAGTCTTTGTTCTGCAATTTTAAAGAAATGAACTTTTCTGGGGCTAAGATGCATAGAAATCCCTTCAATATAGAATATTTTTTTCCATTAAATGTTCCCACTATTAGACTAAGTTTTGTGGTAAAGAATGGAAAGAAGAGAAAGTCATGAGCAAAACAGAAATGCCGAAGTGAGGGCAGAGTTCAAAGTGACATTTTCCCTATACAAGGCACTGTGGGATTCCCCAGGTCCAGCAGCATCCCTTAGCTTCAACCAGAACTCTCCTGGAACCCACTGGTCCACCTGCCATTAAAGAGTTTACTGCCTCATGCTACAATATTGACCTTCAAGTCTCTCATAGCTCCCTGCCTTGAAGACACATACAAATTCATGCTAATGGAAGAAATTTAAAGGAGAGAACTGCCTTCCCCTTTTCATTACCTCCCCAATAGCATTTTCTCCTGTCCAAGAATTTTAAGAGTGTCCTCTATAGTGCCTAACCAGGAAGGATGATGCAATTGGAGGAATATGCAGACCAGTTAGGAAGATTGAAGAATTTAGGACAAAAGACCACTGGGATTTTGCCTGGCCTTCTTGAAAAGAGAGCAGTTAACGTTTCTTCCTACTGTTTCCAATTACCTTCTGTTTGCTTTGGTGCCAGTAACAACATCAAGAAAAATGTAGTCAGTTTCTCTCTATACGGTATGCAATACATTGTAAAAGTAGAGCACTTTGTCAATCCCCTATTTTAGAATAATTACACTATCAAGAAAGTTTTAAATATTGCCTAATTTCCATTTGCTTTCTACCCACAATATTACCACTCTGCTGAAAACAACAACAACAAAATGTAAACCAAAAGATCAAGTCAGCTCTCCTGAAAAAGAAAAATCTGTTCCAAAAACTTTTGCTCCTAACCAATTGCCAATTTGGCAACGAGACAAACATATTTGGGAAAAAAACAACAAACGATAAACATAAGACAATCATGAACACGGTGCAAATATCCTCTTTGAAAAATGTCAGTTACACAAAAAATCCAATCGTGTGGAAAAGCATAACTTTTTCCCAAAGAAAGAAAGAAGTACCAGTACTTACGGTGTCATGAGACTTATCCTTGACATCATAGACTGTTAGTTTTATTTTGGTCTCCTCATAGATGGGATACTCAGATGGGAATGTGACACCAGTCAAAAACAGTGGGTCCCTTGTTCCCTGTAACAGCACAAGCAGACAACTTTGATTCAATAAGGCAGCAACTGTAGTTGGCAGCACGCAAGTGACACATGAGAATGCAGAAAGTGTGCCTGAGTCTGTTTTTCAAGGAAATAGTTCTATTAGAAGAGATCTGAATTGTCAAATCCTGCTCTTGGGCAACAACATGGCCCAGGGCCTTAAGGAAGTGATACAACTGCTGATAGTAAATGAACCTGCATCATTGTCAGAGCTGCCTTGAAAAAGTTTATTTTTATTATCTACAGAACCCTTCTTTAGGGTTAGTTAATTTAAAATACACTTAATAAATATAACTTGTAATTTATGCAAATAATCTAAGATATTGACTCATCAAATTAAAATGAAGCTATTTTCTCCGAAAGAACCATGTGGTAATCTTATGCTTCCATTTATTTCCTTTCTGTAATGATTCAATTGAAAATCATGCTCTGATAGTGTCCATTTGTTTTTAGATGTTCAGCTATGATTTTTTTTTTCCTCAGAATCACTTGAAAACTAATGAAAGAAACTCTAAATATGATGGATTTGAGGCTATAAAATTACTAGCTCAGGATGCAGTGCACAGGATATTTCAATGCCTCAGAATTCATTTTTAGAGCTGACATCCAGCATTAAATTTTATACATATATATTGCCGAATATCATGGAGATGTTTGCTAGAGTTCTATAAACTAATTGTCTATGGAAATTTCTGGAAGCCCAAGTAATTCATTCATTTATTCTTTCATTCAACAAATACATTTTGCTTGGCACTGCATCAGACACTTTGGAACGGGCAGTGAATAAAACAACTAAAAATAGCAAAACATGTTCAAGTACAATATTTTAAAATGTGCCAAAATAAGACATTTCTTATAGTTAAGATGGTAAATTTTATAATATGTGTATTTTATCACAATAAAATGAAAATTAAGAAAAAATCAAAATTAAATGAGTGAATAAGTAAATTTTGGCAACATTTTTAAAATAACAGAATTTTTAACTTTTTTATATAAAATGAATAACTTACAATTTTGGTTAAGATGTTTTCATATGAATAAGATTATTTTTGTTAATTCAACTATAGCATTAACTATATATTATACCAACACTGGAACCTAAAGTTTCCAAAGGGCATATTCAGGGCTACATGCAGTATCTGGGTCATTCCCATTATAGAAATGACTCCCGTTCAGTCTGAATCATTTATTCCACCACCGCATCAAAGCAGGCGGTCAGCCCTGAGCTAGCCAGGTCTGGGGCAGGCTAGTTAGGTTCTTACAGAGAAACTCCTCATTCAAAACATATGCAGCTCACAAGTCTAAGAAAAACAAGCAAATCTTAAGAAGTGTAGATTATACTTTCTCCAGCCCCAGATGTTTAAATAAGTATCTCTCATTCATTAAGGTTGTGAAATGTGTGATCAGAACAAAATAATCCAAAGGGAAACACTTCCTCTTTTGAATCTGATCCAACACAATAACAAGTTTCCTCTTGACATTTTGAATGTTATATTAGTAATAATAAATGTAAATAGGAAACCTCCCATCTGATGAGTAATATTTATACTTTTTGCCTAAAAACATAGTTTGTCAAATTAATCATCTACTTTTCCCTGAAAAACATCGTAAGTTGAAAGACAGACAAACAACAGAGAATATAAAGTTTCCACAGACTAAAGAATACCGGGGGGAAAAAAAGCAAAAACCCTTAACATGTTTAAAATTTCTCTGGGTACTGTACAACTTTCTTTTTTTTCCTCAAAATAAATATTTATTTCAATTTAAAGTCTGTATGTTGTTTTTCTTTATTCTATGCTCTATATGAGAATTTAAAGTGGGAACTTTTTTTTCTATCTTTGGGAGAAAAATAAACTCTTTGTATGAAAAGAAAAAAAAAGACAAGTTATTTTGTCATTTGTTCGTTCTAGTAAATTACCAATGCATTGCTTAATAATCTCAGGTATGTGCTTCTTAATGACAGAGGATGGTAATGCAGCATTGCTACAGACTATGAACTAACTTATTTCAGCTGTTCATTCAAATCCAGAGATGGGGCGGGGGTGGGGGGGAGGGAGAGAGAGAGCAAGAGCGAGCGAGCCAGCAAGAGAGAGAGAGAGAGAGAGATTAATGTAGGCACACAGCATCTCACCTCCACAATTTCGGTGCTGGAGTATCTTGTCAGACTCTGCTCCACGGGGTGGATTACGGAGATCTGCACCAGTGTATTCAGTTTACGATCACGGACAGGAGCCACGAGATCCTTGCATGCTGGCAACGGCAGAGGAGACAGAAAGAAAAGAAACTAACACCATATCTCAGGGAAAACTTCTGCGCCGGGCTGAAAGTGAACTTAGCTACAGCACTGAAGGAAATCTCCTGGGGCTCAGGCTGGTTTTACAGAGGAAGTCCCTTGGAAGTACCTTACAGAAATAGGAAGTCACGTGCTGTGGAGCTGAATTGAGAGTTCATTTCCACTGACCACATTTGCAGTTCATGCAAGTCTTTACTGGTCTGAGATCCCAGCTCTAATGCGTGACTATGCACACATGGCTCAGAAACCTCAGTGACTTTAATTAGCCATTAAGCCCTGGGCTTTAAGTCACACTCCTTGAGGATGTGAAAGTTGATTTGGGCCATATCTGGGAAACTTTGGTGTTCCTTATTGACATGGGTTGGATTAGATCAAGTGTTTGAATTCATACTTGGTCCTTACCTATGTATTCACTAGAACTGGCCTCCCACAGTAATACACACCAACAGAAACAAGGAGAGCAGTTTCTCAACCACAACAGCACACAAGCAGGGGAAGAGGAAGCAGAGGTAGGATTTTTAAAGCCCTGGTCTGGAATTCAAGCTAAGCCTGGAGGAGATGGGTTAATTCTTGCCCAGGGGCCACAAAAGTTAAAAACTTTCCCTTGAGACACCAGGCTCATATTACAGACCCTCGCCACCATACCATATTTACTTGAATATTTTCTCCTCTCACATATCATTCCCCCAATTTGAGGAAGAAAAATCCAGAAAAATATTCCTTTTAAGCAAGTCTGAATCGACTTTCCTCTCTATCCCCGCCACCCTCGCCTCCCACCTTTGAAATAATAATTTTACTCCCTTCAGCTGAGTTGCTGAGATGTAAAGTGCCCTCACTAGAGGTGGTTCAAGTTAAATTCGGCTGGTGGCTTGCTGCAGGCTGGAGCTATGGATGGGGGAAGTAGCCCTGGGTCCTTGATTTCATGGTGAGGGCATGCAGGGTTCTATACCATCCCTACCCCACTTCTCAGACCATAACAGGAAGGGAGAGAAAGATGAGGTATTTAAGGTATGTTGTGGTCAGAGCTTGCAAGGTCCTTACCATTGGTAACAAAGGTAATATGGCTTAAATCTGAAACTTGAAAGCAAAGGAAAGTATAGATGCAATTATCACCTTTCAATTGTTTACAGATAATCTCTTTCAGAAGTACAAGGAGATAGAAAAAGCAGGAACTTCGGAATGAAACAGGCTTGGTTTTAGTCCAGTTCAAATAGCTAGGCAACACTGGGAAAATTATTTAACTGCTTAACTTCTTACCAGACTTTCAGATCCTGCTGCTTCTGTATGGCGTTTTGTCATATACTTTTTTTTCCTTATATAAACCACATGCCTCTAGTAACAGAAGAGAGCTTATGAAAGCATGTATGGAAAAAACATAATAGCTACAATGTATTTAACCCTTACTATTTTTGAGGCATTTTGCTAATTATCTCTCTATTCCTTAAAATGGTGCTTTGAATTATTTCAGTTTTACATAGAACTAGAACTAGAGGCTTGGAAACATGAAGTGCTCACATTTACATTACTAGAATTCTCTGGTAGCTTACATCCTACCCCACTGGCTTCATTTCTCTTCTTGGCATGCCGACCTGCCCTCCTGCACAATGGCACCTCTCTTTGGAAGACCCACCGCCACACCACGATTATTACTCAACCCAAGAGACTTAGAGTTTTAAAAAATACTGGTGCCAGGTTTCAATAATGTCAACGTATCACCGGAAGGAAAGAAAAAGCTAGATTTAGATTTTCACTGTTCTTTGGTGGTTATTTTGATCATTTCCTTTACTTGCAATATGAATGTGTTTAATTTTATTGCTCATAAAATTCAACTGTTGGTTTTCTGCTTACAGTAAACAGCTCTTTTTCCGTTTCCTGATATTGACATATATCTATCAGAATTTTAAAGCTGAGGCCACTGTGTTTCAAATACAGGCATCTTGCCCACTTTCTGCTTGTAGCCCCATCTTTTACCTTGTGAGCTCATGACACCTTTGCTCAAAATAAGTCACTTCTTTTCTGAGTTCTTATCAGACTTGATTGTGGGCTGTGGTTATTTCCCAGAAATGAGCAGCTGTTCTCCATTTTATCAGAGAGACTCTCACCCTCGTTCCCCATAAAAACAGAGAAAATTTCTATTACACTGAAATGTTCTGTCCAACCCAATTTGCACATTCCCTAATACTGATAAAAATAATGATGATGCTTTGTATTTTTATTATATTCCACATCTAAAAACAATACGGTTACATCTTGTCAGGAAAACAATAATAGTTACATCTTGGGCTGCACTTTTTTCTTCCTACAGCTCAGAGGATTTACTGTACCCTAAGTCTTATGCAGCATGATATCCTGGAGAGAACCCGAGATCAGGCAGAATTCCTAAGCTGTGCTCCCAGATTTCCTGCTTTCTAGTTCTGTGGCACTGAGTAAGTCACAAACTCTGACACTTAATTGCCTCATCTATCTACCTACCTCTCAGGGTGGAAGTGAGGAAATTGGGCCTTTTTATAAATGGACTTTTCTATGCAAAAAAAAAGTTTACTAATATCATACTAATATATATTAATATCAACATTTACCAATATCTGGTGTTTTATTATTGTGTAAAATTGTTTTTATTGACTCAGTCATACTCAGCTTTTTAAAAGCTGTTACCAGGTCCAATATTTCTTCATAAATACCAAATTAGTACATGAGTCATTGCATTTCATAAGGTGAAACCTATTCACATCATGGATCTGTACATACTGAATCAGTCCCACCAGACGGCTGATAAATAATGAGTGATTGGATTGTTTTGTGAAGATATTACTCATATGATCACTATAAAATCTAATCCGTATGAGAATTATTTAGCAGCCAATAAAGAATCCTGAAAAATCTGTTTTCAGGAAAAAAAAAAAGTGAATGGGTGAGGTGGCTTATGCCTGGAATCCCAGCAATTTGAGAGGCCGAGGCCAGGATGACCTGACATCAGGAATTCCAGACCAGCCTGGCCAACATGACGAAACCCCATCTCTATTAAAAATACAAAAATTAGCTGGGCGTGGTGGCACACTCCTGTAGTGCCAGCTACTTGGGAGGCTGAGGCACAAGAATTGCTTGAACCCCAGGGGCGGAGGTTGCAGTGAGCTGAGATCACACCACTGCACTCCAGCCTGGGTGACAGAATGAGACTCTGTCTCATAAATAAATAAAAAGTTATATCTGTCTTCCAGCTATACTTACCACTGCTCATTAACCAAATATAATTCTACTCTAGGAGTGGCCTGCATCTGTGGCCTTCATCAGCTCAGAAGACTAAAAGAAAGCAATGCTTTGGGATTTTGCTTCTGTTTCGTTTTGTTTATTTAAGAATTCTACCCACTTCAATCTAATGGTCAGTAACAAACAAATGCTACTGCAATCCTTCATTCATCAGTAGATTTTTAATTTCTGCCTTCTTAATGGCTTTGCTTAGTATTGAATTGTTTAAAAGTGTTCTTAGACCTCAGAAGAGTTTAAATATGCAGGATGTTGATAGATGGGGATTCTAGTGTGCTTGTATCCAGTGTATTTTTTATTGAAATGTGGGAAAAATAATAATACAGAAGGAATATATTTTTAAACCATAATTTGTGACTTGTCATCAGAAAAAAAATAAAGAGCAATAAGTGACTTTTTATTTCCTGATTACTTTTGCTATGGTAACTAGTAACATGAGGGTTCACATTCTACTATGAGTAGCTGTGAGTGAGATGCCTACAGGCATCCCCAGCTCATATTTGTACAGGAGCCAGGCAGTTTTCACTCTACGAGAAGGAAATCCTCAGTGGAAGCATAATAATAAAAATAAATGGAGGGGGCCACATGCGGTGGCTCACGCCTGTAATCCCAGCACTTTGGGAGGCCAAGGAGGGCAGATTGCTTGAGGTCAGGAGTTCGAGACCAGCCTGGCCAACATGGCAAAACCCCATCTCTACTAAAAATACAAAAATTAGCTGGCCATGGTGGTGGGTGCCTTTAATCCCAGCTACTCGGAGGGCTGAGGTGGGAGAGTCGCTTGAACCCGGGAAGCGGAGGTTGCAGTGAGCCGAGATTGCGTCATTGTGCTCTAGCCTGGGCAACAGAGCGAGACTCCTTCTCAAAAAATAATAAATAAATAAATAAATAAATAAAGAGACTCAATATCTCCGGTGACTGAGACTCTATCTCAAAAAATAATAAACAAATAAAGACTCAATATGTCCAGGGAGGGCTAGGCACTGAACAAACTGGAAAGCTTACACTATGTCATAAGATGGAACCTCTATACAAAGTCATTGCCTGAAAAAATGAAGGCCCACTGTGTCCTTGATTTTAGGATTTCTCCAAAGCTTGAAATCCCCAGTCACTGTGCAGGTGAACACTGGAACAGCTGCACAAAATACATCTGTTTGATAGATTTGGCCAGAAGTTTTTCTGAGGAATAGAAATTGCCAAATTCTAGTCTTGACGCTTACAGCTACTACCTAGCCTCTTAGGAAGAGGGCACAGATTTTCTTCTGCTCCAGTAGTTCTCACTGGAGAGTCCAGAGCTAAAAGGTGGGACTCTTCAGGATTTTTGTGAAATCAAAGATACTGTCTATACCAAAATACTGCTTTTTATAAAATATCAGTTTCTGTTTCCTGTGGCCATTATTTCAAAATCAGGTGAAGGCTATTGAGTCCATGATCATTTCTATCATTCCAACCAATTTTGGCTGGAAGCCTAAAAATACCTCTTGATTCACATCAGAGAGCTCAGTCTCAGCAATAATCAATTTGAAGTAGAACACAACTGTTCATTCAGGTGCTTTTGAGTTCAGCAACACTGCTCGAATTCAAGTAGTTGTAAAGCATACATTAGACAAGGGGGGTGTCAACAAGCAGATGCCTGCCCCAGGCTTTCACGAGAGTGGTGGTGTGAACCACTGAGGCACTGTGAATTGGTGGTCAACCCCAAGTGACCATCTCTTTCCCCCTAAGAAAACTTTCTTCTGTGAAGTGAGGTCTTTTCTCTTGCCTCACTCTTACTTCATCTCTCTTCTTGCCATTCATTGTTAATGGAATCTAACAAAATTTATCCTCTTTCTTCCAGAACAAAGCAGTGGCCACAGGTGCGTGGGAATCAGTGAGGGGGATATGACAAGAATTTCCACATCTCTACAATTCTGTACTCAAAATTAGCCAAAGGAAATTTAGACTTAGAGGAGAAACCACATACCATAGTGTATGGAGGATAAAGAAATTTTTTTTAACTTAAGATAAAACCTTATTTGAGAGAGCTATATATGACTTTGGATGAATTACTCAATCTCTTTGAATCTCTATTCTAGCATCTGCAAAATGGAAGTAAAAGAATGTACTTCATAAATTTGCTATAAAGACAATAAGGTAATGTATATAGAATGCTAATATATGAGTCCCTTTAAATTATTATTGACATTAATATATAGTTATACTGTGCATTAACACAAAAAATGGATTTTATCTATCCTATATTTTTATACTAATCATATGCTCAAGATATTCCAGATTGGTCCTAATTTTATATAAAGTTATTCTTTTTTCAATAAAAGCATTTGTTAAATATATACCTGTGATTTTTTTCACCTTATTTTCAGATAGCTAAATATACATTTTTAAAAGCTCTTTACTAGATCATGTGTTAATTGTGAAAATCAGAGGCATCATTAATATGCTGCTTTCTGTGAAATCAGATGTGTACACTTGCACTTGTAATTTTCACCTCTAATGAGGTACTTCCAAATGAGAAACTTACAATGGAGAAAGCAAACTTGACTTTCTCTCTCCCAGCATATGTGCTACATGTAAATGGTCAACTCACCCTTTAAGCAGGGGTTTAACTAGGAGGTTAGGGTTCCATTACTCAGTGGATGATGGCCCACAGGGGAGCACTTGCTTAACTACTGAGATGTCCCAAAGGGTCAGGGAAAGAGTTGCTTCTCTGCTCTGTACATTTCCTTCATCAAAAAGGAAGACTATGGATGCTAATAAAGCTTCTTTTTCTTGCAATTAAAACTAAATGTTACAGCTAGAGCCCAATATAGTCTGATAGAAGCATACCTTCGAATCTAATGAAAGCTCACCTCTTATGCCCTCTACAGACACTGCATAGGAGAAATGGGAGAGATAAATCCATGCCTGTTAAGAGCAAAAAGGGCCAGAGTACAGAGGACATTGGCATCCTAGAATAGAAAAGTGGCCTTAATACAAACAGGGGCCAGGCACAGTGGCTAATGCCTGTAATCCCAGCACTTTGGGAGGCCCAGGCAGGCGGATCACTTGAGGTCAGAAGTTTGAGACCAGCCTGGCCAACATCGCACAACTCCATCTCTACAAAAAATACAAAAATTAGCTGGGCATGGTGATGCGCGTTTGTAATCCCAGCTACTCGGGAGGCTGAGGCACGAGGATCACTTGAACCAGGGAGGCAGAGATTGCAGTGAGCTGAGATTGCACCACTGCACTCTAGCCTGGGTGACAGAGTGAGACTCTGTCTCAAAAACAAAACAAAAAAACCCAGAGCTTTAGGGAAATACCATTTGGCTTCCCACCTCCCTCAATAGCACCATTCTTATCTCACATCATTTCCCTAAGGATGTGCAAAAGACTTTTGCAGCCTAGGGGGCAGTTTTTTATTCAGAAATTCTTAATGTTTGTTCAGGTTTCTCAAAACTGTCACATATATGTCCTTCCTCTTTGTACTTCAGAAAATTAGATTCCACTAATCAACTGATAAGCCAATTTAGGTTATGTTTCCAGTCCAATAAATTATTGGACTCCATTATATGGTTTCACAGTTAACATTCTATACCAGTGATTACATCTAGATTAAATCAGTTTATATCATACATTAAAAGATATATAGAGCACTTAAAAAGCCTAATAGCCCCTCTAATTACTTTATTAGTATAATATGCTTTTCTATTTTTAATCTCCTTTGCCTTTTTTTGTTTTTTATTCTTCCTTCCCCTCAAGAATTTTAAGACAGCAATTTTCTGAAGCCTAGGATGTCAACCTCTCCAGCTCAGATCTCCTGAGTACATTCAGAAGAGGATGCTTCCTAGGCTCAGTGCACTACAATCCATGATAATTCAATTATATATAGTAAAATGACAGAATGTACAGTGTCCCTGCCTATACTAATATCCACACAATGAGAATTGCACAAGCAGTTGGAAATACTCTCTTCACTACTATCTGTTTATGGTTATTTCTTAGAAGAATATGTCTCTATATCATGCTGAGTTGATTTATGGCCATGAATATATATCCTCCCATCTTTCTTCTGTATTCTCTGTAAAATCTTTGAGTCTTTAATTCATTGAGAGTAGCTCTCATCTTGTCCTTCCTCTCATTTTAGCTTATTTTCAATCGGGCAAGCCTGCTTTTTATAATTTTCCTTTGACATTATTCTTTTTTCTTCTCTTCTCTGCCATCTCATATTTCCTCTCCAACATATGTGTTACTCTCATCACTCTGAAAGACGAGGTTATCAAAGTCACCACTCATATATTTTATAAGACTTGGGACTCTAGGAGTCAAGCACACACTGCTCTTAACAAACCACAGCTTCTCCCCTCAGTTCACTGGTTTTAAAGTCTTTATAGAAACAAAACAAAAATGTGTTATGTTCTCCTTAACTTTTGTGTGGGAGATTTTAATTGGCACGCACTTCCTAAAGGACCATGCATCGCTGCCAACATAAGAGATATTTGTTGGAAAAATAGGAACAAATGTATAAAAGTTGGCATTAAAAAATTAGAAAATGTGTGGGTTTTTTTAGTTTGTTTTCTTCTGTCTTTTAAGGCACTAAGTTCTAAAAATTAATGTCCCAAATTCAAAGCCAGGGTCTTTCTCTCCAAGAAAGACAATACGCATATAAGGGAAAATAATAGTACTAATTTTAGGTTTCTAAAAGGTCAGCGGATAAAAGCAATTCAATGTTTAAGACTGAAAGAAAAGAAATCAACCTAAGGAATCAGCTCATACATACACATAAACTAAATGAGTGAATAAACACACAGACAAATAAATAAAGCCATCCTAATGCAAGAATCTCTTAGGCATATTGAAATAATGCTAGATACTAGTATTCCTATCTTGCAATCATAAAATGCTAATATTTTCCATATTTTAGGGTTTTTATTATTAAAGATAATACATAAAACATGCAAAGAAGGTGAGGTGTGGCAGGAAGCATAATTTGCTAAATGCTTAATATGTACCAGGAAGTATTGGCCTTAGACCCTTTCCTTGTGTTAGCTCACATCTAGAACAACATGCCTATTGCTGTCTCATAGTTCCATTAGTTCCACATTCATATTTTTAACTAACCAGCCAGTCAATATTTGTGGTTACAGTGTCTGGCTGAAGGATAAATACTATCTTTTTATTTAACCAATAGCTTAGTATTCAGCAATCTGAGTTAATTTGTTTTCAATAATGTCATTCTGCTTGTCTGGTTGTCTGCATATTCAATGGTGATTTAGCTTTGCAACAAGAATTTTAAGACTCTCAACCCTCTGATAATAGAATCCAAATAAAACTTGAGGAAAGGATGAATCTAATACCATGGGGAGAAAACAGATGACGGAGTTATTGAGGAATATAGGTAATAATTTGCAAGAGGGAATTTAAGAGATTTTATTGTAGAAATATTGCTTTAGAATTCTTGCCACATTGAGATTTGAGCATCATTGCTCCTAAATTTCTTTACAACTGATTCACTTGTAAATTAAACTGATTTCCTTGAAGTAAAATATTAGCTTCAGATTGTTGGGAAATAAGCCCTGAAATAAAGTTTGTTATTTTTTTTACCATCCTATAACACAACAATATTAAAACATGTCACCATTATTTTATGTGTCTGTGTGTGTGTTAAATAGAAATGTGCTGGGCTTTTAAATAAAAAAAAAATGGATGAGAAGATAAAATTCACTTCTTTAGCTGGGAATATTATTGATACTAAAATAAACTTCACACCCAGTACCAATTCTCAATTTAAGTGTCACTGAAGAATCAAGAGGGAAAGAAAAACAACACAACCTCTGCCTGGAACAATGGTGCTCTTGGGAAATGCTCTTGGATTGTCTGTGCTGGGAAAAATGAAGATACCAGCTGTACAGCAGACAGCTTATTTGCATATGAAAAGAAAAAATTTGGTTCAAATAATTGTTGTCAGTACCAGAAGACTCCCATTCTCAAGCTTATGCCCTGCTCCCTTAGCTTCTCAGGTCAGTCCTCAGAAAATCCTATTTTGTCTTGCTTTCATGAATATTACCTAGGTGGCTGAGACTCCATCCTCAAGCAATTGAAATAAAAACAAGTCTGTGCCCGCATCTTTTCTGGTTGTGATATCCCACACTTCATGCCATAAATTCTAAGCTGGCCTAGCACCGCCTATCGTTGCATTCAGACTTGGCTCTTTTTGTGCATGCTCCAAATCCAAGTTCCACTTTGGAAACAACAAGTGTTTGCAGCTTTCTGCTGCTCTTTTCAGTGGGAACATATGTGCTGCTTAAGAAAGGATGAAAATGTTATTCCAAGAAGGAAAGCAGGTCCCCCTGAATACTAAAAGCAATATTGTGAGTCGGTTCATGGAAATCTGTAGTGTTAGGATTAGGCTGAAGAAGTAAGCGGAAAAAGAAATGCAAGGAACCACCTTAATTAAGCCTTTTACCACCCTTTCTCCAGGAGCTGAGGTGGCACCATTTTTTTGAACAACTACCACTGATATGGGAGCCAATAGGATTTCTGTCCAGTACAAGCATATGGCCCATGAGTGGATTCAGCAGTGCACATAGGTTATTGGGGAGGGGCTGCTTCCCTGACCTACCTCTGAACCAAAAGATGAGGCCAGTGTAGCTGGTGGAGAAAGGTTACAGGAAGGGTGGCAGGAAAGTCAGGGCTTCAGTTACCAAAGGTGGATGGCTAAGGGGAGTGGACTCAAGATGGCTGGACTCCGAGTGAATGCACAAAATGGTGTCAGGCAGAAAAGACACATGAAAAAATGCTCATCAACACTGGCCATCAGAGAAATGCAAATCAAAACCACAATGATACCATCTCACACCAGTTAGAATGGCGATCATTAAAAAGTCAGGAAACAACAGGTGCTGGAGAGGATGTGGAGAAATAGGAACACTTTTACACTGTTGGTGGGACTGTAAACTAGTTCAACCATTGTGGAAGTCAGTGTGGCGATTCCTCAGGGATCTAGAACTAGAAATACCATTTGACCCAGCAATCCCATTACTGGATATATACCCAAAGGATTATAAATCATGCTGCTATAAAGACACGTGCACACGTATGTTTATTACGGCACTATTCACAATAGCAAAGACTTGGAACCAACCCAAATGTCCAACAATGATAGACTGGATTAAGAAAATGTGGCACATATACACCATGAAATACTATGCAGCCATAAAAAATGATGAGTTCATGTCCTTTGTAGGGACATGGATGAAGCTGGAAACCATCATTCTCAGCAAACTATCACAAGGACAAAAAACCGAACACCGCATGTTCTCACTCATAGGTGGGAATTGAACAATGAGAACACATGGACACAGGAAGGGGAACATCACACTCTGGGGACTGTTGTGGGGTGGGGTGAGGGGGGAGGGATAGCATTAGGAGATATACCTAATGCTAAATGATGAGTTAATGGGTGCAGCACACGAGCATGGCACATGTATACATATGTAACTAACCTGCACGTTGTGCACATGTACCCTAAAACTTAAAGTATAATAAAAAAAATAGTGTCAGGCAGGTATTTAGGAGTTTGAGGGAGAATAAAGAAAATAGGGGCCTGGAATGTTGTCTTGAGGAGTTGACAGTCTTCTGAGGGAATTTGTTTGGGCAGGAGGTAGCAAGCCGACAGGGAGGCAGCTGTTCAATCCAGATGACTTCCCATACAACACACTGACTCATGGTCTGGGTTTTACCAAATCCTGAGCATGCTTTCCCAAACCAAAATATTCAGGAGAATTGCATTGTGCAGATGGTGGTTGGTTAAGGGCTTGAATTTTAGGAAATGATGTCTAAATTAAGGTTAAAAATTATTTAAGTAATTTTTTTTCCTGAAAATTTGTTTGGGCTTAATGGCTATGTGCTATTGCTCAAATGCCAAATATTTTACCAGTAGAATTAAATTATTAAATTGAAGACACATAAAAAGACAGATTAGGAAGTAAGAGGAATAGGGAAGAATGAGAAAAATAGATGGTTCTAGGGGCATAATGAGCTTCTCATTTTGTTGTCTCCATCTAGATCATCCTTTGGGCAAGAACCAGTTTTGAAGTGCTTAAAGAAGATAACTCCAGTTTCGCTTCAGTCATCAATCATGTGTGATTCTGTGTAGGCAAAAGACAATCTCAATATTCATTTGACTAACTAGGGCTTTGAGGGTGTCGATTCTTCTGTCATAAGATAGTTGACTCACAGGAAATAAAACAAGCTTCATACAGATAAGCTAAAGCTAGAAATGACTAGTGATCCAGGATATAAGAGAAGGAGGAGTTTATAAGTGAGAAAGTAAATCTGGGCTGGCTGGAAAGCAGAGGGTCTAATTACTTGGAGCAAAATCCACCAATTCAACAGTTTGTGAAAGCAACCGAGATCAGACAACTTCGTGGGAAAGAGTAGTTCTAAGAGGATCAGTGTTTGAAGGAAAAAAGAGCATACTTCTCAGAATATTTGGGATCTCCAGGGAGAGCAGTTCAAATGAAAGCTCAGCAGAGTGGCTGCTAGCTCAAAGTAGAAAGCTTCAGAGCCCTAGGCATACAGGAAGTTTCAGAACAGAAGAGTAGTTTACACTACTCAAATTAAATTAAAAAGAACCTCTTCCGGGATGCACTGTAGCCTAGGCAAGATGAGAATATGATGCACCTTCCCTTCTGTTTAAGGTCTTCTTGGCAGTTCTTACTTGCTCTGCCTTCCAAATTGCCAAAAGTTGAGGGCCATAGATTCAGTCCTGACTGTGTGATTTTGGGTTTGTTACGGAGTCTTAGTATCTTCATCTGGGAATGGGGATGATAATTATGTTTATTCTCACTTAGTGCTTGTGTGGATCCAATTAAATAAAATGTGTGAAAAAATGTATTAAATTCCTAACAATGTATTAGTAATATACTTCTCAATTTCATCTATATTAGCTCAAACAACTTGCAAAATAGGAATTATTATCTGCAATTCACAGATAAGGAATCAGAGTTTCAGGGACAGAAAGGGATTAACCCAAGATAATAATTAGAATAATACCATTGGAGAATCACTTATACATCTAGCACTATTCTTAGTGCTTTAGGAATGCTGTCTGATTGAGTTTGCAAAACGACCCAGGAATGATGAATTTTTCAGGATTTTTGAGGCGGTATCAGGATCCAAAGGCTCTCTCAGGCTGGCAGTCCAAATACCAGCCTGGCCCTGACTTCCCTCACGGGCACATGTTGTAAGCTAAAATTTAAGCTCAAATCTCCTTATGTCAGTCTATTTCTATTATTTCAGTTGTCTGTTCTTGTTGTTATTTGTATATGTCTGTTCTTAAAAACATTTCTGCAAGAAGATTGGTTGCTTCTTTGATGCTGTCATAACATAGGAATCTTCAGGTTACATTGCAATAATTTTGGCTCCCCAATTCTACACAGGTATGCAGTCAACAGATACGCAGTCTAATTATAGAACTCAACTTGTTCACCTCCAGCCTATAAGCTGATTCTTCTTGTCAATTTTCTCTAAAAGAACCCCAAGGCCAAAAGACTCTATTTCTCTAAAATATAATATATTCATTTGCAAACAATGAAATTTTAAAGGTTAAATATTCATTTGAAATTTTAAAATGGATTACTTTTTACAAATAATTGTGTTGGCAATAATTATGAAACATTTCAAGGGAATATATAAATATATTGATTTATTTTATGAATAAATGTGTGAGGATAAAGCAATGGAATTCATGCATATCAGCCCATAGATATTTATTGAACGTCCAAATGTGCCCAATATGATTCTAGGTGACAGTTTCACAGCATTGAACAAGAAAATAAATTCCCCATTTTATGGTGCTTATAGTCTAGTATGACAAGAAATTTTTTTAAAAAACAATGAGAATTCTAAACAGTGTAATAAACTTGAGAGTGTTAGGGACTGGTAGATCAGGCAAATGTTCTCTGATGAGGTGGCATTTGAGCTGTGACCTAAAACATACCAAGGAACCAGCTAAGGGGGGACAATAAGTATGAAGACCCAAACATCTGACCTATTTGAGAAGCAGAAAGAAGCCCCATGGGTTGATAGAGAGTGAGCTAGAAAATTAACACAAGGTAAGGTGAGAATGGCCTGCTCCTTAAGACCCATTTTGATTTTACTCTAAGTAAAATTGAAGCCATTGGAAGATCTTAACTAGGGGAGTAAAGAAATTACATTTCCATTTTTAGAAGACTGGCTTTTCCATCAGGTGGAGACTGAGCAGGGACAAGAATAGAAACAGACTCACGAGGACTTGCCTGCTGGCGCAGGTGAGAGTTCACAGTGGCTTGGAATTGAAGGACAGTGGTGGGGATGGAAAGGGGTGGTGAAATTCAGAATATGTTTTCAACCTACAACTTACAGGACTTGATGATGGATTTAATGTAAGGTTAGAGAAAAAGAAGAATCAAGAAGGCATTATGGTTTGGGGATTTGAGTAACTAAGTGGATGGTGGTGTGCTTTATGGAGATAGATACCATGGGGGAATACAATATTTGGGGGGACAAAAGTAAAGATTTAAAAACTCAGGTTCTGGCCATCTTAAAATTTTTAAGATAACCTCCTAAACAAGCGAGTGGTGTTATCTGGTAGCCAGTTGAATATGGAAGTAGAAAGCTCTGTGGAAAAGTGAGAGCAAGAGTTACACATTTTGAAAACAAAGGCTTATAAATATTACCTAAAGCTGTGGGCCTTGGAATTGCTTAGAGGGAAAAGTAATTTGCACTGGGATAAAACTGACATTCTAAATTTGAGCAAATTTTGACCTGGGAATACCCGTATGCTCAAACGGACTTCTGCCACCTTATCACTGTGGATAACAGCTGAGAATAATCTCTTTGTCACTGGTAGAGCTGATGGAGGAGTAAGGGACAGAGAACTTAAGCTTTGGGCTTTCTTCTACCAGAAATGCCACTGCAGGCAAGTCACTTAACCACTCAAAGATTTAGTTTCTTCCACTACAAAACAGGAATAACATTGCCTTTGCCAACTACAAAAGCTCAAATAAGAAGCATTTGGGGCAAAGACTGTTTTGTACAATAGAAATGTAAGAGAACTTATCTTTAATATTTAATTGCACTCCATTAGGTCTCTTCATGTCCCCATGGCGTGGTCCCCAAGTGACTTAAGATACATTTGGATGCCATCTGCTCAACAAGAAGACTGACTGACAAATTTCAAGCACACAGACAGCAACATCAGGGGACCTCTCTCTCTCCCAACCCTGGTGGCTTTTGATTTTACAGAAAGCAAAAGCATCTGATAAACAAAGCCCTGAGGTAGTCCTGATTCCTCAATTACCCCTAAGTAGCAACAGATGCTGCACAGAGGGACTTGCTTCAGTGACCAATGCTCTCAGTAATTAGACAATGGAGGGAGAAAGTAATTAGGTAAACCACAAAGAAGTAGAAATAAACTGTATGGGATATGTTGGTCATGGATGAAAGACAAATTAAAAAAAAGTATAAAGGAAACATCTAGGAAAAAATAACTAATAAATAATTTGCTTAATCCATGTTGAATAATCAATTTAAGCCTGTGAAGTTAAACCTGATTAAAGATATCCCTTAATTAAAAAGTTCCTACAATGTATTACTTAGAAAGAAACATGACAAGAAGAATAGATCTATTTTATGTCAACAACAGTTCAGTTAAATGATATAGTCCTGGCAAGGAGAAGTGGGAGAGAAAAGTTTGAGGTCTTATATACTTCTCATTTATTAATTGATGTATCATATCTCATATCTGCGGGGTGCACCAAATGTGAATTTAAACCAGTGTCACTAAAAACAGGCTACAATCCAACTGCAGAACATGCTAAATCTTGGTCACCAGAAAACCACTACCCACCCGACAGATGTGTAAAGAAGCTCTAATTGGTTCATTTTCTCTTCCTTCAATTAAATAACTATATCAGAAGTACAAAAACCTCATGTAGGCCTTAGATAACCTTTTATTGCTGTTCTCTTTCCCATTCCTGTACTTTTAATCATAGACCACAAAGAACATGGCCTTTGGAATTAAAATCCAGATTGCTCTACATTCTAGATATAGGCCTTCACACAAGTGAATGAACTTGTCTGTGAAACATAGGTAATGGGAGGCAACTGTTGAGCCTGTAATAGGAACAAAGGAGAAAATGTCAAAAGTGTTTAATGCCTTGTGCTTAGAAGGTGTTCAGCAAGTGATGGCAATTACTATGCACAAAAGTTCAGTGGCTAGACTCCCTGCTCAAGGAAGTTTTGAGTGTGATAAAGTCATTTATTCAAGGAAGTATTAATCATAAGTTAACCAACCACTTACGCTAATTCATTTAATCATCACAAGAACTTTATAAGGTAAATAGTAATATCCTTCCCATTTTCCAGATAGGAAATAGAGATTCAGAAACATTGGGCTATTTTTCTAATGCCTTATAGCTATAGAGTAGCAAAGATAGGATTCAAACACTAGCAAGTTGGCATCATACTCCTAGTTCTTAGTTGGAAGCTATATTGCCTCCCTACTTAGGCTCAGTTTCAGCCTGGAATGCAAATCCATTTCTATTTGTTGTCTTTATTTTTGTTGTTGAGTTGTTGGTGAATGCCTGTTCTGAAAAATATCTCCTCAAAAGTACTGCTAGTTATCCGATGCTCTCAAAATTGACATAGCTCAAAGAAAGGCTCAATGGGAAAATTATTGTCTATATAAGTAGGCAATTAGAGGCACAGCCTGCCTAAAAAATCCTCCCTGTCCAGCTCAGCATGGCCTGAGCCTCCTCTGAGTTTCATCTAGCACAGCCCCAGAGGCAGTAAGACTCAATACTTCATGATACCTACATATAATTTGGTGGCAATAAAGATGTTTAAAGACTTGTGTTCATTTAGAATTTTAAAATGAGTCTCTGATATACATGCAACAATTATAGAATATTGCAAGAGAATTTCTAGAGCTTTAATTTATTTTACAGTGGAATTATAAGCAATAAAGAGAGAAATGTAAATGAGCATTAAATGCATCACCTTGGAAAATGAGCTCTAGGATTTCATGTATTTTTCTATTTCGTTTTTCTGAATTCTCTCATGTTCCTCCTAAACCAACTGAAATCCTGCTCATTCTTTTAAGACTTGGTCCAAATGCCTCTTCCTCTGAGATGCTGTTTTTGATGCCATTGTTACAATGAATTATACTTGCTCAGCGCTTCCATAGTTTTTGGTTTATGCCTTTATTTTGCCCTTACCACAATCTGCCTGACATTATTAAAGTTGTTTATCCTCATCACCTCCTGAAAACTCCTAGGAAGTACAAATCAGTGAGGAGGGGGATATTGCCTGATGGTTAAAAGCAGGAGCCTCCAAATCAGACAAAACTCAGCTTAGATCCTGACTCCATCATTCAGCTTCTGTAAGATCTTTAGAACGTAGACCGTTGAGAATCTAGGATTCTTAATCTGTCCAGTAATGATAATATGGGAGAGATATTATAGTATGAACTCAGACTCCTGGGTTCAAATCTTAGGCTCACTACTTTACCAGTTTAATTCTAAGTTTTCTTACATAGAAATCAGGGATGATAAAAGAGCAATTACTCATAATGAAATGATAAGAAGTAATTAATATATGTAAATTATTTAGAACAGCATATGGCAAACAAGTAAGCAATCAATAAATGTTAGTTACTTTTAATATTATTATCCTGTAGAGTTGTGGTGAGAAATTCATGACATGCTGTTTGTAAAGTTAAGCCCATAATAGATGCTGAAAAAATGGTAGTTGTTGCTGTGTCCTCCTAGGGCTTTGAACAATGACTTGTCATTAGAAGGCGCCCAGAAAATGGTAGTTCAGGGAAATTCAATGTTTTATAAGGGATGTGTTACACTATAAGAAGCAAGAAGGCTAGGTGTGGTGGCTCATGCCTGTACTCCCAGCACTTTGGAAGGCTGAGGTGGTAGATTCACTGGAGCCCAAGAGTTCAAGACCAACCTGGGCAACATAGTGAGAACCCCCTCTCTACAAAAAATAAAAATGAAAAAAACTAGCCAGGCATGGTCATGTGCACCTGTGGTCCTAGCTACTTGGGAGGCTGCTGGTGGAAGGATTGCTTCAGCCTAGGAGTTGGAGGCTGCAGTGAGCTATGATTATGCCACTGTGCTCTAGTCTGGGTGACCGAGTGAAACCTTATCTAAAAAGAAACAAACAAACAAAAAACAAAAAACAGAATCAAGAAAATGGATGTCAATCAACTTATAATGAGGCAGCAAAATATAAAATAAGGCAAGCACAGGCCTTGTTTAATTCTTAGCCGTTGGTTCTCTTATTGCATCCTATGTGGTGAAGTAAGAGTTTTATCAATAGAATAAATGCAAAAATATACCTCTGTGCTTGGTATTCCCTTCAGCTAGCATGCCATGTAAAAGGCAAAAATACTAAAGAAGATATCCTAAAACCCTCCATTCTCCCACTGGAGTTTTAAAAAAGTCAGAGCTCTATAATCATTTATAGAACACAGACCAGCAAGAGAGTAGGATTGTGAACATAGAAGATAATTCATAAGTTGGGCCTCTTATGATTTTTCCTTTTAGAAAAACATATAAAACAATGCCTGATTTATAGCAATTCATAAAGTATGAATGGACCTGACATTCAGGTTAATGAAGGCCCTTGCAAGTTGTAAATGCTGTGTCTGTAAAGTGATGAGACATTTTCTTGTGCAGATTGTCAGTTGGGGCACATTTCTATACATTTTTAAATGCCGAGCACAGAAAACTGATCACATGATTTTATCTTTTTTTTCCCCTAAATGGGCTACTAAAATACAGTACCTGCATATATAAAATCCAAAATCAGTTCACATTATTTAATACATGACCTAACAGACAAAGTATTTAGAATCAGCTCTCTCCTGGACAAAGCCTTAACCACCAAAGAGGATAAGCACTCCTTATTTATAGCCACGATAATATTTGAATTAACCTACCTAAGGACCTCTTGTCATTGTACCAGTACATATTGTTGTGAAAAAACTGAATTTTAATCATTAAACTCTAGGACGGTACACATCATTTACCTGGTACAGATGTATACTGAATTGCATATCCACATGACACTTTTTACAATCATCCGCTTCCATAGAAAAAAAACAGACCTTCTACAAGTGGTGGCTTACAGAGTGAATATGAAGTTAATTTCCTATAAAAAAAAAAACCTTTATGTATTTTTTATGTACTTACCACTCTTCCCAAAGGATCAGGATGTAGATTAATCAGGAATCCTATTTGAGGAGAATACTGTTTTCATTTTCCTTCTAGAAATACAAGATGGCGGGCCTTTCTATATGTAGCTTGTATAATAAATAATGATTTATTGTGTGTCTTTTTTGTATGTTCTGAATTTGGAGCTTTCATCTTGTTCCAAACACAAACCATCTGCTCATACAGCTCTCCTACTCTAGAATGTAATTTCCCCTTTCCTCTAATTATTCTAATCCTGTTTCCTTTCTTCAAAAATTGGCTTTAGTCAGTCTTCCTTAGTTAGCCTCAGTGACTACGCTTTCTCATAAAATTTTTATGCAATCCCTAATATTCTTAGATACCCTAGGAAATAGGTTAGCTGTTAACTGTTTTTTTAATGATTTCAAGAGTAGTAGTTTAATTTCTCTAATTCTATTTAGAGTAAATTAAAGGCAAGAAGTAGAATTTTACTTAAGATATGCCATTTTTCTTCTTCAGTGCATTCAGGTTATTTATTAAAAACAACAACACTTGATTATGAAATTTACATGTGTACATTGCAAAGACCTTACAAGATATAGAAGAGCATAACAAAGGAAATGAAAATTCTACCAACTGGTGAGAACCATGACTGAAGATACACACACCTTCCAATCTTGTTATCTTGCACACACAGACACGGATAGTTAAATAAAGGCCATATTGTGCATATTATCCTGCTTTTAAAACTTTCATATTCTTTTGTGTGATGAAATATCCTTCTGATAAATGATTTTTAATGACTGATTAATATCCTATCTTATGAATGTATGTTTCACTCTAAAAATTAAATAATAGCTTATATTCATCAACTCTGAGTTGGGGATGAAATACAGTGGCTTTTACTTTCTTTCATCCCTCCTGAATTTGACATAGAAGAAAAGCCAGGAAATGAGATGGTGAAACAGGAAAAAGAGGGTTAAATATGTCTAAAAATGTATGATGGATGGCCACATTCTAGATATAATTGTGATGTGTTTCCACATTGCCTATTATTTATTTTTTGTGATAATTTTTGTTATATTAATATAAAATTACACCAGCTAATGTAGATTTACCCATTTTAGAGAAAACCAAGAAATAATGGCTCTGTTAAACAATTTGAATCACAGGTTACTCCTATTTTATGTGCTAGTGAAACCTATGGTGAAGGAGTCAGCACATTTTAAATTTAAGAGGAAAAAACTTTTCCAAAGAAAATTATTCTATACATAATACATGGATTCTTAAAATAAAACAGCTCCACAAAAGGCAAAAGATCTAACAATCGGTTGGCTTCAAATCCCATGTCTCTCCATCCTTTACTCACTAGATGTTCAGCAGCATCCAATCACCAGGCCTGATCCCATTATTCAGATAGCTGCAGCTTAGGTAAGGGTGAAAGTGAGGGGACAATACAAGAAGTATGAGAATGAGATCTCACTAGCTCAGCATCTAGTCTATCCTGCAATTGTCCTACTCTGATCTTGGGACTCCAGTAGCCCAGCAAATGGTCCTCCACTATCTTGCCATTTTCACTGTGGCTTTTTTTTTCTTACCTTGAAACCAGAACAACGTATAACTTGGTTTCATTCCTGGTCAAATCACTAACCTAATTTACTACCCTTCGATCCCAGTATTCCCATTATAAGAACCCTATTATGTGTCATTTCAATGTCTAGTATAGCTTGTCCCCTCCTACTTGGAAAGTCACCCAATTCTTAGGCTCAATATGAACAATATCCAAATTAGTATCTATATCCTGCATAAGCACCTAGAGGTCTTCTTTGAAAACTATATCTAAAGTAGTCTCTCTTTCGCCCAAGTCAAGTGCCTCTCCCCCAGATATGTTCTATCCAGTGGCCTCGTCTTTCTGTCTACATAGAACTTAACACTATCTGAAATGATTTTATATACAGGCTTTCTATGCCTCTCCCAATATAATTTAGATGAATAAATGACCTGTGCTTATTAATGCTTTCACTCTAGCTTCCAAGCCCCCATTCGTATCACAATCAACCCCAAAGCTTGTTGACATGTACAAAATGTATATTTTATTGTACCCCATATCTGGTCATTTGGCTTGCATTGAGTATTAGCCATCAAGGAATTAATTTCAAGAACATTACTTCAGAGCGTCAAGGAAAGAACACAAGGAACACATATGCAAACATATGCATGCCATTCTTTCCTATGTATTTAATAGGTATTAGTATCTATTGTTTTGGATTTATAGTATATGTGGTGTACATACAAAAATATGAAGACATATTCTCATAAGCATTCTATTGACTCTAGACATAATAAGTGGAGGCGAATAATTAACAGGAGAAAAACCTTAAAGTAGTTCATAGAAGTGTATTTTATATACTTGTCAAGATTAGTCTCCTTTATACATTTTCCACAATTGTTTCCATAAAGAAATGTTCTTAGTTTTTAAGAAATGATCCCTCTTCGTAAATGTCAGCTTTATTGAAATCAAAACAATTTTATTAAACCATAAACAAACTCAGTGTTCTCTTAGGTTTTTAATTATTTCTTTCTTTATGAAAATAAAAAGAGTATTAACACAAAGAAACAAAATATGAGGAAACAGAGTCGCAGTTGTAGGGGTGAATTATTTAATTTAAATGCAATCAACCATTAGAAATACAGTTAACAATGGACAAGAGATACTCAGTTTTTCAGTACATGCTTATCTTGTGCTCAAGACACTTTTAGCCAATTAGCTGCTCAATTGACTAAGTACCTCCTACCTTACTTATTTGAATAAGTAAGGAACTTCAGTAGAGGAATTCAATAAGCAGAAGAACTTCAGCAAGACATAATTATTATATAGCAGCACACAAAGCAGACACAAATCCTTGATGGAAAATAACTTATACAAAGCAATATGGCACCTAGCAAATTGATTGGTGTGGCTGTTTTCCTAATTTAGAAAGCAAGGTCATTGAAATTCCTAAATAATTTGAATACTTTGGTTAAGAGTAGAGAATCAAATATCAAAGATTTAGTTAAAATTAGACGAAAAAGCCCTCTTCCTTACTGAATTTCTTTTTCCTAGAATTTGTTCTTGTTTTACTTCTGATTAAATAAATATGCACACCCTTAAACATGATAAAAATATTTAAGAAGCTATTATTCTTTCATTGGGAAATGAATAGAAGTTACTCATACAATAATAGGTGACGTCGGAGGATTTGTGGAATTAAAAAATCTCAAAGAAAAAAATGACAAAAATGGACAGTAAAACATCCACGGGTTTATCTGTAATACCCTTGAAAGAGTAGTTTTTAAAAAATTCTTCAAGAAATGGTGTAGTTGAAGATCTTAAAGTGCTAAGGAACCTAACAGTTTGGGGACTGTGTCTTCTAGGATCAACAATACAGTTCCATGATGACTTGAAATAATATTTTTTTAGTAAACTTGTGTTCGCTCATCAAGCATTTCTTGCCATTTGACAAGATAAAATTATCTGTTGTTGTTTCTTAGTATATTTTAAAAATATATATAAAAAAAGAAATTGAAGTTTTTTATACTGGTAGAACATTATTATGAATAAATTCTTGCAGCTGCTAATCTCTTAATTCTTGATTCAAATCTGGAAATATAAGTGATGATGGTGTTGTTACTGAAATTTACTTGGCTTTCTAAACAAACAGCATAGTTAGGTCTTTGAACAAGATAGATTCTCTTAATTGCACTAGAAGACAGGTATTTGGTTCAAGTATGCCATTTCTTGAAGGCTGGCCACCACATTTGCCTAACAATTGCCACCCTAATTGCTTCTGCTGCTTCAGATTCCCTCTTTCTCCAGCAGGCAAACAAGAAAGCTTTATTTGTGCTTGGAAATATATCAAATCACTCTAATGAAACTTCACTTTTCAGAAGTGCTGTCAAAAAGGTAAAAAGTGAGTTTCTTCTCTTAAAAATGAAAGATGGACAGATGAAAGCTCAAGTTGTACGAGTGAAGAGTGCCTAGCCTTTCTTTTGCTCTTCAGCTCCATTTCCTAAAACACATTCTTTTTATATCTGATACAATCTGAAAACTCTCTAGAGAGAGAGGGAGAAAAAAATAATAGCCTCATTTTTGATACTATAAAATTTTCTTGAGTTTTTCACATTTCTGCCTGTTTCTGAATACCTGGAAAAATTTAAAAATCTTTAATATTTAATTTATAGCACAATTTTTAGCTATATTTTTTAAAAATAATGTTCAAAAAATGAATTACATACCAATTATGGTCTCAATAAGTCATATTTTAAAATAAAATATTTTCAGCAAAAAATATAAATTTAAAAAATAATAAAAATGCATGTTCCTAAAATACTTAGAAATTCCAACCACTAAAACCCAGTATAGAGTATATATATATATCTCAATTTGCTCCCAAAACTTTAGAAAATATATATATTAATATGTAAAGATTTTGATACTATAATACTATATGTGGTCTCTGTATACGAAATTGAATATGTGCATGTATTAGTCTGTAAAACTTAGTTTAAAATAAAATATAAAAATACTACTGTCTTTCCGAAATATTTCAGAACCATGACAGGAAAAAAAAAAAAAGACCAGTCTATATAGTTCATATGAACCACATTTTTACTTTAAGTACCTCTTTGTAGCTAATTTCCTAATGGTATTTTTGCAGTCATACTTAATTCACATATAAAGTAGTTTCCACTCATTAGTTAAGTAGTGGACTGGTCTCAGAATGCACACTTTTAATTCATCCTTGGACAAAGTTACAAATTTTTACATGTGACAGATATTTAGAGTTGCTTAAACAAGTCAAAGCTTGATTGAAAGTTAAATTCTCAAATGTCACTGGCATTTTCACAAAAATCAATATGGAAGAGTCAGGGAATGTTCTTGAATACGAGAGAAATGGGCAAGAATCCTGGAAATGCCATAAAGAACACAAAGAGAAATTATAGGTGGCCAGTCTCCAGTCCAGGTATAGAAAATTAGACAAACAGAGTTGCAGGAATGCTGGTTAGCAACAAAATGCAGTCACTACGTTAGACTGAGTGCTGGGCATGGAATGTGAGATCAGCAGACCTGGTTGAGAGGCAAAACTATCATCACTGAACCCTGTATCCTTGGGCAGCAAGTTAATTCCTATAAATTTGGAGAAAATAACACCTACCTTATAGAACAATTTTAAAAATAGAACAATGTTCATAAAAATTTGTCAAATATGTACTGATGTAAGCAATCTACCTATACTTTGCAAACTACTACACAAATTCTTATATTTATTGATATAAATAAGATGGAATTTCTTACCAAGGATGAATTCCAACTGCGGTTCATTTGGAGTCTTCTGGATACCTATAAATAATAGGAGCAAATTCAGATTTTTAAAAAATTGAATTATCAAGAATATGTCAATATATATTACTATGCTTCATTGTGACCAGAATGAATAAAGACAGTATTTGGCAGAATGAATAAACTTGGTTTATCAGGGTTATAAATAATCAGTTCTCAGGGCAGGGCATAATATTTGTTGCAGAACTAGATGTGACTTAAGATTTGATTGGTCATTTTATCTGTATGGTTATAAAGAAACCAAGAAATGTTTTTGTAAGCCATGGCAAACATAAAACATATTTCACAACTGTGTTTATCTCTTTTGGATGCAATGTAGACAGAAGTGGATCCTTCATAAAGAACCCCCTTACCAAAATACTCTCTTAAATGGATTTTTTTTCCAAGCCACTCTAACCTGCTGTAAACAGTAAATCAGTAACAAAAGAGGTATCTTCAGCTAGGTTATGATGGACATTGTAGTGCTGGTTATTCTGCTAATTTATTAATAGCTCAAACCAACATTTTGTAAAATGTTTCCATTCCTTTGGTCAGCAATGTTTAAAAAATATAACAAGATGGCTAAATAATTTAAGATGAGCTAGGAGTGAAAGTGAGTCTGGGGACAAAGGTACAGAAATGGAACCATCTAACAGCTAGAAGGTAGAGTGATCACATTGTGGGAAGTGATATGGGTAGATGCCTAAAATCCACACACAGTGTAGCAGCTTCCTAAACAAGAGTGGATGACTGGATGTATGAACGGGAGGCCATTTGTTACAACTCAAGGGTGGCCAAAGAAGCAAAACTAACATGTATGAAAAAGTAAACTATTTGGCAATAAATGAAAGAGTATTATACAAATCCTTTCCTTGCTTATTTTTGCTGGTGCATTCATCAGATACTATTTAAATTTACTGGCATTTGGTCACTAATATATTTTAAGAATCACCTTTTTGTATAAAAATTAACTGCTTTTTATTCACAGTTATTTATTATTTATTTTTGCACAGTAACTATATTTTTTCTCCTGCTGACATTTAGCAATTGCTTTGGTTAACAATTTTAGATTTTTCAAGAGAGGTTAAAGTGACAATCATTAGGTAGGTTTTTGTGAACTTGAAATGTCTGCGTTTTTTTAAAAGGTCATTAGCAATTAACTCTGCTTTCAACATTGACAATCAGATTTCTCAAAAACGCATCCAACCAATACAATTTTCTAAAGATTAGCTTTATAATGTAAATTAAAAGAGAAGGTTAGGCATATATTTGCCAGTGTTAAATAATTGGACTACAGGAATCTTCTGAAAAGAAAGGAAAAAGGCATAAAAGGCATAATTCATGCTAAACAATAAAACCCAAACCCTAGAATTTTAAATACAAAAGAAAACATACAATTCTTCCAATGATTTTATTTACTTGAGTAATACAAAACCAATTTTAATGTTCACATGCAAACTTGGCCAAATCTCCACTGGCTCTATATTTGTGGCCTAGTGCTCTCTGGTATGGCAGTGACAGTCTAAATTTCTAGTGTAACAATTTTTTTCTTAATGCTTTCAACTTAAGTACCTTTTGGGTTTAAAGAGAGAATTTCTACAGTATAAAAAAATTCCCATATAAGATTATATAAATGCCAGTTATTCTTAGAAAGTATTAGTGTCTAGAAGGTATACTTAAAAAGTATTCATTAGGCTCTTAATATATATTCAAGATATTTAATCTTGTTATTTGATATTTAACCATTTCATGGACTATCATCTATCTTACCCAAGATAAAAGATGAGAGGCATATCATACACTCATGCCACCAAGGTAAATAGTGCAAAGGAAAAATACTTTGGTAATTTCATGCCATTTATTAGAACCGAAGTTCCTATGAATCTATGAATGCATGTATGTATGTGTAAGTTTCATCGGCCCAATTTGCATCTTTAGATGCAAAAACAGGGAGGGATACACACATACTTACTTGTGAACTGACAGTCCCCGGGATCATTGGCCTGGGCTGTAGGAAGAAAGTGCTGCCCTTCTTCTGATGCCCCTTCCTCTTTAATTTCCATGATCAACCTTCACAGTTTTAAAATTTTCCAAATTTTCTTGTCCAAATGTCAGTTCTAGTGATTCCTGGTTTAATGTAGATGTATCTTCACACTAAAGATCTGATATCCCACTCTGAAATTCTGTACCTAGGAAACATCAAAAGTTAAAATTTCAGTCATATTGGAGTTCAGTATAAAGCTAAAAAGTAAAGGTAAGTAGAGACTGCAACTACATTCAAATAAACTTTCTTCCTGCCTACTCCACTCATACTTTCAGAACCATTCCACACAGTTAATGCATCATAAAGTCTAGGTTTAATAGGTATTCTCAAAGCAATTATTACATAGTCATATGAAAGATTTCTAAAACATGAAAGGTGTATTATTTATCTTCTAGTTCAGTCTGTAAGATAGTGGATAGCTATAGGGGCTGCTAACTTAGTATAAAACCTAATTTAGCAGCAAGAGCATGTAGCATCTTGTCAAGACATTACCATGTTTTGGCAAGGTGAATATTACTATCGTTCTTTCCATTAGAATTGCCCTTTATGCTCATCTCTCCATCCACCCTTGTTAGAACATTATTACTGACCACATAAAAAATAATTTGGCATGACATTCTTCTTCCAAGATGAGCCAACAGGTTGTACAGGAGAGTTTCCAACCTCATTATTATCCATGGAGTCTTTTGCTGCTCTACTTGATAAAGGTGTAATTGTTTAATGATCATGGTATATGCTGAAAAGAATGAATCATTCTTCTAAAAAGCTAAAGCTCAAGGGGAAATTAAAGCAATAGAAAATTGATGAAAATTAGCATGGGGAAAGAAAGACTCTCCAAGAACTTAATACCCTGTCATACAGACAGCCTCAAATACTTACAAATTCATTTTTATATTTAACATGATATATATGACCAAGAATAAATTTTTTAAAAAATCAATGTTGTTTTAAATCAAGTTACCAGCTGAATTAAAATGTATAAAAATATTTAAATGTCTGCCCAATGCCGTTTAATGAGATAGCAGTAATCAAGTTTGGTTTATAATACTAATAATGTCTCAAACTTCACAAACCAACAGCCTCACTCTTTGCAGTTCTTGGTAAAGTGGCTTCATTTATAATTCAGCTCTAGTTTAAAAAAATCTGGCAGAAATTAAATTCAAAACGCTTCTTGAATTTTTAGAAAATAGTATAATAAAATTATAGATAAATACATATTGGCTTCTAAGGATACAATCAAGAATATTTCTGGGGGTAGAAGGCTATTGCACCATCAATTAGACCAAATCCATCAATTTGAACATTATGTTTTGAATTAATAATAAAGCTTGAACAGCGATCATGCTTCCTAATTTTTTTTACCATTAAATTTAGAAGTCTTTTCTGATAAGAACACACACATTCATAGCACCACGTTCTCCCAAAGACCTATGACAAATGCTAATAGTGAGATAATATCTGTAGCAGACTGCAAGGCATGTGTGACTTGGACATGAGGACTATATAATTTGTTAATTTCTCTATATTTCTTGACCAAAGACTCAACCCACAATCCTGATCAGTCATCTTCAAATGTGAAAAGGAGGCAGTATGATGAATCCTAGCAAAATAACACCTCAGCACACTATCGGTGAATAATTAATGAAATAAATATCTAATTCTGTTTATCGGTATATGTGCACTTGTATAATTTGAGGATGGGAGGAGAAGACTGACGTAAGATGTCTACAAAGTCTCATTAATGTGGTCCCATTTTAAGCATACTATCCATGCAAAACTAATTCGCTAAGTGAAAATAAATTCAATTTTAGAGAGAATGAAGTTAAATATACAAAACAAGAATTATGAGATAACCTCTTGATATTCTGTTTATTTTCACTGAGGACAAACTGAAGATTTGGTACTTGTTATCCAAGTACACACTTCAGAAGGAATTAGTCACAAAGCTCAAGAAAGTAACTGCATTTTTAGCTGTTAAGTAGAGCATTTACCTATGGTTATGATAACATACAGCAGTTTATTTTCTGTGCCTACTTGCAAAATTTTTTCACAATAATAGATTGTGGTTGTTGTATACCACAAGCATACTTAAAAGAGATAGCTTTTAAGCATATTTCTACTCAGGCCAGTTCTCACATCTTTTATCTTACTCAGAAGAGGTACAAGCTGAATGGTCATCATACTCAGAAAATACTCTTGGTTCTCTCACCCTCCCCCAGGGACAAAAGATGATTGGTAGTTATAGTTCAGTTATATTTAATTGAACAATATTTCTCACTGACCACTACAATAACAGATATTTGTTAATATTTTGTACACTCACATTATAAAGGGCAATCTGACAGACACATAAAATCATACAAGAAGGTTATTATTAATTAGGAAGACAAGACTAACAACACACATCGAAAAATTGGAGACATTACATAATGAAGGGGCAAATGTGATGTGTTCAACATTAGTACAGCACTGTTCACTCACCAGTGATAGGTAAATCAAATAGCATCTTCGTGTCAAGATAGTGTTCTGCCAGCAAATTGCAGGTACAGGAGATTGGTGTTAAGGAGAATGCCCTTAGTTGTTATGGTTCCTGTTTAATAGCATATTTCAGGGACAGTGTCATATACCAGAGTTCTCATCAAATTTGAGATTTTTTTTAAAAAAGGAAATGGAGATTAAAAGAAATAAGATAAAGGGATTAAAATAAAAAGTACAGAAGATGAAAGGAGCAAAAAGAGGTGTCAGATTTCTTAGTGATTACATGTAAAAAATTGTAATGAGGGCAATCACTTTGCAAATATTAAATAATGCAACTTATTTACAATAGTCTTTACCTCACAATCATCTATAGAGACCGAGACGTGATATTTTTTAGTCCAGTGTAAAAAATGGCAAAACAAGTTTGAGGAAACAAGATGTGCTAAATCCTTTACCTCTCATTTAGTGAACTATGGTGATGTACCTGGATGGTCAAATTCCAAAATTTTTACATAATGAGCTGAAGACACTCCTGAAATCCATGAAGTTGGAATCAGAGGTAGACAAAGACAGGTGAGGGAGACCAAGTCAGGGTTCAGGGAGTGGTGCTCCTCTCTAGGACTTTAAATCCCAGAAGGGAGGAGAACTCACTGGTGGATGGCAAGTGGATGTCCTGTCTCCATTGCAAATATAGGAGGAACCATCTTTCAGGTTGTCCCTGTGGAAACATTGAACTTTCTACCGGGGGTGGAAGAGAGCCCATCAAGTAGATGGGCAGAGGGACAGGGCCTCAGTTTAAACCCAGCATTTCCCTCTGCTCCTCTCACTCATGGATAAGCCTGAGAAAAGACTACTGGCTCTCAAAGTGTGGATAAAAAGGAAGCTGAGCTGAGACCTAGCACATGTCTCTGATAAAAGGGATACGGTGACCCTGCAGCAGAGGTTATAGTGTTGGCTTTCTAGGCCAAGAAGCAGATAGAGGATATGGCCAAAACTCAGTAGGTTTTCTCTGCCATCTAGAGACAAGATGAGGCCTAGTTAGTCAGAAAGCATGAGAGAGGACAATCTATGCAGCAAGGGTGTCCAATCTTTTGGCTTCTCTGGGCCACATTGGAAGAAAAAGAATTGTCTTGGGCCACACCTAAAATGCACTACCAGATAGCTGATAAACTAGAAAAAAAAAATCACCAAAAAAAGGCATAATGTTTTAAGAAAGTTTACAAATTTGTGTTGGGCCACATTCAAAGCAATCCTGGGGCCGCAGGTTGGACAAGCTTAGGCTACAGGTTACTCCAGCCAGATGGGGGAGCAGTGACTGGGCCAGGATTGCTGTGTCTCAATGGACAAAAGCAAATATCCACCCAGTAACACATGAGACAAATGAGTTCCATTTGTCCCATGCCACATGGTCATGTGAGACCCTTTTCCTCACACAAGTGGCACTATCTTAGGAAAAGAAGCAGGGAAAAGGGGAGTTAGCATAAAGATACTTAAACACAAGTGTTTTCAACAGTAGTGGATAGGAAGTTAAAAACTTTTATTCATTTAGTTTTGTTTTGTTTTGTGCTCTCACTTAGTGAGTGCTTATCATGACCAAAATATGAAGGGAAAAAAAAGTCCTTTCAATAAGAATGAAACTTGCCATTCCTACCACAAATTTAATTTTTTTCTAGTTAAAATCATTTTTAATGAAATGTTTAAAAAATCCCTACATAGTTATCCCTTTAAGATAAAAAAAAAAGTACAGGAATTTATTTGGGGGAGGGGGGGTGGGGCCAAGATGGCCAACTAGAAGCAGTGGTGATCAGAGGCTTTCATCTAAAAGAAGCAAAAGAGCATACAAATCCTGCACCAGCAACTGAGGTATCCAGTTCTGTCATCAGGACTGATAGGTGGCTGGCATGACCCAGAGAGTAAAAGGAAGAGCAGTGTGGTGTGGCTGCCCACCTGAGAGCCATACGGGGAGGGGAGCCCCCATACCCAGACAAGGGAGGCAGGAAGTAAGTGTGCTATTCAGCCTGGGGAAACTTGCTTTTTCCAAGGAACTGTGCAACCCATAGATCGGAAGTTCCCACTCATGAACCCATGCCACTGGGGCCTAGGGTCCCAACCACAGAGCCATGCAGATTCTCAACAGCCACTTGGCTGGAATCTGCCTAAGTCAGCCAGGTTTCTGGGGGGAGGGGCGGCATCACCACTGCTGCTGTTGTTTGCTGTCTAAACCTTATGAGCTCCTTGGAGGAGGGGCAGGAGCCAACATTGCAGCTGCTAGCTACTTAATACACTAAGCTCCCAGTGGGGAAGGGCGGCAGCTATCACTGAAGCTCCAGGCCACACTTTACCCCTGCTGAAGCCAGGGAGGCTGGACGACTGGGTCCCGAGAGGTATTCTCCACAGCCCAGCACACAGGCTGTGGCAGACTACGGCCAGATTGCCTCTTCAAGCCAGACACTGACCCATCCCTCCTCACTGGGCGAGGCCTCCCTACAGGAACTCCAACAACTCCAGCCAGGTGCTCAGGGACAGAACTCTGATCTCCCTGGGCCTGAGCCCCTAGAGAAAGGCGTGGCAATAGTCTCTGTGAACCAGCAGACTTAGTCTTTCCTCCTGCTAGCTCTGTAGAATCCAGGCAGCCCAGAAGAGCAGGTTTCCCTCCAGTGCAGCACACCCCCTCCACCACGGGACAGCGAAAGTGCTTTGTTAAATGGGTCCTGCTTCCCATGCCACCCAACTGGGTGACCCCCCACAAGGGTCATCAGACACCCTATACAGGAGCATTCCTACTAGCATCAGATCGGTGCCTCTTGAGGTCTGAGATACCAGAGGAAGGAGCAGGCACCCATCTTTTCTGTTCTCCAGCCTCCTCAAGTGACATCTCCAGTTGTGGGAGCAAACCAGATGAATAGGGCCTGAAGTGAACCTCCAGCAAACCACAGCAGCCCTACAGAAGAGAGACCTGACTAGTGAAAAACAAACAAATAAAGCAACAACAAGAGCATCAACAAAAATGTCCCCACAGAAACCTCATCCAAGTGTCAGCAGCCTCAAAGATTGAAACTAGACAAACTCATGAAGATGAGAAAGAATCAATAAAAAAAAAAAAAGATGAAAACCCCAAAGGCCAGAGTGCCTCTTCTCCTCCAAATGATAGCAACACCTCTCCAACAAGGGCACAGAACTGGATGGAGGATGAGATGGATAAATTGACAGAAGTAGGCTTCAGAAGGTGGGTAACAACAAATTTTGCTGAGGTAAAGAAGAATGTTCTAACCCAAGGCAAAGAAGCTAAGAACCATGATCAAATGTTACAGGAGCTGCTAACTAGAATAAACAGTTTAAAGAGGAACATAAATGACCTGGAGCTGAAAAACACAGCACAAGAACTTTGTGAAGCATACACAAGTATCCATAGCCAAGTAAATCAAGCAGAAGAAATAATTTCAGAGATTGAAGACTATCTTGCTGAAATAAGGTAGGCAGACAAGACTAGAGAAAAAAAGAATGAAAAGGAACCAACACAACCTTCAAGAAATATGGAACAAAATCTTCAAGAAATATGAGACTAAGTAAAGAGACTGAACCTGCAACTGTTTGGAGTACTTGAAAGAGACAAGGAGAGTGGAACCAAGTTGGAAAACTTCCCCAACCTAGAAAGACAGGCCAACATTCAAATTCAAGAAATACAAAGAACCGCACTAAGATACTCCATTAGAAGATCAGCCCCAAGACACATAATCACCATATTCTCCAAGGTCGACATGAAGGAAAAAATATTAAGGGCAGCCAAAAAGAAAGGCCAGGTCACCTACAAAAGGAAGCCCACCAGACTAACAGCAGATCTCTTAGAAGAAACCCTACAAGCCAGAAGAGACTGGGGGCCAATATTCAACATTCTTAAAGAAAAGAATTTTCAACCCAGAATTTCATGTCTGGCCAAACTAAGCTTCACAAGCTTAGTTTAATGATAAAGGGGATATCACCACTGATCCCACAGAAATACGAACTACCATCAGAAAATACTATAAACACCTCTATGCAAATAAACTGGAAAATCTGGAAGAAATGGTTAAATTTCTGGACATATGCACCCTCCCAAGATTAAACTAGGAAGAAGTCAAATCCCTGAATATATCAATAACAAGTTCTGAAATTGAGGCAGTAATAAATAGCCTAGCAACCAAAAAAAGCCCAGGATCAGACAGATTCACAGCTGAATTCTACCAGAGGTACAAAGAGGAGCTGGTACCATTCCTTCTCAAGCTATTTTAAACAATTGAAAAAAGAAGGATCTCTTTAAGGAGAACTATAAACCACTGCTCAAGGTAATACAAGGGGACACAAATAAATGGAAAAACATTCCACGCTCATGGATAGGAAGAATCAATATTGTGAAAATGTCCATATTGTGCAAAGTAATTTGTAGATTCAATGCTATTCCCATCAAACTACCATTGACATTCTTCACAGAATTAGAAAAAAACTACTTTAAAATTCATATGGAACCAAAAAAGAGCCTGTATAACAAATATAATCCTAAGCAAAAGAACATAGCTGGAGGCATCATGTTACCTGACTTCTAACTATACTACAAGGCTATAGTAACCAAAACAGCATGGTACTGTTACCAAAACCAACAAATATAACAATGGAATATAATAGAGACCTCAGAAATAAGACCACACATCTACAAACATCTGATCTTTGACTACCCTGACAGAAACAAGCAATGGGGAAAAGATTCCCTATCTAATAAATGGTGCTGGAAAAACTGGCTAGCCATATGCAGAAAACTGAAACTGGACCCCTTCCTTACACCTTGTACAAAAATTAACTCAAGATGGTTTAAAGAGTTAAATGTAAAACCTGAAACCATAAGAACCCTAGAAGAAAACCTAGGAAATACCATTCAGGACATAGGCATGGGCAAAGATTTTATGATGAAATTGCCAAAACAACTGCAACAAAAGCAAAATTGACAAATAAAATCTAATTAAAGAGCTTCTGCACAGCAAAACAACAAAAAACTATAATCAGAGAGAATAGGCAACCTACAGAATGGGAGAAAATTTTTGCAATCTACCCGTCGGACAAAGGCCTAATTTTCAGAATTTACAAGGAACTTAGACAAATTTACAAGAAATAAACAAAGAACCCCAGCAAGACATTAAATGCCTTCTACATGTAAAGATGTTTGGTAGCCTAAAACAATTATTTATAAATTTCTTGTGAATAAATCACAGACATAAAATCTATAGATGAGTTAAACCTTTAGGGAATGCACACTGTGGGACCATGGGGTGCACCACTCAGATGTCTCATCAAGAGACCTGCTGTGAGAAATACAGGTGTCTGAGCCTCGAGCCTCCATGTCTGCAGAATACTCCAAGGTCCTCAGGGAAGCCATGTGCCTCCTAGATCGCTCCAAGTGCCTACACATGGCAGAAGTATTATAGTCAGGCCATTTCTGCCTGTTGCGGGATTTTGCTAACAAGCAATCTTTGTTCTGGGGCTCCCCATCAGCTTGGCCAAGACTTTCTTAAAGCTGTACTATAGTCTGAGGCTCTTCCTGTGTAATTCTCCCCCTTCCGTCTCTGTGTGGAAGTGTCATACAGGTGTATTACAGTCTGAAGATTCTCCCACCCTGCTCTCTCACCTTTATCCTTCTCAAGTGTCCTCCCAATAAATCTTTTGCATGTCTCATTTCATCTTGGCATCTGTTTCTGAAAGACCCAAACTGACACAAACACTTAGTAAACACTACTATGGGAATATATTCCCTCCTTCATGGATTCTTTCACATTTTATTAATTTATGTACCTATCTATATGTGTGTGTATTTATTTGGGCTGATTCTTGACAGAACAGAAATTCTGAGACATGAACAAAAGAATGCACAAAGTCAAGAGTTTAATCAATTTTTCCTCCTATGAAGCAGCATACAAGTAAGAAAGAAACTCTCTAATGTTGGTATTCCCTATCAGCTTCTAGCCAAAATTTAAAACTCTCTCTGAGCCAGTTATGGAGTTGAGTTGATGACAACCTATGATATCAAATATGCAGAAGAAACGGGTCACATTACACCCAATGGCTTTCTACATTCCATTCTATCATCCTCAGATACATTCCTAATTGACATACCTTCAAATTCTATGGGCCAGGTTTAAGTGCCACCTCATCCATGATGACTTCTCTTTCTTCAGCTGAAAGCAATACCATGCTCTCCTAAGTTCCCCTAGTAACTTATCTCACATAATTTATTACTGTTTATTTTCTACTTTATAGATATACATTTTTTCCTCTGCTTTTTAATAAAATAACTCTGTCAGAACGTAAATTTGATTCTCTTATTTCCCCATAGCAACAAGATTGATTCCAATAAGCACTAGATAAATCTATTCATCCATTTATTGTATAAACAAACATTTATTAAGAAGTCACCATGTGCAAGGCACTGAGCACACAGAAATAACTAACTTAGGATTGGCCTTTAAAAGAATTCAGTCTTAGTAGGAGGAAATCAAATGAATAGTTACAGTGGAATGTGATAACTGCCATGAAAGGGATATTATCAGAGTATAGGGCAGAAGGAAAGAGCACCAAATAAGGGCTCAAATAAATCCAGGATGACTGCATGGAAGAGGCTCCAGGAAGTGAACTACGTGAAGGGGAGAGTCCTGGCAATTCTAGGCCAACGGAGCAGCAGGAATGAAAGATGTGGGAAAATAAGAATATGACAAGTCAGAGAATTGCAAATAGTTCAGTTTGGCTAAATCCAAGATGTTGGTTTTCCTAATGTTTTTTATCCTGTCAATGAAATTTTTTCATATGAAATATAATGGCTTATATGTAAAACAGATAAAAGCAGAGCTGCTCTGTTTGGTGTGGGCTGGGAAATACAAGCCCTATTAACCCCCTGCCCGTCATTCACTCCTTGCCTTCACTTTTTCTCTCATGGAGCTTTAAAAATACATTCTTAGAACTCAATTTGAAAACTTTGAGTCTCCTTCTTTTTTAAAATAAATACATTTTATTGTGTATATTTAAGATATGCACATGACGTTATAAGATACACATATATGGCAAAATAGTTACTATGGTGGAACAAATTAACATATTCATCATCTTATTCATTTACCTATTTTGGCCCCTGTGGCAAGAGCAGCTATAATCTACTCATTTAGCAAAAATGCTGAATAAAATACTATTATTAAGCACTGTCCTCATGTTGTCCATTAGATTTTTGTGTGTATGGTGGTGGTTATTCCTTATCTGAGATGAGAATTGCTTCCAGAGAAAAACTAGCAAGACAAGCGGAGATCAGAGAAAAAGCTTGAAGGCCAGGCTAGAGAGAATAAGCTTAATTATGAGAGCAGAAAGAAGCCACATTAGATATACTTAAGCAAGAGAGTGACATGATCATACGTGAATTTTAGAAAATCCACTACAGTGTCAAAAAGTAAAGACTGTACTGAAAGGTGGTAGCTTGATAAGAAAAGCAACCTATTTAGAGGTTAATATTCAAGGAAAATAAAATAATAATGAGGGTTAAGCCAAGATAGAAGTATATGATTAGAGAACAGAATCTAGATTCTAAGTTATTAAATAGAATTACCTGATGTTGGTGATAGAATTAGATGTGATATCAGAGGTGAATTCATGCAAAAGAGAAAGATCATGCTACCTAGTAAATTACAAGCCACTAACCTATCAGGAGAGAATAAAAGGAATTTTAGTCAAGGATAGTTAATTTAGTTTTACTCATGTTGTTCTGAGGTGCCTTAGAAACACACATGGGTCTAAATTTTCTGGAGAAATATTAAGTCTAGAGAAGTATCTTTGGTTAAGTGTATTTGGCTAATGGTTAAAACCAAATAATTCATGAAGTCACTAAAAAAATGCATATAGTGAGAAGAAGAGAGGGCTGAGGAATTAATCTTAAGGTGCAAAAATATTTAAGGGGACAAGAAAAGAAGTTAGTTGGAAAAGGCATGGTCAGTGATGGGAGGAGCAGCAGGTAGGAAGAACAGAGGGAACAGTGTCATCACTCTACTTAGCTGATATTTCTCAAGCAGATAAGGCCACTGAGTTAAGAAATAGCTTTTTTTTTTTTTTTAATAATTGGGATACATAAGCACATTTAAATGCTGAAGTAACATGGCCAGAAAAGAGAGAGAGAGAGAAATAGAATTGAACATTAAGGAGATACAAGCAAGGCAAAATCCAGGTGGTACAATCCACTATAATTAAAGAAAGGAAGGTGAGTAGAAAATGATGCATGATCTGAAATTGATGATGCTCTTACCAATGGCTTTATTTTTTTTCTTAAATAAAAAAGCATATTTATGAACTCAATGTAGAAAAAGATTTTTCAACCCAACTTCAAAAGCATAGACCATAAGAAAAACATGGGCCAGGCACGGTGGCTCACGCCTACCTGTAATCCCAGCACTTTGGGAGGCTGAGGTGGGTGGATCATGAGGTCAGGAGTTCGAGACCAGCCTGGCCAACATGGTGAAATGCCATCTCCACCAAAAAATACAGAAATTAGCTGGACGTGGTGGCATGTGCCTGTAATCCCAGCTATATGGGTGGCTGAGGCAGGAGAATTGCTTGAACCCGGGAGGCGGAGGTTGCAGTGAGCCAAGATCATGCCACTGCACTCCAGCCTGGGCAACAGAGCAAGACTCCATCTCAAAAAAAAAAAAAAAAAAAGAGAGAGAAGAAAAAAATAAAAAGATGAATAAATCTGACTACTTTAAAATTAAATGTTCTGTGGGCAAAAGATGTCATAAAAAGTGAGGAAACAAACCACGGACTAGGAAAATATATTTGTCACATAGAAGGTACCAGTTTCCATTTAGGATGTACAAAGATATAAAAGAATGACTCCCACCCTAACTTCAAGGAAAACTTAAATGATGCATGAAATCATAAGTTTTCCTTAACTAGTAAAACAGATGAGGTCTCAGGGCAACCAACTAGTTGGATACCTAAGGAAATTTACATGTCTCCATGGAGCAGAGCATGGTAGGAAGATATGTCAGGCACTGTATTAGTCTGTTCTCACACTGATAATAAAGACATACCTGAGACTGGGTAATTTATAAAGAAAAGAGGTTTAATGGACTCAAAGTTCCATACAGCTGGGGAGGCTTCACAATCATGGTGGAAGGCAAAGAAGAAACAAAGGCACATCTTACATGGCAGCAGGCAAGGGAGAGCTTGTGCAGGGGAACTCCCATTTATAAAACCATCAGATCTCGTGAGACTTATTCACTACCATGGGAACAGTATGGGGGAAACTGACCCCATGATTCAATTATCTCCACCTGGCTCTGCCCTTGACACATAGGGATTATTACAATTCAAGGTAAGATTTGGGTAGGGATACAACCAAACCATATCAGACCTCAAAAAACCTGGTAATAAGAATTCAGCCAAAATATATAATGTCATCTGTGGGCTAGCATGAGAATATAACACTCCTGAGAGCCTTTACTCAAGAGTATTCTGCACTGACTAAAGGGTCTTCTTTATGGACCTCACCCAAATGCCCATGAGAATGATTGGAAGCAGAGTGGGTGCCTGGAGAAAGTGTCCCTTTGAGGTACATGCCTGCTGAAGGGGAACAGCAGTAATTGCAGGAAAAGTACAAAGACCCACTTGGATCCTCTTTCCTACAGAACAAAAATGACAGACCCTGCTGACCTTAGGTGAAGACTCATTGAAATTAGAAAGGGAGGAGCAGTAAATCTTCCTGGGATGACACCACTAGAGATCCTCTGATCCTTTATTACTATAGAGTGATCGGATCACTGAGAAAGTCCCACCCCAAGACCCAAGAACATCGGGCCTGTCTACAACCAAGCATGAAAGATGACGATAGAGAATGCCTCTGCCCCCGCCACCAGGCTGAGACACCAAGAAACAGGTGACAGAAGGCTACCTCCCACCAGAGGGGGCATGCAAGCACAAATAATGAACCTCTCTCAGGTAGAAACTTCCAAGAAAGCTTAAAGTAGAGAGTGGAGAGTGGAGAGCAGTCTCCAGGCATCTAAACCGCACTCTAAGCACAATTTAATATTAAAGTAGAATAAAGAGGGGAGGAAGAAGAGAAGAAGATAAAGGAGAGGGAGAAAGAAGAGGAAGAGAAGGAAAAGTGGGGCAGAAGAGGAGAAGGATGAAAAAGTGTCAAAAGCAAAAGCAAAAAAATAATATGTACATATATACCAAGAGACCCAGACTCAGATATTACCCAGGTATTAGAACTAACAGAAAGGGAATATGCTAAAAACTCTAGTGGAAAAAGTGGAGAAGTTGCATGACCAGATGGGGAATTTTAGCAGAGATAGAAGCTATAAGAAAGAATAAAACCAAAATACTAGAAATGTAAATAAAACATAATAACAGAGATGCAGAATGCCTTTGACAGGCTAACCAGTAGGTTTGACACAGGCAAGGAAATAATCAGTGAACTTGAAGATAGTCTAATAGAAATTATCCAGACTTATACATTTAAGTTCCTTGTAGATTTTTGACAGTAGACCTTTGTCAAATGGATAGATTGCAAAAATTTTCTCCCATTCTGTAGGTTGCCAACAAACAACCCCATCAAAAAGTGTGGGCGTAGGATATGAACAGAGACTTCTCAAAATAAGACATTTATGTGGCCAACCAACATGAAAAAAACCTCATCTTTACTGGTCATTAGAGAAATTCAAATCAAAACCACAATGAGATATCATCTCACACCAGCTAGAATGTTGATCATTAAAAAGTCAGGAAACAACAGATGCTGGAGAGGATGAAGAAAAATTTACACTCCCACCACACTGTTGGTGGGAGTGTAAATTAGTTCAACCACTGTAGAAGACAGTGTGGCGATTCCTCAAGGATCTAGAACCAGAAATACCATTTGACCCAGCAATTCCATTACTGGGTATATACCCAAAGGATTATAAATTATTCTACTATAAAGACACATGCACATGTATGTTTACTGCAGCACTATTCACAATAGCAAAGACTTGGATCCAACCCAAATGCCCATCAATGATAAACTGGATAAAGAAAATGTGGCACATAAACACCATGGAAGAGTATGCAGCCACAAAAAGAAAAAAAAGAATGAGTTTATTTCCTTTGCAGGGATATGGACGAAGCTGGAAACCATCATTCTCAGCAAACACACAGCCACGAAAAACCAAACACCACATGTTCTCACTCATAAGTGGGAGTTGAACAATGAGAACAAACAGACACAGAGAGGGGAACATCACACACCAGGGCCTGTCAGGGTGTGGAGGCCAAGGGGAGGGAGAGCATTAGGACAAATAGCTAATGCATATGGGGCTTAAAACCTGGATGACTGCTTGATGGGTGCAGCAAACCACCATGGCACATGTATACCTATGTAACAAACCTACACGTTCTGCACATATATCCCAGAACTTAAATTATAATAAAAAAAGAAAAAAAAATTATCCAGACTTAAACACAAAGAGTGAAAAAGCACGATAAGCAAAAAAGCATAAAAGAGATCCACAGTAGACTGTGACAATTCAAGCAGTCTAGTACATATGTTATTTGAATCTTAGAAGAAAAAATAGAAAAGAATAATTATTTGAACAGATAATGACTGAATTTGCAAAAATACTGAAAAACAACAAATACAAGAACAAAACGTCAAGAAAACTGGTGTGGCCACATCAATGTCAGACAAAATAGATTTCACATTAAGGAATACTAACATGCACATTATATAATTATAAAATGGTTAATTCATCAAGAAGACATTACGATCTTAAATGTGAATGTACCTAAAAATTTCATAACAGATGAAGCAAAAACTGACAGAAGTGAAATAGACAAATCCACAATACTTGAGGACACAAACATTCCTCTAATTGTCAGAGTAAACAGAAAATCAGTGAGGATATAAAATACTTAGACAACACTACCAACAACTTGACCTAACTGACACTTATAAAATGCTCTGCCTAACAATAGAGTACATATTTTTTCAAAGTGCTTATGGAATATTCACTAAGACAGCTTCTATGCTGACTCATAAAAGAAACCTTAACAAATTTAAAATAAATGAAATCATAACAAGTGCATTTTCTGACCACAAGGAGATTGAACTAGAAATAACTAACAAACATATCTAGAATATTTCAAAATATTTGAAAATTAAACAATATACTTTCAAGTAATTGATAAAGCAAAAAGAAAGTCACAAAGAACATTTATATTTATTTGAACCAAAATAAAATCACTAAACTATATATCAAAATATGCTTGGAGGAAAATTTGTTGTATTAAATGTTTATGTCAGAAAAGAAGGTCTCAAATCAATTATCTAAGCTTTTACTTCATAACTAGAAAAAGGGCAAATTAAATCTAAAACAAGCAGGATAAAAAAAATGTGTCATAAACATAGCTGATGAAGATTTATTTTCCAGAATATATTAATCATGTGAGCAAATCAATATAAAGTAAAAACAATGGGAAAAAAACTATCAATATATAAAAACAAGTAATTCAAATATATTAAACACAAATTACCCAGAAACATATTAAATGATTATCAACTTCACTAGTATCAGGGAAATGTAAACTAAAACCAAATTATATATAAAATATAACCATCAATAAGTAAATATTTTAGTTTCAAAACCTCAAATATTGATGAAGATTTAGAGTAACATAAACTTTTATAAACTGCAGCTACTCCAAACACAATGAAAAATAATTTGGTGATATCCAGTAAAGTTAAAAAGTAATTTCACTTCTAAGCATATAATGTAGATAAACTCTTACAAATGCATATCAAAAGATAATTAGGAGAATGTTCATAGCAAATCAAGTTCTAATAAAATATTGAAAACAGGCTAAGTGTCCATCAACAAGAAGGTAGATAATATTGTGATTTATTCATTCTTTACAGTAGAGAAAATGAGGAGCTCTTCATTTTATGAAGCAACATAGATAAACTTCACAAAGTACTGAGAAAAGAGGAGTGAGTGGCAGGAAGGCAGACAGAGAGAGAGACGATGGCACTTACAGACATTATTAAACACTGTAAAACAATACTCTTTGGTTCTATAGCTTGGTGCAAAAGTAATTGCTAATTTTGCCACTAAAAATAACCTAATATATTGCTTAAGGCTACATACACAAGAGGTACATTACAGAGAAATTAAGGAGGGGCATGATAAATGTGATCAGGGAAGGGAACAAGTATTCTTCAACTCTATCAGGAAAGTTTTATTTCTTAAAACGGGTAATAGGAAAAAAAGTTTTTCTTTATATCTGTTATGTTTTAAATAGTCATTATGAATTGAACTAAAAAGAGGCAGAGTCATGTGTTGAGAGGAAATTCTGAAGCAGTGCGGTAGGAGCAGAGTTTTGAGCTGGTTTCTATGAGCACTGGGTAAGGAAACAAGCAAGCATGTGTCAAGGAAGTTGTATGGATCTGGCAGGGCGTGGAGACCACAGATTTGTGGGGGCCTCAGTCTGACTGGCTGTGAGACTTTCTCCAGCAGTGCTCGGCAGCCTGGAGAAGAAGGACAGTATAGTGGACACAGTGTTGGGATTTTGCCTGCTACTGCAGTGAGAAAAGAGTGAAGCACAGAATGTAGCATTCACAATGTGACCAAAGGGTCTCTAGGCTGGATTGGGAAACCATTAAAGAAGAAAGATGTAATATATTTAATCTATTGGGAGATGAGAGAAGTATTCAGGTCTAAGTGATGAGAAGTGAGAAGTTCAGGGTACAGGCACAAAGTAAATAAGTGGCTGAAATGGAGTGGTGGTGTTAGTCTCTAGAGCCAGCAAGACAAAGAAACTATGCATCAATGGTGTTAGATGAGTAACTTGCATGAAAATTGAAATCACCCTGAAGGATCACAGTCACGGCCTGAGGACTAGGGAAAGACTGCGTGCCTAGTAGAAAAGTCTGGAGGACCAGGAGTTTGAACAATAAGCATAATAAATAGGAGTGAAGATATGTATAGCTAGGCATTTGTAATCGTAAATGAGATTATTACAACTTAAAGGGCATCTTGTGGCACGAGGAAAATGGTAACCCTGCCTCTGGGCTCTCTGATGTGTGGCCTGCCTACATGAGAGGAGGCAGCAAGGAGGTAGCCCTTATGAGAATAAAGCCAGGTTTCTATTAAGACAAAGAAACAAAGAAAACATTCCCCAAAGAAGTGGAAGGTGAAAAAGACTGTTTTTCATAGAAACAGAAGACTTCATGAACATTATGTTATATTTTAAAAGTGAGATGATTGGGAGAAGATAGTCATGGCCAACTAAGTCCATAGCAAAACAGGATAATACAATAGGGAAAGATAAATGACAGAAAGTGCCTGCAGTGTAGGTGGTATCTCAGGATGACAGGGATGTGAGGCATCACATGATTAGCTATATTCTTGGGTGCTGAATGGACCTCTGGTTAAATAGGTTTCCTGGCCTGTGCGGGCTGATGTCCAGGCATGGAGTGCTGGATGCTTGATGATGCTACACACCTATGGCCCTTGTTTTGGTTTCCAAACAGTGCTTAGATATAAAGTGCCGAATCAATTATTATTTCCTATCCATCTCCAAAAAAAAAAAAAAAAAAAAAAAACACCGAGCAAGTCTCAGTTACGCTGATGATGTAAACTTTCAATAGTGAAGCATTAAACTTGTTCACGTCACAACAATGTCACAACATTTCTGAAGCCAGGACTTCATTCTAGTAAACTAGATATATTTCACAATGTCAAATCACTTAAAAACCTTCTACACACCTGGAATTTGCAAGATAAGAGTGTGAATGGATAGGATCACACCTAGAAAATCTGGTTAAGTAAGGATCAGACAAATGCTAAATAATGTCAAGAAAAGGTAAAACCAGAAACACGATCCAGATGGGGATTTGCCTTTGTCTTTTCTGTTCCTTTCCTCTCACTGGGAACAAGGAAAACTACTTTGAAGGCTACCATCATTGTAGGACAACTATATTCAGAATTTTGCAACCAGGTCCCTGTGCCCAATAACAGGAATGTATCCTAATTTAACATCATCCAAAAGTAACATAAATAAATAAATAAATAAAGTTTCAGGAGAAAGGTTCTCTTTGTGGAAAATGGCATAAATTGGCAAATTCTGTATTTTACCTGAAAAAATAAGCATGTATTTAAAGGTTAAAGGCATGCTGGCTTCTCACGGAGACCCCTGACCAGGCAGAAGATAATTCCCGTCAGGGCAATGGATGTACATGCATGGATGGGGAAATGTTTCTGCCCAGGAAAACCAATCGCATCAGGAGACAATTGAATTCTCCAGGATGTCAGTATGGTTTTGCTAGCAATATTAAATTCAGTGAGGACCTGCTTTGTCACAATAAAAATAAAGATGAGAGTTGTCAGGGCTCCAGTATGACAAAATATCCTGAAGGCAACCATTCCAGCTGCAGACTAACACTGCAACTAGTTAGTGATGTTCTCCTCTTTACCGCGAGGAAGCAACACTGACAGCAAACAGACAGAGAAGACCCATGGATCTAGCAAGACCAAACAGTAACAGTTTGTAAGCGTATTGACACTTAAAATATGGTCCCTGGACAAGCAGCATCTGTATTACCCAGAAGCTTATTAGAAATGCAGAACCTTGAGCCACACTCTAGACTTACCACATTAGAATGTACATTTTAGGCCAGGTGTGGTGGCTCATGCCTGTAATCCCAGCACTTTGGGAGGTTGAGGCGGGTGGATCATGAGGTCAAGAGATTGAGACCATCCTGGCCAACATGGTGAAACCCTGTTTCTACTAAAAATACAAAAATTAGCTGGGTGTGGTGGCGCATGCCTGTAATCCCAGCTACTTGCGAGGCTGAGACAGGAGAATCGCTTGAACCTGGGAAGCAGGTTGCAATGAGTCGAGATCGTGCCACTGCACTCCAGCCTGGTGACAGAGCAAGACTCTGTCCCAAAAAAAAAAAAAAGAAAGTACATTTTAGCAAAGGTGATTCTTATGCACACTTAATCTTGACAAGCATCACATTAAGGCATAGAAGACCGCTTGGATTCTAGGCTCATAAATCAAAAGAGATGAATAGGGAATTCTGCCAGATAAAAAGCCAATGTGGGCTACAGGCCCACATTTACTTAACCAGACTTTCTAGACTATTGACTGGAGCTGTCCTGGATTCTAGCCTAGGCTTCAGTCTCTCCAGCAATTGGTTCATGTCCTACCATCAGCACTTCCCAGGCTGCCAGGGTCTCATAATCTCAGTTCTCTCTCCCTAGTGCTGGCCACTCACATTCCCTCTCATCCTCTGTAAGAAGTTGACCTCTTTGTGATGGACCCTTGCCATAGAGCAGCCCCGACCCAGCCTAGATTCTGTCCCCAGCTCTCACTCCCTTTCATCTTTGCTCTCCCCAGCCTCAGCTCTGCTGCCCAACTCTTGGCACCCCACTCAGCCCCTGGCAAGGACAGACCAAAGTACCTCTGGGGCTAAACAGAGCCAGTTCATGGCATGCCAAACTTAGGAATGTGTTGGAGGTTAGCAAGGACAGTTAGAGCACAGCTCACAATAACTACTGTCTTAATGTCATCAAAGTGGGATCATCCAGAATTTAACAATTCACTAAAAGCAATGTGGGTTTTAGGACACGCTGCAGTTCAAACTAGTGTGTCACATAGAAACATGCAGAGGGAGAAGGAGGGAGACCAGAGATAGAATCAATTCTATAAAATACCATTGACTAGAACATCACACTTCCCTTTCCTCCTTGGAAATACCAAATCAGGAGAGGTGCTACTAATATCCATCCATAATTTCCACAGAGTTCTATTTTTACTGCTGTTTGTGAAATTCATTTTAGTCAACAGTAGCCACAATTTTCTGAGGACGTTTATGTGCCATGCTCTATGTTATCATTCTATATGCATTAAATTAATCCTTATAACAAATGTATTCAGTAACTTCAGCTTTCCAGATAAAAAACTAAAGATTACAAAGTAATTTCTTCCAGGATCCACTTACTAATTGGAGAAACACAGATGTGTACTGGAGTCTCCAATTCTAGAGCCCTTTCTCTTTCTATATGTCACCTGCTTTTCACACACAAAAATTTTCAAACTTCTATTATTTCTTGAGAAAGAAATTAGGGCAGAGGGATAGAAAAAAAGGAGGAGGACTAGAAGACATGTATCTTATATTTGCTGTTTTTATTTATATTATTCTTAATTCTTAAAATTAACTCCCCCCCCCAAAAAAAGTATAACCTATCAATGTAGCATTTAATATCCAAGTACTACAACCCATAGACAGAAAAGTGAAAATCAAAACACGATAGGTGTATTTATGATCTTATTTATAGTATCCTGTGTGTTTGTGACATACTCATCTCTGGTTCTTTTACTGGTTCTTGATGCAAATATACTTTCTGTGGACAAGCCAGAACAAAAACATCAAGAATAAAGATTCAAAACTATTGGTGTTTGAACATAGTTTCCCTTTTTTGTTGCTGTTGTTTTTTTTTTTTTTTTTTTTTTGAGATGGAGTCTCACTCTGTCTCCCAGGCTGTAGTGCAGTGGCATGATCACGACTCACTGCAATCTCTGCCTCCTGGATTCAAGCAATTCTCCTGCCTCAGCCTCCTGAGTAGCTGGATTACAGGCACACACCACCACGCCTGGCTAATTTTTTGTATTTTTGGTAGAGATGGGGTTTCAACATGTTGGCCAGGCTGGTCTCAAACTCCTGACTTCAAGTGATCTGCCTGCCTCAGCCTCCCAAAATGCTAAGGTTGCAGGCGTGAGCCACCGCTCCCAGCCTCAAAATAGTTTCTAATGATTGGATACATCCAGTTCTCCAGATCCAGCATTCTGGTTACTTAACAAAGAGATAATAGTTTCTTTTATTGCTTCTTTAAATTATAGGATGGCCTTTTGGAGATCACAATCCCAGTCAAGAAACGATTCCAAATCACAGTGAGTAATCCATGATCATTGGAACTGGCAAAATATTGACAGTTAAAAGGACAGCACACAAAGCAGCAAGGCAGAGACCTCAGCTGAACAAACAGAAGCACTGAGCTTTTGGTTCATTGTAAATCAGAGATCAGTTCTGTTATTCACTCGTTTCAAATTAGGATAAGAGTAATGTATATGAAGGGAAGGGGGTGCTCTGTCTATCTCTGTGACAAGGCACCCTTTTTTGGGTACATGTGCCCAACGTGCAGGTCTGATACATAGGTATACATGTGCCATGTTGGTTTGCTGCACCCATCAACTCATCATTTACATTAGGTATTTCTCCTAATGCTATGATTCCCCTAGCCCCCCACCTGCCGACAGGCCTCTGTGTGTGATTTTCCCCACCCTGTGTCCAGGTGATCTCATTGTTCAGTTCCCACGAATGAGTGAGAACATGTGGTGTTTGGTTTTCTGTCCTTGTGATAGTTTGCTCAGAATGATGGTTTCCAGCTTTGTCCATGTTCCAGCAAAGGACATGAACTCATCGACGAGGCACCCTTAATTGTGATAACTCAAATGGTATCAGATCTGAACCAGAATTTGAAGAGTTTCCAACAGTGACCCGATGTCCTGAAGGGAAGCACATGGACCCACTTTGGGAATGCAGTGAGTCAGCCATCTGACTCGTTAGATTTTGTTCTGTGTCATTCAGCAAAAGGGAAAGCATCCTGAAGAATTACAAAGTGAAGATGGGAACACATGCTTGATGGAATCTCCATCTGTTCTTTGAAAGGGCTTAGCTAAATCTTTAAAATACGGGGGTAAAATGTTTCAACAGAAGGTAGAATTGAAGAGGTATAAAGAAACTGGTAGTCATCTCCTTTAAGGATGGGAACACCAAGGCTCAGAGACAAATCTGAAGAGTTTTTCATGTATCCAGCTGACCAGTGGCCACACGGGGATTAAAGAGGCCTTTTGTTTTGATGTGAGCTTTTTACTCTGCTGTTCAGTGTGTGACACTTTTGGTTGCTTCTCACATGTCATCTAAAGGATAGAAACTTTCACAGGATGTTCTCAAAAAGACAAACTTCATGGAAACTTTTTCTTCTATAAATACTTCACCTGACACATTGGATTTTGCCTACTTAACAAAATATTGTGAAGCCTTGAGCCCCAAATATACTTGAAAATATAAAATTGCTATCACACAACAACGGTTTAAAAAAAAAATGGAACACGAGCATTATATAACAGTTTGCTGGATGGATAAAGACTTTTCAGTGCCTTTCTCTGACATCTTCTGGAAATCTAAGTAAAGGAAAATAATATATTGTCCACACCTAAGGTGACAGGTTTTTTTCTGATACTTTTCTTCAAACAAACTGAAAATTCCAAATACAGTGACTTCTAGCATCCTATCTCAGGAAGCAGAAATACATAAAGAAAATTAGAATTTGGCTGGAGATTCTTTTTTCGCATGCACCAAAGTAGAGGACTCTAAAGAAATGTGGCCTCAGCACTGTCAGACGTTTCAAAATCCTTATGCACACAGCCATACACATGTACCCAAGATGAGTTAAATACATGTGCTAAAGCAAAACTAAAATTGAAGCTTTGATTATATCCTGAGGACATTTCTAATACAGACATCATCACAAATTATTAATTCCTAGAGCTGACTGAATTCCTTATGATGATACTTCAGGTTCAAATTAGTATTGACTAAATTGTCTATAGTTTCTGATGATGGATTACTCATTTTATTTTGAAATTTAACATTTCAAAGTAAGACAGATAATGAATTTAATTAAAATTTTATCTTCTGCTTTTTATTATGGCAGGCAAGAAAAAATATATATACATGATTATTGTAATTTCACTTTAGCTCTCCAGAGAAGTTCATAGAGTGCCTGAGGTTATCTGCAAAGAATATAATATGACATAACTAACTTTTCTCTTTCCCTATTGTCTACTGCATACACATAATGCATCTTAATTCTTTTTACCACAAGCAGTTTCCTTACTCTTCAATATATACACAATCACGCAGTCTACCTTAAAATATTTATTCAATAATACTGCTCTACAGTGAGAATAAGAGCAAAAAATGAAAAATAAAAATTTAACTGCTAAACTCGAACTGGGTGGAATATCTACAAGAATAAATAGAGTAAACAATGAAGCTCCAGGCCATTGTTCCACCTGCAAATTCATTCAGCATTTCTCTGAGCAACTCATGGGACTAGAGGAAATCATGGACTGATTTAACAAATGCCTTGTGAAACACGGGTTAATTCTCTGTGATGAACTGGGGTATATAAAGGCTTGCCACTGAGGTAGTAGAAGGATAGGAGCTCAAATTTTGTGTAAAAGTATGATATGATTTATGTCACTGAACACTGAAAAAAACAACATGTGTAGACTTTCCTTCTTCCTTTCCCATCTTCTTAATCTCAAGTAAAAGATCACTAGCTTTTAGGATTGTTTTGACCCTACGTGTCAGAAGTGAGTAAATATCATGATTAATTCATGCCATATGAATTTATTGAGCACCTACTATATCGAGTTTATTGTTGTAAGTAGAAAAGTTTCCTTTCACATTCTGCCCTTGCCAGAGTACTGGCTTTCAACCTGTAATTAGTTAGCATAACCAACATAAAACTCATTTCTGCATACCTCCCTATGCACCCTCCCAACCCCTGAATGTGTTTACTACTTAAAACCCACTGATTCTTTCCCACTTCATGAACTATTCTGATAATTTCTTGACAAGCTTTTATTCCCTTCTCTAGGCAAGTTAATATGTTTGTTTTTGAATGGCTGTTTTTTATTGTTTTGGAGTCTTTCCTGTATTCATTAACACTATGTTAGTCTGCAGTGCTCATCTGGATCCGTCATGTCATACAGCATTTATCATCATAGTAATTCAACATGAGAGAGGTACAGCAAAGTGGTTGGGACCAATTATGGATCCAAACAGCCTAGGCCTTTTCATTTACTCTGGGACATTGGGCAATTTACTTAGCCATACCGTTCCTTATTCCCCCTTATAATAAATTGGGAAAATGGTAATATCTAATTTTGGAGAGAATTGAATTCATACATGCAAAGTTGTTAATTGTTTTATTTCTAGCCAAGATGCATCAGGGCAGCTAAAGGTTATACTTCACACTGAGTAGGAGTAAATACAATAAGCAAGCTACCTAAGGACTCTAAAAAAATAAGCTAAACAGGAAAATTGTTGAAAGGAGTTAAAATTTGGAGAAGTTAACCTTAATACAACGAAGTTTTCATTTTCCTCCTTTGTTTTCTCATGGTTTTGAACAATTTTTATATTTTAAATTTTTGTGAGTACATAGTAGGTGTATGTATTTATGAGGTATCAAAACCTCATTATTTCATGATGTGAAATAATGACATCATGGAAAATGTGGCATCCATTCCCTCAAGCAATTATCCTTTGTGTTACAAATAATTCAATTACACTATTTTAGTTATTTTAATATATACGATTAAGTTATTATCGACCATAGTCACTCTATTATGCTATCAAATATTAGGTCTTAATTCATTCTTTCTAATTATTTTCGTACACATTAACCATCCCCACCTGCCCCTAAAGATACTCTTCCTAGCTTACTGGTAACCATCCTTCTACCCTCTAAGTCTAAGAGTTCAATTGTTTTGATTTTTAGATCACACAAATAAGTGAGAACATATGATATTTGTCTTTCTGAGGTTGCCTGATTTCACTTAACATAATGATCTCCAGTTCCATCCATGTTGTGAATGAGTGGATCTCATTCTTTTTTTATGGCTGAAGAGTACTCCATTGTGTATATGTACCACATTTTCTTTATCCATTCATCTGTTTATGGACACTTAGGCTGCTTCCAACTATTGTGAACAGTGCTATAACAAACATGGGAATGCAGATATCTCTTCTATATACTGTTTTTCTTTCTTGTGGGTATATATCCAGCAGTGAGATTGCTGGATCATATGGTAGCTCTTTTTAGTCTTTTGAGGAAACACCAAACTGTTTTTCATAGTGATTGTACTAATTTACGTTTCCTCCAGCAGTGTATGGGGGTTCCCTTTCTGCACATTCTTGCCAGCATTTGTTATTTCCTGTCTTTTGGATAAAAAGCATTTAACTGGGGTGAAATGATATATCATTGCAGTTTTGATTTGCATTTGTCTTATGATAAGTGATGTTGAGTACCTTTTCATATACTTGTTTGCTATTTGTATGTCTTCTTTTGAGAAATGTCTATTCAAATATTTTGCCCATTTTTGATAGGATTATTAGATTTTTTTTCTATAGAGTTGTTTCAGATCCTTATATATTCTGATTATTAACCCCTTGTCTGATGGGCAGTATGCAAATATTTTCTCCCATTCTGTGAATTGTCTCTTCATATTATAGACTGTTTCCATCACTAAACAGAAACTTTTTAACTTGATGTGATCCAATTTGTCCATTTTTGCTTGGTTGTCTATGCTTGTGGGGTACTCCTCAAGAAATATTGCCCAGAACAATGTCCTGGAGAGTTTTCCTAATGTTTTCTTGTAGTAGTTTTATAGTTTGAGGTCTTAGATGTAAATCTTTAATTCATTTTGATTTGTATATGGTGAGAGATAGGGATCTAGCTTCATTTATCTGCTTATGAATATACAGTTTTTCCAGCCTCATTTCCACAGTGTATGTTCTTGACAATTTTGTCAAAACTGAGTTCACTGTACGTCTGTGGCTTTGTTCTTGGGCTCTCTATTCTGTTTCATTGGTCTATGTGTCTGTTTTTATGCCAGTACCATGCTGTTTTTGTTACTATAGTTCTGTAATATAATTTGAAGTCAGGTAATGTGATTCCTCCAGTTTTGCTCTTTATGTTCTTCATATAGAATATAAAATATAAAGAACATAAAATTTCATTCAGTTTTGTTCTTTATATAGAATCTATGTGCTATAATCTATAAACATTGATGAAAGAAATAAAATAAGATCTATTTAAATAGAGATACTGCGCTCATGGATTAGAAGACTCATTATTGGTAAAAGGTCAACTTTGTCCAAACTGATCTATAGATGATTGAATATAAATAAATCAAAATCCAAGCAAGAATTTTAGTAGATATCAAGAAAAAGCTAATTCTAAACCATATATGGAAAGGCAAAGAAAGGATAGCAAAAACAGTTTTGAGAAAGCAGAACAAAATCAGAGAACTCAACTACTTAATTTAAAAAATAACAAGACCTTGGAAGAAGAATAGTTACCGAATAATAAGACAGAGACAATACATGCATACATAATCAATTATTTTTTTACAGATTCAAAGGCAATACAATGGATAGAAAAAATAATTATTTAAATAAATAGTGTAACAATTGAATATCCATGTGCAAAAGAACAAAAAAACACATTTCAGACCTTATACAATCAACTCACTATTAATAATCTAATTGTAAAACCTAAAACTATAAAGCTTATACAGGAAAATATAGAAGAAAATTCTATAGACCTTGGTAAAGATTTGTTAATATGACACAAAACATAGTACAGTCCATAAAAGAAAACCATTTGTAAAATTGACTTTATTGAAGTTGAAAACTTCCACTCTGTGAAAGACACTGTTGAGAAAATGAAAAGACAAGCTACACATTGGAAAAAATATCTGCAAAACTTATATGTGATCAGGAATTTCAATATGGAATATTTAATGACCTTTTGAAACTCCATAAGAAAACAAAAATATTCACTAAAAAACAAGGGACAAATAATTTAAATAGACACTACACCAAAGAAAACATATAAGATATATTGATGCTAAATAAGCACATGGAAAAAATGTTGTGTCATTAGTCATTAAGAATATATAAATTAAAACAACAGAGAACTATCACTACATACATATTAGAATAACTATCAATCATTCTCAAGACTGACAATACCAATCTCTGGTAAGGGTGTTAACCAACCTTCCAATGTATGGATCTCTCATACACTGCAAGTGGGAATGCAAAATAGTATAGTTACTTTGGGAAAATATCTGCTAGTTTTGTTTGTTTGTTTGTTTTTGTTTTTTAAAGACAGTGTTTCACTCTGTTGCCCAGGCTGGTCTCAAACTCTTGAGCTCAAGCAATCCTCCCACCTTGGCCTCCCAAAGTGTTGAGATTCCAGGCGTGAGCTACCATACCTGCCCCTGTCTGGTAGTTTCTTATAAAATTAAATACACACCTACAGTATGACTCAGCAATCTAACTTCTAGGTGTTTAGTCAAGAGAAATGAAATCTTTGATTACTCAAAAACCTGGACACAGATGCTTTTAGTGGCTTTTAAAAAATAACTAAAAATCCAAAACAATCCTAAAGATCTTCAAATAGTAAAAGGACAATTTTACAGTGATAAACCTGTAAAATAAAGTTAAAAAGGAATAAAGAGACAAATGGGTGAACGTCAAGCACAATATGTAAGTAAAAGGTGGCCAGCTCAAAAGGCTGTGTACTGTATAATTCTATTTTAATGGCATAAATAAAATAGGCAGAATTATAGGTATAGAAAAAGTCCAGTAAGTAAGCAGAAGAGTTTGACCATAAATGGACAGGAAGAGGGAAGTTTTGTGGGATAATGTTAAGTGTTCTGTGCCTTGATTGTAGTGGTGGCTGCGCAAATGTGTGCATTTGTCAAAACTCAAAGAACTATATGCCAAAAGGTGAAAAATTTACTGTATGCAAATTTTAAACAGTGAATAAAAACAAAAAATATTTTAGAAGTGGTCATTAAATATTATGGTATTATTTATTTTAATTATATTTATTATTAATATGGCCAGGAGAGTGGGAAACAGCCTAAGAGAGGAACAATTTGAAAGCTTTGATAATAACAAATGTGAAATCAATGAAAAGAATTGCAGGAATAAAAAAAGGAGCAAACCAATTTGACAAGGCAGTAAGAAGGATAAAACTGGCACAGAAATATTCACTCATCTATAAAGGAGCCAAGAGTCCCAGTCGCCACGACTTAATTGATACACTTCAATTTGATCTGAATACACATCAATAAAAATGAGGCTCCCTTGGGTTTGATGTGGCTGATAGAGAAACAGTAGAACAGGCTTCTGTGGAAGAGCAGTTCTCAGCATTCTGTGTATATCCAAGTCATAAATCAGGGAGAAATACTCAAAGTAAGTTAAGGCCACAAGGAAAGTGATGCAGACAGGTGTCCTGGGAATTAAGACACCTAGCTCACTGTGCTGCAGAGCCTGGCTCCCGACTTTCAGGAAAGCAGGAACAAAAATTAAGGACTCATTCAAAAAGCCAGCCTGACTCAGACAACTCATATGGCTGCAGCCTGGTGATCACAGCCTAAATTCATTCCACCAGTAACCTAGAAAGCAGTGTGGAAGGAAGCTGCAAGCTTTGCCAGTGGGACATTCCCTTGGTGTTTGTGTTTGTTAGGAAAGGTTAACAGGGTAGAGTAGAGGATAGAAGGAAAGAGGCATTCACATATTATGTGGCTTGACTTTCACTGGCTGTGTTTCAGGCTCAGTTTTCACAGATACGGATCAAAGGACAGTGCCTGAAAACAAACAAATGAAAAAAAAAAAAAAAACAAAGGTGATAAGATCATTATCTCAGGAAATATCTAGGACAGTTTCATGGAGGCAATTATTTTTATAAGAATTTAATAAATTTTTGCATCAAAAACATGAGGGTAGATAAAAGGAAGGAAGAGGAGTAAGAGTGAAACGAAGAAGAAAGGAAGAAGAATGGGAAAGAAAATAGGGAAGAGAATATTGACAATGGAGGATTTAAAAATGTGAATAAAGACTAAAAGGTAGTAATGTGGAATATACACAAATAATAGCAAACTGGCAATCTGATGGTAGCAGTGCATGCAGAAGCAGCACATTTTCAGATGGGTGATTATTCAGTCTGGCTAGAATCTCTACTATCAATGAATGAAAAAAATCACAGAGAAGCGTAATTTCTCTTACTCTAGATGTTAGATACAATGTTTGGAAACCAGAGAATAGGACAATTTGGGCTATCTGCGTCCTAGCACTGTTAGTTCATAGCTTCACTCAATCAATCAAATATTAATTGAGCATCTATCAAGCTTAGCAGCATGCAAAGTTCTGTAATTCAGAAATTATATGTTACTATGCCTCTAATTGGAGTTTAAATCTGGATAGCAGAATCTAGAACATCTACAAGAAAAAAATACTTTTAATAAAAGGATAAATGAATGTGCCTTTAAGTCTTTGCCTGCAGTGTACAGAATAAGCACTTTCTCAGTGTTTTGTATTTGCAATATTGTCTTAGATATATGTTCTCAAAGTTAGCCTCCTTGCTTTTTCTAACTTCCTTCCCTTCCTTTCTAGAACTTGCTATATCCAGATATGCTACTACATACCAGTCAATGTGTCAGTCAAGAGAGCAACAAGACAGTGACAATGTTGAAAAAACAGGATTTGCAAATCCCATTTTAGAGAAGAGTTAACTGAGATTAAGAATAGTTACAAAATTTGCCCAGAGTCACACTAGAAACAAGTAAAGCAGCTGGGATTTAACCCAGGCTTCAAAATTCACCATTGCTTTTATTCTGAGAAAAATATAATCGCTGAAAACAATAATTTACAGATTACAAGACTCCTGATGATTTGGTTTGGAAAATTCCTCCTGAAAGAGGAAACAGTAAAGTTCAATTTGGTGTCAGATAACATGCTCCCCAGATGCCAACTAATTTTCAGATGGGTGATTATTCAATCCGGCTGGAATATGATGTTTTTCTTCCTACATTTAAGTTTCAATGTTGGTCTATTTTCTTTCTTTTCTTTTTTTAAGAATCCATTTTCAATTAAGATTTCTAATTAGATTCCACGTTTGAGACACATCTCTAGTAGAAAGCAAATGGCAAGAGTAGTAATTAAAAAGCAGCTGTCTCTTGTCTTTCTGGTATGAAACAAGCCGTTTTGTCTGTAAGTTATGAAATCCTAGGAAATTCTGTGATGTTTGTCTCAGTTTTTAATAACAGTCAACTTAATTGGAAGATGCTGAATTGGTCTAAAAAAGTCGATGCCCTTTGCAACACATATGCTGAAAACTTCTCTTCCAAAATAAGCATAAGTCAACTCTGGGTTTTTCAGACTTTTAGTGCTGCAAAGACAAAATCTCCACATTTTATATCAAATCAAATCATTGGCCCAACATGGTAGCTCACACCTATAATTCCAGCACTTTGGCAGGCCAAGATGGGTGGATCATTTGAGCTCAGGGGTTCAAGACGAGCCTAGGAAACATGCTGAAACTCCATCTCTACAAAAAATTAGACAGGCATGGTGGTGCATGCCTGTAGTCCCTGCTACTGAGAGAGGTTGAGGTGGGAAGATCACCTGATCCTGGGAGGTCGAAGCTGCAGTGACCCATGACTGCGCCACTGCAATCCAGCCTGAGTGACACAGTGAGACCCTGAGTGACAGAGTGAGATTCATGGAACATAGCTATTTCTTAGAGATCAAATCATTCTTTAAAGTACTAAAGTAGGCATTACCCCAAGTCATTTGCCTTACTTTAAGACTTTTTCAGAAGCCTCCATTATAAAACTTTATAAATCAAAGAGAATAAGCATTTTCAAAGGAAAGAAATATGATTCAGATTAACTGAGATGCAAACAGCAATTTGTGTAGTTTTTCTCCGTTTAAGAAAACCAGTATTACTAATGCTAATGTTGAAAATTATTTAGGAAGCTTTTGCTCCAGTTGTTCTTGATACCTGAGGCTATATTTCCACATGTGAAGTATAATCAGGATTTGAGGCAATTAACCATATAATTAAGGTCAAGAAAAATCTTCAGCTGGAAAAAAATAAACCAATGAAGCAATCAGATTTTTTCTGGCTTGCATTATCTAGATTCTAGAAAATTATCTAACGTAGTTTAATGCTCATAGCCATAAAATAGGTCAAGCTCCCTAAAAGCAGGCCAGTCTCAGGTACAAAAGAAACTTCTTAAAATGCATATTCCGAAGAGGTAAACTTTTGAAAGATTTCCCAATATAATCCTTATAATCCTGAAAATGACTTCAGGAAATATTAAGTTAAATAAAAGTACAAACACACACACACACACACGTTGGGGTAAGGTGAGGTCAGGTGACAGATTCGAAAGCATCTATATTCAGGGGACCAGGAGAGAAGACCAAATGACATCACACAGAAATGCAAGCAGAGCAAGTTCAGAGGCTTCTTACAATGGATATTAAGGACCTATGGGGCTGGGCTTTTCATCTTATTTTCAACCCGGCTTCATTTATATCTGTCTTCCCTTCTGTGACTTTGCTGTAGCCACACTATTCTTCTTTCAATTATTTTCTTTCTTTTTTTTCTTCATTTATTTTCTTTGTTCCATGCTTTTCCATCTGCCTGGGACTCTATTCTCAAACTTTAGGTCTTAGGTTAAATGTCATCTTCCAGAGAAATAGCCTCTGTCTACCCAATCCACAGTAGATTCTTTGTCTCCCAATATTTTATCCCATAGAATTCTGTTATTTTACATCATAGCATTTATCACAGCTTTTACTTATATATTGATATCTACTGAATCTCCTCTACTGCACTGTAAGTACTGCCTGATTTGTCCAATTCTATAAAATCGCCTTACAGATGAGTGTTTCCCAAATAAAGCATATGCATTAATTTAATAATAAGTAATAATATTAATTTCTTAATTTCTTAACATTTCTGCCTAGGCTAGGCCTGGCCTAACTAAAACCCTCAAAATTGGTTTAATGTAGTTATAGAAATTAATTTATCTATAAAATTTGGCCAGTCATCTATAACATGCAGTCACACATATGCTAAAACACCTAACTGGCATTATTGTAAAATATTTTGTTAATAAGCTCGAATTAATCATCAGTTTAAATGAATACAATGTGTTGATGTTACGTGTTGAGAATAACTCTTGTACCTGATTTATGTTGTTTTCTTTGACAGAACTGCTCTTTGATTATTGTTTCGCTGGTTTCAAGGCTCTGCAAAAAACAAAATGGAAAGAAGTCAGGATTTAGTGTTTACTGGAAATTTTCTTACTAAAGCACCCATAGGTAAAGTGTTTAATATGCTTATAATGCCCATCATTCAAACTTAGGGATTTATCATCATCACAAGATTCATGGAGCATAGCTATTTCTTATTTCTATCCCAAATTAGTCAGCTTCATTCAGCCCATAGAGCCCCTCTAGAATAAATTATAGCTGATCCTTGTTTGCTGCTTAAGTGTGCCAAGTACTATCCTATGCCAGGCACTATATTAAGTTACATGGATTAACTCATTTATTCCTCATAACTACTCAGCAAGAAAGGGTTAACTCAGCAGGCCTGAGTTCCTCAAACTCTGCCCATCACAAAGAAAGGTGACTCTTCAAGTCTAGCCTTCAGCTAGCTTCTGGGAGAAAACCTCTGAACTCCTGGAAGAGTCTACCTGATAAGAGTGTTTTGTATGCATGAGGCCTTAGGCTATGCTGTTTCAGTTGGATCAGATATATTTATTCTAAAATGTGATTTATGATGAACATTTATTTTTGCTTGTGGGAAGGGGTTCTGGTGTCTGAATCACCCAGTGCCGCATGCTTATGTGAGTGACATCTAATAGAACTCTAGAAACCAAAGCTTGGCCGAGTTTCCCTGGTTTACCACACTTCATGGGTTATACATCATTTTGCTGGCAGCTTTAATCACACCTCCATGTGACTCCACTGGGAGAGGATAGCTGGGAGTTTGTTCCTAAACTTTGCACCATGAACCTTTCTCTTTGCTGTTCTTAATTTGTATACTTTCACTATAATAAAGCATGACTATGATTATACAGCTTTTCTGTATCTTAGATGATATGGTCTGGCTGTATTCCCATCCAAGTCTCATCTTGAATTATGGTTCCCTTAATCCCCACATGTTGTGAGAGGGACCTGGTGGGAGGTAATTGAATCATGGGGGTGGTTACCCAGTGCTGCTGTTCTGGTGATAGTGAGTGAGTTCTCACAAGATCTTATGGTTTTATAAGATCTTCCCCCTTTTGCTCTGTGCTTCTCCTTGCTGCCACCATGTGAAGAAGGACATGTTTGCTTCCCCTTCCATCATATTTGTAAGTTTCCTGAGGCCTCCCCAGCCCTGCAGAACTGAGTCAATTAAACCTCTTTCCTTTATAAATTACCCAGTCTCAGGTATGTCTTTATTAGCAGTATGATAACAGACTGATATATTAGTAAAACGATCAGCCTAAAGGAAGTCTTGGGGACCCCCAATACAACCACCCTATAAGGGAGGTACCATTATTATTATATAGAGAGAATTTGGCAAAGACAGGTGAAGTAATTCAGGCAGAGTCCCACAGGTAAAGAGTAGTATTTGAATTTAAAACCACTGATCTGGTTCCAGAGTTTGGGCATTTTACTACTATATATCATGCTATTTATAAAACAATTTACTATTATATATAATTCAATATGTGTATAAAAATGTTACCTGGTTCTTTTCTCTATTTTATTATCAGGAATAGTTTTCAAATTGTAAATTTACTATCAGTTACTATCTTTTATAAAATGATTTCATATTATTTGGTCAAAAGATGTAGTAACTCATTGGATTAAAGTTGTTCTTTAACCATTGTACCTCATTTGAAAGAAACATTCCCCTAGTAATGTCAATAATGCAGATGAGATATAAAATTTTCTCATTCATATTATCATATGTCTCTCATCATTCTGTATTGTTTACAATATAAGCAGGTGAAACTACAAAGAATAGGCTTTAAATTATACCAGGACTCATTTAATTTGGGGAAAAAAAATTCCAGTTTTTCTTTAGATTTCTCATTTTTTGAGCCCAGTAGACCCAGAGTTGCTTTTAAGATAACTGTTAAGAAAAAAAAAAAATGTTTCATAGTAAGAGAAATCATGAAACTGATCACTTAGTTGCAACTAAAGAAAATACAAACCATCTGCTTACTACTAAACTCAAAACAGAAAATAATATAGAAAAGTCATATGTGTGCTATATCAAACTTTCACCAGGTAGAATTTACAAGATACTTTGGTCTAAATTTTTGTGGTCCTTAAGTGTCTTAGTTTTATTTTAACACTTGAACAAAATCATAATTTATCTTTCATCTTATTCAAATCCACCCAAATCTAAGCATTGTGCTCTGTTGTACAGAGTAGATGGCAGTATCCTGTCCTTATTAACAGAACAGACTGCACATCTCTTCTGGATGTTTTAGTTGACATTACTTCTGCAAAGGTGATGAGTTTACCTTGCAAATAAAATATGATCATACAAAGGCCAACATAGTCTCATATAGTCCATAGTGTCCAAACAAGCCCTTGAATAATTTTTTTAAATACCCGTAATGCATACACAAGATGGGTAACACTTTATATAGCAATGAATAGATACATCAAATATAAACTGGATAACTGTGCAAGTCTAAAGGACAAAAGTTTATGATGCAGAAAGATCAACTGTCCTATGTGAGCCTGAGTCTTTCAGACTTTTTTTTTGTTCCCATTATGGGGTCATTCATTACTTGTCAGCTCCCATCATGTAGCAAGAACCAGTATTTACTAAAACCCAATGAAGTGTATAGTCACCTTAAATATACATCCCACAGACTTAATGCAAACAAGACGTTATTTAACATTTATCATTATCTTCATGATAAATGACCAAATAGGATATTTTCTTTAATTAGGACACAGAAGTTTTCTTTTAGTAGAAAATTTGAATTTCTATGCTAACTTCTGGGTGTTAAACTGAATTGAACATTATTGTTTAGAATTAAAATGCAGAATATTCCAAAAAAATTGAGGTGGCCTCCTATTGTGCTTCCACTTTATTCTATATAGGTCAGTGCCTTCTTTGGTCCCTGTATCCATTCCTTTTGTGGCCTTTGATATGGGGTTTGGATGTTTGTCAACTCCAAATCTCAGGTTGAAATGTGATTCCCAGCATTGGAGATGAGGCCTAGTGGAAGGTGACCGGATCCTGGGGGAGGATCCTTCATGAATGGCTTAGCAACATCCCCTTGGTGATAAGTGAGTTCTTGCTCCAAGTTCACATGATATTTGGTTGTTTAAAAGAGTGTGACAGCTCCTCCCCAGCTTGCTCCCTCTCTCACCATCTATGTGCCTGCTTCTCCTTTGCCTTCCACCATAATTGGAAGCTTTCTGAGGCCTCACCAGAAGCAAATCCTGTCACCATACTTCCTATGGAACCTACAGAACTGTGAACCAAATAAATCTCTTTTATTTATAAATTACCTAGCCTCAGGTATTCCTTTATAGCAACACAAGAGCAAACTAAGACAGAAAATTGGTACCAAGGAATGGGGTGTTACTATAGAGATTCCAGAAAATATGGAAGCAGCTTTGGAAGTGGATAATGGGCAGAAGTTGGAAGAGTTTGGAGGGCTCAGAAGAAGCAGGAAGATGAGGAAATGTTTGGAACTTCTTAGAGACTGGTTAAATGGTTGTGACGAAAATGCTGACACAGATACAGACAGTGATGTCCAGGCTGAAGAGATCTCACATGAAAATGGGAAACTTATTGGGAATCAGAATAAAAGTCACCCTTCTCAATCCCTAGCAAAGAACTTAGCTGCATTCTGTCCATGTCCTAGGAATCTGTGGAAATTTGAACTTTAAGACTGATGACTTAGGGTATCTGGCAGAAGAAATTTCTAAGCAGCAAAGCATTCAATATGTGATCTGGTTGTTTCTAACAACTTAAATCAGATACAAGGCAAATAAATGACTTAAAGTTAGAACTTACAATTAAAAGGGAAGCAGAGTGTAAAAGTTTGAAAAATTTGCAGCCTGACCATGTGGCAGAGGGGAAGAAAAAGCATTTTTGAGAAAATGTATTGAAGCAGGCTGCAGAGCAACTACTTGCTAGAGAGATTGGCATGACTAAAAGGGAGCCAAGTGCAAATATCTAATACAATGGGAAAAAGGTCTCAAAGGCATTTTAGAAGTCTTCAAGGAAGACCCTGCCATCATAGGCCCAGAGGCCTAGGAGGAAAGAATAGTTTCAGGGGCCAGGTTCAGGGCCCCATTGCCCTGATCCGCCTTGGGATATTGCTTTCCACATCCTGGCCACTCCATCTCTAACCATGGCTCAATGGGGTTCAGGTACAGGTACAGCTCAGGCTGCCACTTTGAAGAGCACAAGCTGCCATAAGCCTTGGTTGCTTCTACATGGTGTTAAGCCTGCAGGTGCACAGAATGCAAGAGTGAAGGAGGCTTGGCCACTCCCACCTAGATTTTAGAGGATGTATAGGAAAGATTGGTTGCCCAAGTAGAAGCCTATCACCAGTGCAGAACCCTAACAGAGAAACTTTACTAGGGCAATGCGGAGGGGAAATGTGGGATTGGAGACCCACAAAGAGTCCCCACCAGGGCACTGCCTAGTAGAGCTGTGGAAAGGGGGTCACTGACCTCCAGACCTGAGAATGGCAGAGCCACCAGTAGATTGCAGCTTAAGCGTGAAAAAGCTGCAAGCACTCAATTCTAGCCTAGGAGAGCAGCCGTGTGGACTGCGCCCACAGAAGCCACAGGGGCAGGGCTTCCTCAGGCCATGAGAGTCCAGCCCTCACACCAGGATGTGGGACATGAGGTCAAAGGAGATTGTTTTGAAGCTTTAAGATTTAATGATAGCCTTGCTGGGTTTCTGACTTGTGTGGGGCCTATTGCCCCCCTTTTTGGCCAATTTTTCCCCTTTTGGAATGAGAATGTTTACCCAATGCTTATACCACCATTGTATCTTGAGAGTAAATAACTAGTTTTTTTTTTGTTTTTTGTTTTTTGTTTTTTCAAATCTCACAGGTTCATAGATGGAAGGAACTAATTTCTAGATGAGACTTTAGACTTGGGACTTCTGAATTAATGCTTGCATGAGTTAAGACTTTGGAGGACTATTGGAAAGGCATGATTTGTATTTTGAAATGTGAGAAAGACATGAGATTTCGGGGTCCAGGGGCAAAATGATATGGTTTGGATGTTTGTCCCCTTCAAATCTCATTTTGAAATGTGATTCTCCATGTTGAAGGTGGGCCTGATCAGAGGTGACTGGATCATGGAAGAGGATCCGTCATGAATGGCTTAGCACCACTCTCTTGGTGATAAGTGAGCTCTTGCTCTGAGTTCATGCAATATCTGGTTATTTAAAAGAAAGTGGCACCTCCCCTCCCTCTCTTGCTCCCCCTCTCACCATGTGATGTGCCTGCTCCTCCTTTGCCTTCCACCACGAGTGGAAGCTTTCTGAGACCTCATCAGGAGCAGATTTCCAGTACTATGCCTCCTGTAAAGCCTGAAAAACCATGGACCAATTAAACCTCTTTTGCTTATAAATTACCCAGCTCCGAGTATTTCTTTACCATGATACAAAAGCAAATTAACACAGCCCTGAATGAGGTTTTCATAACATCCTTTTTATTTTTCTACCCCAGGATCCTGGTGTGATGGGGATATAGCTAAAGTCAGAGCTGACTATTTGTCTTTTCCATCTTACCCCATGGAAGAAACCTGGGCCTTGTGCTGACCCCAAATAGCCTGAATAACTCCAGGTTAAGGGCCCACATCAGTGAGAGGTTTTGGGATATTATAGCAAAGGCAGAAGCTGAGTGAGATACAATTTAGAAGAGATCAAGGAGAGATCATGCCATGTAAGTCAGCAAATTCTGCAATATGGCTGCTATGATTCGGACGTTAGCTCCTCCAAACCTCATGTTGAAATTTGATCCCAAATGATGGAGATGAAGCCTAATGGGAGGTGCCTTAGTCATGGGGGTGGATTCCTCATGAAAAGATTAATGCCCCTCTCCGGGGAGAGTAAGTGAGTCCTCACTTTGTTAGTTTCCACAAGAGCTGATTCTTAAAAAGAACCTGGAACCTCCCCTCTTGCTCTCTCTTGCTTCCTCTCTTGCCCTGTAATTTCTGCACACACTGGCTCCCCTTCCCCTTCCACCATGAATAGAAGTAGCCTGAAGCCCTCATCAGATGCAGGTGTTCATTCCATGCTTTTTGCAAAGCCTACAGAACCATAAGCCAAATAAACCTCTTTTCTTTATAAATAATCCAGCCTCAGGTGTTCTTTTATAGCAATATAAATGAACTAAGACAACAGGTTTTCATGGGTTCTGAGAACCCATACATTTGTTCCCTAATAGGTCCAGCATTAAAATATGTGTCTTGGAAATTATTCACATATAGCTACTAGAATCTAGATTAAACTATTTTTAAGATAAATGTTAAAATTAAATCTAATTTCCCAAAGGTTTTAAAAATCTTATAGTTGTTGCTCAGTTTCCATCCCTAATTGTAAAGGCAAAGTAGAATTAAGCTGACAATGGCATTCTCAACATAGCCTTCAGGTCAACAGAAAAACTGTAAAAAAAAAAAAATTCTATTAGAATTAATAAAATAACTCAAAGTTCAAGGATGCAAGGTAAATTTGCAGCAATAGCTTTTCTATATAATAGCAAAAAATAGAAAACAAAATTTCCAAAAGAATGCAGCTCCCAATAGCAGCTATAATAATCCAAATTACTACAGCAGTAACAACAAAATCAATAAAGAAATTATGAATAACTCTGTAAGGAAAATTATAAGAAGCTATAAAGAGAAGTAAAGAACTGTAACACGTGTAAGTGGGGAAATATTTACAGCATAAATATCAATTCCTTCCAAATTAATTTATATTTTTAGTATAATTCCAATGAAAATTCTAATGAAAGTAATTTTAGAAGCTCTTAAAATTTTCCAAAGTTCATTTGAAGAAAGTATTCTAGATCATAAAGAATATTCTGAATATTAATAAAATGTTTTGCTCTAATGATAAAATATATTTTGTGACATAACATGTAACACAGTGAAGAAATGGCTGAGAAAGTGATTTACAGATTAGTGGGAAAACATGGGTATCCCAGAAACATTCAATTTTATGCATTTGCTCATTCAACAAATATATAATGCCTGTCATATGCCAAGCACTGCACTAATTATTAAAGGGACAATATAATTCCTTCAGATGTCTGGTGGGGAAAAATTAACAATTATTTTTATTACAATTGAAATTGATATAAATGGGCATAGGACTCCAAGGTTGCATATAGATAGCGAACCTAAACCCAATGTATAATAAAGTGAGCACCACAAATTTATAAAAAAGAAATGAAGTATTTAATGATTGTTGAGACAGTTGCCTATCCTTTTAGAATAAAATAAATTATGTTCCATTAGACAGGGATATAAATTCCAGATGTATTATGGAAGTAAATACAAATAAAATACAAAATAAAAAGTAAAGAAAAATGGAATTGATAATTTTCACACTTTTTTGGAGGGGTCAATTCTACTTTTGAAGCTTATAAGTGCTAGAAGAAATTATAAAGAAAACGCATAGCAGATTGGGCTACATAAAAACTTCCCTAGTTTAAAAAAAAATAGGAGCAGATATAAAATTATTTGCAACAAAGGCAATATACCAAAATCTATTTTGTACAAATACTAAATATCAAATGAGAAATATTTAAAAGATGCTTCACAATGAAGAAACAATTCATGAATAAACATATGAAAAATGTTCAACTTCATTAATACTCAAGGAAATAACCATTATAAACAATGATCAACAGTATTTCATCTAACAAATTGGCAAAGAAGAAAAAGTTCATACTTGATGCTATTTTGAGATTGCTTTGAATGCTACTTTCCTACATTCCCAAGAGTATTTTCTAAGAACTCTAAAAGTGTTCCTACCCTGTCCCAGAAAATCTAGGAGGCATTCTCACCATATGTGGTTAGCACAAGATGCTCATTTCAGGCACATCCTATTTTAATACCCACTATACAATAATGCTGTTTAGACAAACGACTGTCAAATATTTATCATGATATTACAAGTACCACAGCCAGCATGTGGGAGGCATGCAATAAATATGTCGAATGTTGAATAAATTAATGAGCTTGTTTCTTCATCATTAAATAAGTGTGACATTGGCTTCTCAAAATATGTTTTCATATTCTTTGATCTAGTAATTCTAATTTTGGGTTTCCATTCTAGAGAAATAATCCTAAATGTATAAAAAAGTTATATACACAAGTTACCACAATATGACCAAAGTAGGAAAGAAATAGAAACATCCTAAATATTCAACAATAGAGGAATCTTTGAATAAATTGCATTAACTAATTTGATGGAATGTTAGGTCACTATTAAAAAGACGTTAATGAAGAGTTTAAAATGGCTTATACCAAAATGTTAAATGTAAAAAGCTGTATTTAAAAGTTGTATATCTCATTTATGACTATGGTTTGTGTAGCAGGTAAAACTCCGTGTAAAATTCCATCTTACTATTCTTTAACTTTATCTCCGTGAAGAAGTTACCTTTTTTAAGTCTGCTTTTTTCATCTATAAAATGGGAAAATGACAATACTGGCTATCACCAAATGCTGTTATTTTTAATTAACGATCAAAATAGATAATTCAAACAATGTTAGCTATACCTATCTCACAGTAAGTGTTCATGTTTCTACAGCTATAGCTTTTTTTTTAAAGCATTAAATGAAAACAAAACCTAGCATACCAGAAAGTCTAAATGCAAATACGTCAATGTGTTGGCAGTAGTTATTTTTGTTTGGTGGATTTGGCTGTCCAAAACATTTGGAACATCTCTCCTACGTCAAGGAAACATCCCACCTTACAAGTTCACACATCACCAAGACGGATGCTAGAAATCCACTTCTTAGTCTTCCTTATACATACAGAACAAATATATGGCCTAGGCTTTTCTGATACCATTGTTCAAGACTTCAGCTCAGAAAAAGAATCCATCTGGCAACCCATTCTGAGAAATGACGCCTTTGCCAGCTGTCAAGACAGTGGGGGCAGAGGTTCTGCCCTGAGGCCCAGCATCAGCAGTGTAGGCAGAGATACCTGTGCTAGCAGCAGTCACAGTGAGATTTCTTTGGAGCAGTGCTCGTGTGTATTTAGCTGGGGTTGGAGCTCCTGAGCACCCGCAATCCAAGCCTGAGCACCCGCAATCCAAGCCTGAGCCTCTGTTCTTTAGGATTTTAGTGGATCCTAGGCACTTTTGCCTTCACCAGCCCCTTCCTCCATAGTATACACACACACACACACACGTATATGTTATATAATAATATTTTATGACTGCATTGGTATAAAGATATATTAATATGGAATAAAAATCTTTCAACCTACAAATTATTTTTTTTCAGATTTTGAAAGCACTGTGGGCCTTAGCAGTACGCTTATTGAGTAAGTTCACCCTGCTTAATGTTTTCAAAGGAATTCCTTTTTCCTTTAAACTAGCTGGAGTATACCTGACTGTACAGGTGGCAAAACTACAGTGAAATTTTCACTTTGTTGAACATTTCTAGGAATTCTTAAATTCTTTGGAAAAGTATGTCTTACTTAGTAAAGAGAAAATAATACATTTATGAAGAAAAAAAGAAAATCTGAACAATTAATTTATCTTCAGTAGCTTATAGCATCAAATGAAAAAAATGCATATCTCAGAATCTTAAGCTACAAAAGTACTGTAAAGATCATTGTAGGAAAAAAAAAAAAAAGTCATTGTGTCCAATTACCCATCTGCTATTTCAATTACCTTTACCCCATACCCTGACCAAGTTGTCATTGTCAGTGATACCGAACCCAGTAAGTACTATCTCTGGAAGAAAAGCAGACATTCTGTCTCTTGATTATATGACTGTTAAAAGTTCCTCTTTAATACTGAAAAAGAAAATATATTTCTGAAATATTTTTCCCCAAATGTATCTCCAATATATGAATATTCTTTATGTTCCCATTTTAGATCCCCAATACCAGTGCCTCAGAATTATTACATAGCTCCCCATCTCAAAAGATTCTTATACCTACTTGCACAAATTTTTTCCTTTGAGTCTGTATCAATCTATGATTTCCGTAGGCCACCTGTTTCTCCAAAGCAAAGATGTGAATTACTAAATCAGAGGCACTGTATCTCTTCAGATCATTATTTCTTTGACCCCCCATCAGAAGAATACAAACTTGCATGAGGTCATAGTTTAAAAGGAAATTTGGAATCCAATACAAAATGCAGACATTTGTATTTTGAAAAGAAAAACTTTTCTACTTTATGAATTTTTCTTGAAGTAGCTACCCAAAACAAAATAGTAAAAACTACACAAAACTAGAACTCTGGGAATACCAATTATCAGTCTTGGTACTGCTCCTAAATCCTGTTACCAACAAAATCAAGGTCTCTCAGATAAATTAAATAATAAAGACAATTTAGACTCTCAACATTTGATGACTTGATTTCTAATAAAGATTAGATCCCTTAGGACATTAGCTACATGACTAAGTAAAATTAATAAAACTGATCAGTGTCATCTGATTTGTAGTTGATATTTCCTTTTTGGGGGAAAGGCCAAAATGGCAGACTAGAAGCCGCTAACAAGTGCTACTTCTAGAGGAAACAAAAGGGCTAGTGAACACTGACCCTGCAGGCTGATCATCTGAGCAACCACATCAGAATCCATCAAGGCAGCAGAGGAACGCAGAGAGCAGAAAGGAGCAAAGCAGGACACCACCCTGTCTGGGCTTAATGTAGAGTCAGCAGAACCTCTCCAAAATGGAAAAGGATGAGTAAGACCCCTCTTGGGGATACACACTGCCTACAGGGACAAATGCAAGACTGGGAATGAGATCATCCCTTTGGCCCACTCCACGGCCCCCCACCATGCTTCTAGACTGAGGCAGATGTTTTCTGGAGGCAACTCTCAAAGTGCAAGGGGAACTCTAAAAGACTTTGGCCCCAGAGCAGACCATCACCAGCACAATAGCCCCAACAGAGGTCGCAGTTTGGTGCCTGAGAGCAGTAAGATTGCTCCACCCAGCTCACTGGACAAGGTCCCATGTTAGGTTCTAGTCCAGCGGTCCCACTTCTGCCATAACTTGGCTGGCAGCCACCACCTCCTGTTGTCCTTGGAAGTACCCAGACAGCAGGGCTGGTGACTCCATGACCCCCACAGATAGCCAGATGGGAAACACCTGCTAGAACTTCCAGCCCAGCAGACTCACTTCCCTGTGAACTCAGCTGGAAAGTGCAGCTTCCTGTTATCCCGGGAAGCACCCAGATGACAAGGCAGGTGACCCCACCCACCCTTGCCTTGGATAGCCAGGTGGACAATGCTTGCTAGTTTCTGGTCTAGTGCTCCTGCTTCTGTGTGTACTCAGCCTTAAGGCATAGCTTCCTGTTGTCCCAGGAAACATCCGGGCTGCAGGGCAGGAGACCCCACCCACCCTTACCACTAGTAGCCAGGTGGGCAACACTTGCTAGAGCTTCCGGTCCAGTGGTTCCACTTCTGTCTGAACTGTCAGTGGACACAGCCTCCTGTTGTCCTGGGAAACATCTGTGTAGCTGGGCAGGTGGCCCTCTCCATTCTCACTACGGGTAACCAGGCTAGCCATACCTGCCAGAGCTTCCAGTCCGATGATCCCTCTTCTGTCTGAACTCAGCCAGTGAGTGCAGCCTCCTGTTGTCCCAGGAGACATTCAGACAGCAGGGTAAGTGACCCTGCCCTTGCCTCAAACTGCAGGTAGCTAGGCTGGCAATGCCTGTTAGAGCTTCCAGCCCAGTGATCCTTCTGCTGTCTGAGCTCAGAAGGCAGGCACAGCCTCCTGTTGTCCTGAGAAAATCCTGTAGAGCAGGGTAGGTGACCACAGGGTGAGTAACCACAGGGTGAGTGACCCCACCCACTCCCACTGCTGGTATCCAGGCAGGCAACACCAACTAGAGCTTTTAGCCCATCAGTCCTACTTCTGTGTGAACCTAGCTGGAGGGCACAACCTCTTGTTGCCCAGGAAAACACCCAGACAGTAGGGCAGACTACCCCACTGACTCCTGCTGCTGGTAGCCAGGCAGTCAACGCCTACTAGAGCTTCCAGCCCGGCAGTCCCACTTCTATGTGAACTCAGCCGGAGAGCACAGCCACCTGTTGTCTGGAGAAACATCCAGATGGCTGGATAAGTGACTCCACCTGCCCCTACCTCTCTTAGCTAGGCAAGCCACACCTGCTAGAGCTTCCAGCCCAGTGGTTTTACTTTTACTTAAATTTGCCAAAGACCACAGCCTCCTATTGCCCCAGAAACCACCTGGATGGTAAGGTAAGAAACTCCACTCACACCCACCTGTCATAGCCAGATAGGCCACACCTGCTAGAGTTTCTAGACCAGCAGTTTTGCTTCCGTCTGCACTCTGTGGGCAGGTGCAACCTTGTGATCTCCCAGGAAGCACAACTACAGCAGATTAGAACTGACCCAGAAAAGATATGGCCTGTCTGCCAACTGTGGCCCTTGCCTGAGAGAGCCCCATTGATCAGAACACTTAATAAAAGAAATTTGGGCATAGAGACAATAACTGGAGGGGACACCTCCAAGACCCAGGAGTAGAATAGAATCAAAACTAGTCGACTGAACTCATACCACAAGCAAATTTGCAAGGGCATCACAGAATATAAAAGCAAATAAACAAAAAACCCCCAAAAAACAAAACAAAAACAAAACAAAACAAACAAAAAAACATCTAAAGGACAGCAACTTCAAGGACTGAAGGAATATCAGCTCACACAGATGAGAAAAAAAAAACAGTGCAAAATTCTGGCAACTCAAAAAGGCAGAGTGTCCTTCTTACCTCTAAACAACCATACTACTTACCCAGAAATGGTTCTTACCTGGGCTGAAATGGCTGAAATGTCAGAAATAGAGTTCAGAATATGGATTGGAATGAAGATTATCGACATTCAAAAGAAAGAAGAAACCCAATTCAATGAATCTAAGAAATATAATAAAATGGTACAGAAACTAGAAGGTAAAATGGCCATTTTAAGAAAGAACCAAACTGAGCTGATAGAAGTCAAAAATCCACTTCAACGATTTTATAGTACAATTGCAAGTATTAACAGCAAAATCAACCAAGAGGAGGAAAGAATCTCAGAGTTCAAAGACGGTTTCTCTAAATTAACTCAGACAAAAAACAAACAAACAAAACCAACAGAGAAGAAAGAATGAAACCTCTGAGAAATATGAGATTATGTAAAGAGATCATATCTATGACTCATTGGCATCACTGAAAGAGAGAAGCACAAAGTAAGCAACTTGCAAAACATTTGAGGATATCATTCACAAAATTTCCTCAACCTTATTAGAGAGGCAAACATTTAAATCCAGGAAATGTAGAGAATCCCTGTGAAAAACTACACCAGAAGACCATCCCCAAGACATAATTATCAGATTCTTCAATGTTGAAATGAAAGGAAAAATATTGAAGGCAGTTAGAGAGAAGGGACAGGTCACCTACAAAGAGAACTCCATTAGGATAACAGCAGACCTTTCAGCTGAAACCTACAAGCCAGAACAGACTGGAGGACAATAGTCAGCATTAATAAAGAAATTCCAACCAATAATTTCATATTTAGCCAAACTAAGCTTCATAAGCAAAGAAGAAATAAGATACTTTTCAGAAAAGTATATGCTAAGAGAATTTATTACCACCGGACCTGCCTTATAAGAGGTTCTTAAGAGAGTGCTAAATCTTGACAGGAAAGATTGTTACCAGCCACCACAAAAACACACTTAAGTACATAAACCATTGACACTGTAAAGGAACCACACAATCAAGTCTGCATGATAACCAGCTAACAACACAAGGACAGGCTCAAACCTTAAATGTAAATGGACTGAATGTTCCAATTAAAAAGCACAGAGTGGCAAGTTGGATACAGAAACAAGACCCAACTGTGCTGTCTACAAGAGACCCATCTCACATGCAGTGACACCCATAAGCTCAAAGAAAAGGGATGGAGAAATATCTACCAAGCAAACAGAAAAAAGCAGGGGTCGCTATTCTAATTTCAGATAAACCAGACATTAACAAACAGTGATCAAAAATGACAAATAAGGGCATTACAAAATGGTAAAGGGTCAAATTCAACAAAAAGACCTAACTATCCAATGTATACACACCCAATGCAGGAGCACCCAGATTCATGAAGCAAGTTCTTAGATACCTAAGAAGAGTCTTAGACAACCACACAATAATAGTGAAAGACTCCAAAACCCCACTGACAGATAGTATGAGAGTGATTATCAAGGCAGGAAAGTAACAAAGATATTCAAGACCTGAACTTGACATTTGACCAAATGGGGCTAATACCATCTAGAATACTCTCCATCCCAAAACATTCTTCTCATCGGAACATGGCACATACTCTAAAATCAACCACACAATTGGTGATAAACCAATACTCAGCAAATTCAAAGACAGTGAAATCATACCAAACACACTCTTGTACCACTGCACAATAAAAATAGAAAACAATATTAAGAGAATTGCTCAAAACCATACAGTTACATGGAAATTAAACAACATGCTCCTAAATGACCTTTTGGTAACCAATGAAATGAGCACAGAAATCAAGAAATTCTTTGAAACTAATAAGAATAAAAGTGCAACCTATCAGAATCTCTGGGACACAGCTAAAGCAGTGTTAAGAGGGAATTTGATAGTGCTAAATGCCCACATCAAAAAGTTAGATTTCAAATTAAAAATCTAACATCAAACCTAGAGGAACTAGAGAAATAAGAGCAAACCAACCCCAACACTAGCAAAAGAGAAGAAATAAGCAAAATTAGGGCTGATCTGAAGGAAACTGGGATGAAAAAAAAATAAATCCAGAAGTTGCTTTTTGAAAAATAAATAAGAATAAAGGACCACTTACTACACTAATAAAGAAAAAAGAGAGAAGATCCAAATAAAGACAATAAGAAACAACAAAGGAGACATTACCACTTGACCTCACAGAAATACAAAAAACTCTCAGAGAATACTATGAAAAACTCTATACACCCAAACTTAAAACCCTGGAAGAAATTGCTAAATTCCTGGAAACATACAGCTTCCAAGATTGAACCAGGAAGAAATTTAATCTCTTAATAGACCAATAATGAGTTCTGAAATTGCATCAGTAATACAAATCCTACCAAACATAAAAAGCCCAGGACCAGATGGATTCACAGACAAATTCTATCAGATATATAAAGAAGAGCTGATACCATTTGTAGTGAAACTATTCCAAAAAATTAAAGAGAAGGGACTCCTCCCACCTCAGCCTCCTGAGTAGCTGGAACTACAAGTATGCACCACCACACCTAGCTAATATTTGTATTTTCAGTAGAGATGGGGTTTTGCCATGTCGCCCCGGCTGGTCTTGAACTCGTGAGCTCAAGCAATCCGCTCACCTAGGCCTCCCAGTATGCTGGGGTTATAGGCACCCACTGCACCTGGCCAATTCTACTGATTTGTGTGCACTGATTTTGTATTCTAAAATGTAGCTAAGTTTATCTATCAGATCTCGGAGCTTTTGGGCAGAGACTGAAGTTTTTTCGGTATAGATGTATAAAGCCTGCAAACAGCTAGTTTGACTTCCTCTCTTCCTATTTGGATGACTTTTATTTCTTTCTCTTACTTATTGCTCTGACTAGAACTTCCCATATTATATTGAATGAGTGATGAGAGCGGGAATCTTTCTTGTTCCTGTTCTCAGGGGGAATTCTCCTTTTGCCCATTCAATATGATGTTGGCTGTGAGTTTGTCATAAATGGCTTTTATTATTTTTAGGTATTATTTTATTATTTTTAGGTATATTCCTTCAATGCCTAGTTGGTTGAGAGTTATTAATGTAAATGGATGCTGAATTTTATTGAAAGCATTTTCTGCATCTATTGAGATAATCATGTGGTTTTTGTTTTTAGTTCGGTTTATGTGATGAATCAAATTTAATGATTTCTATATGTTAAATCAAACTTGCATCCCAGAGATAAAGCCTACTTGATCATGGTAGATTAGCTTTTTGATGTGCTGCTGGATTCAATTTCTAGTATTTTGTTAAAGATTTTTGCATCTATGTTCATCAAGGATATTGGCCTAAAGTTTTCTTTTTTCTGCTGTGATTCTGCCAGGTCTTGATATCAGAATAATACTGGCCTCATAGAATGAGCTGGATCTCTTCCTTACACCATATGCAACAATCAATTCAAGATGTATTAAAGACTTAAATGTAAAACCTAAAACTATAAAAACCCTGGAGGATAACCAGCAAGGTTTTCATGATGAAGACAACAAAAGCAATTGCAACAAAAACAAAAATTGACAAATGAGACCTAATCAAACCAAAGAGCTTCTGCACAGAAAAGAAACTATCAACAGAGTAAACAGACAACCTAAAGAAGGGGAAAAAATATTTGGAAACTATATATCTGACAAAGGTCTAATATCCAGCATCTATAAGGAACTTAAACAAATTTACAAGCTAGAAACAAACTCATTAAAAAGTGGGCAAAGGATACAAACAGACACTTTTCAAAAGAAGTCATACCTGTGGCCAACAAACATATGAAAAAAATGCTCCACATCATTAATTGTTAGAAAAATGCAAATCAAAACCACAAAGAGACACCATCTCACATGAGACAGAATTGCTATTAAAATGTCAAAAAAATAACATGCTGGTGAATTAGCAGAGAAAAGACAACACTTAGACACTGCTGGTGGGAATGTAAATTAATTCAACCATTGTGGAAAGTAGTGTGGTGATTCTCAAAGAACCTGAAACAGAAGTAACAATTGACCCAGCAGGCTCATTATTTGGTATATACCCAAATAAATATAAATTATTCTACGATAAACACACATGCACATGAATGTTCATTGGAGCACTATTCACAATAGCAAAGTCAAGGAATCAACCTAAATCCCCATCAACAGTAGACTAGATAAAGAAAATATGGTACATATATACCATAGGATACTATACAGCTATAAAAAAGAATGAGATCATGTCCTAAGCAGCAAATGAACGGAGCTGAAAGTCATAATCCTAAGCGAACTAATGCAGGAACAGAAAACCAAATACCACATATTCTCACTTTTAAGTGGAAGCTAAATATTGAGTACACGTGGACACAAAGAAGGGAATAGATACTGGGGCCTATTTGAGAATGGAGGGTGGGAGGAGGGAGAGGATTGATAAACCACCTATCAGGTACTATGCTTATTACCTGGTTGATGATATAATCTGTACACCAAAACCCCTTGGAATGTACTTTATCTATATAACACTGCGCATGTACCCCTGAACCTAAAATAAAAGTTAAGAAAGAATATTTCCTTCTTAACTAATGTACAGGGAAAGTATTAATTGCAGTTGAAATCAAAATAGACTATCACTAGTTATCCTTCTGATTGTCACTCCAGATAGTCATTTTTTTCTGCTTTTGGAAAGCAACAGATCTACATGTGCCAAATATAGAAAGATTGCAAAGACATAAATGACTGCAAAACCTATACTTATACTAATTGGAAATCCTTTCTCCTAATTGAGTTGTTCAAATTGTTTTTAGTTTGTATATGTTATGGTAAATTCTAGTTTTAGTAATAGCTAACCACAAAATCTCAGTCACTTAGGTTTATGTTATCAATTCATAGATCCAATTTTTGCCTGACAGAGGCAGGAGGGTGGGGAGGATCCTTTCAGCTTTATGAAGTTTTTCAGAAACTCAGCCTGAGAGAGACCCCACCACACTGCAGACAGGTCACTTAGTCACACTCAATATGGGCATCCAGCCAGGAGACTAGGAATGAGGGAAAATGAGTACTTTACAGGCCATGTCTGTAAGTGTCTCATTACTCAACTGGGTGCAAGGTAGTCTGAGAAGTCAATTATACAACTTGGAAAAAAACAAGGATCTCTGCTGGCCATCTGGCCATCTCCACCGTAGTCCACTATAGTTAAATTTTTATGAGGCTCAATGGGTCCAAGGCAGGTAGCATGCATTTCTCCATACAAATTCTAGTATCTAAATAATGAAGTGGGTAAAGCGAATGAGTTGATGATAAATAAGGTCTTTAGTAAAATTGGCATCTAAAATAGCTGAAGACAAGAGGATAATCAGAAGAGTGTGGTGATTATAAGCAGCAGGCACTTCAGGGAAGCTAGACAATAGGGATCCAAGACGAAAGTAGTTTTGGATGAAAAGTAGCAGAAATATCTTTGGCACAAAAGTCATATAGAAAAGGGAATGTCTAAGGGTGTTATTTTTATAGTCACATAATAAAAGGTGAAAATCCTCATCAGAAATGATGGTGAAACCCCGTCTCTACTAAAAATATAAAAATTAGCTGGGCATGGTGGCACGAACCTATAGTCCCAGCTACTCGGGAGGCTGAGGCAGGAGAATCACTTGAACTCTGGAGGCAGAGGTTTCAGTGAACCAAGATCGCACCACTGCACTCCAGCCTGGCAACAGAGCGAGACTCTGTCTCAAAAAAAAAAAAAAAAAAAAAAAGTAGATTAAACTGTTTAATCCTCTTCTGAACCTACTACAAATGAGTGAGAGAACAGTAGGGGAATGAACACTAGAAGCTGATCTTTCTCCTTTAGAAAAAGGGAGAGGTAGAAGAAAATATTTCCGGTACCCCTAAAGACACAACATTTATTTAAGGCCTGAAAAGGGTGAAAAAGGAAAACAGAAAAAATCACCAGGTAGAACATAGGGTCCTAACTACACTATTACAAACCCCTACAACCACTAAAAGCACCTAACTCTATCCATGCTTCTGAGAGGAATCCCTCTAATGAGACTGCACAGAGTGAGAAATTGAGGGAAGGAACATTTAGAAGTTTATTTATTTAATTATTTATTTTAGCTTTATCTTTGGATATAATTTCTCCTTTGTTAGAGATTTTATAATATTTTTATAAATTATTTATTGAATTTGTATTATCAAAGCATATTTGTTATGTGTTATAGTTGTATTAACTCTCTTGAAACATATTGGCATGTGGCTAGGTATAATTTGGGATAAAAAATAAAGTAAATGGGCTTTGGCATAAGGTACAGCAAGGTCCTGGAGCTCACTTTTTCAGTGCCCTCTAGAGTAGTGCTAGCCAATAGATGGTTCTGTGATAGTGCAAATATGTTATAATCTGTTCCGTTCTAGTATTAACTAGCTATTGAGAACTGGCTATTTCCCACCGAAATGTACCTAGTGTTAATAAGGAACTGGACTTCTATGTAATTTGAGTTTACATAGCCATAAGTGGCTGGTGGCTAATTTATTGGACAATGCAGCTATAGAATTAAAAGCCAAACTCCCTGCCAGATACACAAAGTAGCTGTGCTATTCTCAATTTCATGAATAGAGAGCAGGACTTCCTGGGAACCAACAGTCTCTTTCCCATAAGGGCCACATTTAACACTGGTGAGCCATAGGGTTTGACTGTTATGTCTAAATGCATGAAGGAAAGAAAGAGAACATGGCTGGGGGTGGGAGTCTTCCATTCCTTAGGAATTTTATATATATTGCTAATAGAACTCCACTAGAGAACACTCTTGTCCTTCTCTTCCCTTCTTACTCATTTGGGCTTCTCTGTTTTACTCTCAAGAAACTACCTTCCTTTATTGCTTCCTATGTATGGTAAGCCCATAACAGTGAACTCTGCTCCACACAGGAAGCCTATCTGTCTGGGTAGATAAGTTAATTCCAGAATGAAATATTAGAAAGCATCAAGTATATCATATTATCCAATTAAGCTTTTAACCTTAATAAAGCTGTTATGCAGAACTTCATTTGCCTGATTCCCATGCCTACTAATCAGTTGCTTCCAAAACATGAAGGGAAAATAAAACAAAATGTATTGATCACCATCCCTCCTTAGAACTTCAACGCTAAATATTTCTGATTATTTAATAACTCCAAAGTAAAAGAATTTGTATTTGTGGTGGACTCTCTTTTCTCTAAGAGACACTGATTAGTACTTTGAAGCACATAAAACAGGCTCTGTATGTATCAGTTTCTATTATGGCAGCCATAAACCAGAGGAGTAAGTCATACGCCAATGCTTTGTACTGAGATTAAAGCCTTTCCTGACCTTTTTGACTTGGTCTAATTCTCCATTATTTGCTTCCACAGCATCTAGTACTTCTCCTTTGTCTCATAGCATATATTTATTTGTGTGATTCATTAATGAAGAGTTTACAATTCCCATTGGGTTGTAAATTCTATAAGGAGAAGAGATCATGTGCATTTTAAAATAATTTTATTTCCAGAGTTTGAAATAATGACTGTCATATATAAGATTATCTATGAATACATAATGCAATATTTCATTTAATGACATAAAAATTTCTTTAGTATGGACAAAGATTATAATATGAAGTTAGTTTTTGGCTTCTTCTTTATGCATAGTCCCCCCAAAATAAGGAGTCTGCAAAAGAATTATTTGGAGGTATGTAATTGTCCCCAGTGATACAAAAATAAAAATGTCCATAATAATAGGAATGAGTAATAATGACTGGAGTCAGGCTATGCTTTTTTTTTTTTTTTTTTTTTTTTTTTGCATTCAATAGGTCAATGCCAAGGGTCTCACAATGGCGTTAGTTAGATATTCAAAGCACACAATCATGGTGCTAACATCACAGCAGCAACCTCCATTTGTTGAGTGTAATTCTGTTCAGACATTGTGCTGAACATTCTCAAAAAAGTAATAGTGGCAACCAGTTTATTTAGCTAAGATCTTTACCACTTTGCCATGATAGCTCCCCCGAACTCTCTGTGAGTGGATATTACTAATGGACGAAAGGGGCAGTGATATCTGATATTCAGTTTCAGGTTTTCATTTTTGCATCATAGTTTCTCTAGGTCTTAGTCAATTGTGTAAACTTGAAATTGTGTGCTTTATGGATGCATGTAGAGCCTGTGTACATATTTTAGATCAAACTGGGAGGCAGAGAGCTAAGACAGGATGAAAGAAATGATATGATTAGAGGAAGCTGGGAAGATGCCTTATCTGAAGTGATGAGCAGCAACCAGAATAGATTTATTGAATTCAAAAATACTCACTGGGGATTATCAGAAATTCTTACAAAGGGACCTGAATTTCTTGCTATCGTGTTGAGTGAGTACTGAAAGTTATTGTTACTTGGATATTAAAGGAAAATGTGATAATGGAAAGAAAATATATCCACAGGATCCAGGGCTCTGAATTAATTAGAAAGAGGTGGATGGAATCTGGGATCCTTAGATGGCTGCATGGGTCCTGGTGGATGTTGGTGAGAGAGAAGTTGGTAAGAGCTAGAGACTGTTATGCATCATGAGAGGATTAATGCAAAAATAAAAAAAAACTTTTCCTGTCCTGGGATATCATGTACACTTCATATCACTATAACTTAAGAAGAATATTTACAATTAAAGAAGATGCAGAAAGGAACACCTAAAACAGGCAAATGAAGTGTGAGAGCTATCATCTGCAGCCAGGTTAAAATGGTATGACTTTGCTAACTTGGAAACGAAAGCTGTAGAAGAACAACAATATAAAAATGAGCAACTTGAAAATTAAGATAACTTACCAATTAATACAGATTTGCTCAACAAATCTCAAAGTATCAGGGCAAAGAAATATGCTTTGAAAAAATAAAATTATTAGTATTTTTTAACACCAATTAAGAATATTCTGGAAATATACATGCATATAAAAATGTGTGAAATTTATGAAAAATTAAGTCATACACAGTTATTAAAGAAAAGCTTGTATATAGCTTATCTTTAAGGTTGAAAGCCACAACCTCCAGAAACCATCCTGTAAGACTTCCATTGGCAATGAAACACTAGAATTAGAAGGGTCTTGATACATCATCAATTTATCAAAATATTCCAAAATATTTTTAAAAAGCAATTTAAACAATAGCTGATATGTAATTTTCTGAAACAGAACACTTTTACTTATTATTATTTTCTTTTTACTTTTAAGTACATAGGTACATGTACAGGATGTGCATGTTTGTTACATAGGTAAACGTGTGTCATGGGAGTTTGTTGTACAGATTATTTCATCACCTAGGTATTAAGCCTAGTATCCATTAGTTATTTTTCCTGAATCTCTCCCTCCTCCTACTCTCCACCCTTCGACAGGTCCCTGTGTGTGTTATTCCCCTCTATGTGTCCACGTTTTCTCATCATTTATTAAGGAAATCCTCAGAAAAAGGTCTACTTTGTTTAGATGTTATAAAAACAATTGCAAATAGGGGTCCTGTATTTCGTTTTTGACTAATAATGCTCTATATTTTTAAAATATCTGTATAAGCAAAAGGAAACTGAAGTTTTCAGAATTTTAATTTGTCCTTGGGTGCACAAAAGCAGAAATATCTGACCACTCATCAGAGAATCCCTGTTCTGCATGGGATTTTAGGAGATTAGTTTGCTTCTTTCTAGGGAATAGAAGTAGCCTCCAGAGAAAGCATGCACCAATAAATTTTTTAACCTGACATTAAGGGAGATACAAAGTTGCTTTGAAAGAAGAGACTTTGATCTTAGGCCAGAAAGCTGAGAGAAGAGAACAAAGCAATCAGAATCCAGCATAGTCTCAATCTTCATTTAAACCTTTTTAGGAACACTTCTTTGGAGTGAAAATTTTCTCATAAAAAAGACCAACCAACCAACCTTAAGTATTTAGCTTTTAGGCTAATAGTCTTCATCTCTGAGCCACAAAAAGCAACAAATAATGATATTCATTCTACAAGGGCTCTGTTTTCCAAGATCTGAATTTATGTCAGCATTACATAGATCAATACTCCTTTGTCAGCTAAGAAGGAAAATAATTCATTTTTCATAATGTAGTTTTGATAGTTCAGAGACTCTATCTACTTTGATCTTCAGGACAAAACTAGTATGAATATGGGCAAATATTATGACTTCTACTTTACGGAAGTAAAAGTTTAATCTCTAAGAACTAGAAAATACATAAATAGCTTCCTGTTTTGTAAGATCCATTGCACAAACTGGTTTAATTAAAGGCTCAGGTTAAGAAATAAGGAACTGAACAAATGTGACTCTAAGCTATGCTCTTAATCTACCATTTAAAAAATTTCTTGTCCAAGGTAACATGAATTTACTACTAGAACTGGTAATTACACGCATAAACTAGTGTTCTCATTATACAAATTACCTCCCACATACACCCATTATTAAATAGCACTACGAATAAGGCTACGATTGGCCAGTCACCAAATCCTTTCCCCTTTGCTCCTTTACACACATGTAAACAATGCTTCCCAGCCTTCTGTGCAATTAGGTGACTGAGATCTGGCTGACAGAGTGCAGGTAGATGTTACATACATTTATTCTGGGTCTGGCCTACAAAACCCCTCTATACTATCCTCCATGTTCTCCTTCCCTCTCCATTAGCTGAATGAGGAAGACAAGAAGTGCCGATTCACAAGAGGAAAGGATCCTAGATCCCTGTGTGACTATATAGAAAGCCTTCTAGCTACCAGCAATAGCCAGATTGGAATTTATATGAAAAGAAATAAACTTATATTCCAATAAACTAACTACCAAGATTTAGGAATTTCCAAAGTGGTGTACCATTTTCTACTCCCACTAGCAAAGTATAAGAATTCCATTTGTTCTACATTCTCACCAACATTTAGACTTCTTAATCTTAGATATTCCATCCATATGTAGTTGTAACTGTGGCTTTAATTTGCTTTTTCTTGTGACTTTTAGTTTTAAGCATTTTCATCATGCTTATCACCCATTTGTTACATCTTTATTTGAGAACTATTCAAATCTTTTTTTAACTAGGAAGTTTATTTTCTATTATTGTGGGATAGGAGTCACTATTATATTCTGGATACAATCTTTTGTCAAATATATATTTTTGTCAGAAATATTTTCTCCTAATCTGTGGCTTGCCATTTAATTTTCTTAATGGTTTCTTTCAAAAATCAGAAGTTTTTTATATATAGAAACTCTAATTTATCAGTTTTCCACTTACGGTTTGTGCTTTTTAAGTCATATGTTAGAAATTATTTGCTGTACAGCATTAGAAAAATAGTCTATTTTGTTTTCTTTTTTAAAGTTTTATATTTTAGCTCTTGCAATTTGGAAAATAATTTATCTAGTGAGAATAAAAGCTGGTGTTCATTTTGTTGCATAGGTTTATCCAGTTGTTCTAAAAATATTTATTGCTAAGAATTTCCTCAGTAAATGCCTTGATGCCTATGCAAAAATCAACTGACCACTATATACAGGTCTCTTGTGGACATTGTATTTTGGACTACTGACTGATTTGTCTATACTTACGTGGTATGGTTTGGCTCTGTGTCCCCTCCCAAATCTCATCTTGTAGCTCCCATAATTCCCACGTGTTTTGGGAGGGACCCGGTGAAAGAAGATTGAATCACGGGGGTGGGTCTTTCCTGTGATATTCTCATGATAGTGAATAAGTCTCATGAGATCTGATGGTTTTAAAAACGGGAGTTTCTCTGCACAAGCTCTCTCTTTGCCTGCTGCCATCCAGGCAGCAAGGATGTGACTAGCTCCTCCTTGCTTTCTAACATGATTGTGAAGCCTCCCCAGCCATATGGAACTGTAAGTCCAATAAACCTCTTTCTTTTGTAAATTGCCCAGTCTCAGGTATGTGTTTATGAGCAGTGTAAAAATGGACTAATACATTATGCTAGTACCACAATGTCTGGATTACAGAAGCATTATAGTAAAATTTGAAAGTAGAGAATACAAATTCCCTAACTTTGTTCTTCTTCAAAACGTTTGTCTATTCTTGATCCTGTGGATTTCTATATAAATTTAGTATTAGCTTGTCAATTTCTACCCTAGCCCCCCAAAATCTGTCAGTATTTTGATTGAAATTACATTAAATTTATATATCAATTTTTGGAGAACTAATAAAATTGAGTTTCTTAGTCCATGGATTAAACATGAAATAAAAATCTTAAATTCTCTAAGCAACATTTTATAGTTTTCACTGTAGAAATCTTGCACATGTTTATTAATTTCCCAGAGTATTTTACGTTTGGGGGATGTTATTATAAACAATTAATCTAAAATTTATTTGCAGATTGTTTCTGCATGAATACAGAAATACATTTGTATAAAATTGGCCTTGCATCCTATGGTCTTTATATACGCACATATTACTTTTAGTTGCCTTTTTGATTTGTCAAGATTTTCTGCAAACACATATATTCTGTGAATAAAGACAGTTTTACTTATTCCTTTGGAATTGTGATGGCTTTTACTTCTTTTTCTCATCTTTTTGCATTGATTAGGATTTCAGTACAATGTTGAATAGAAAGCAGACACAACCTGTTTCTGATCTTAGCTGGAAAATATTCAAAATTTCACCATTAAAAATGTTTGCTGTAGAGTTTTTATATAATAGATGTGCACATAAGATTAAATTCTTTTCATTCCTAGACTTCTGAGAGCTTTTATTATGAATGAATGTTGAATTTTTCAGTTGCTTTTTCTACCTTCATTGAGGTGATCATAGAACTTCCTCCTTTCTTCTGCTAATGTTATACAATACATGATTAATTTTTAAATGTTGAACCAATCTTGAATTCCTGGGAAAAACTCCAAATGCTCATAATATAGTATCCTCTTTATATATAATTAAATTGATTTCCAATATTTTGTTAAGAGCTTTTTATCTCTTTTGATGAGGGATAATGGAATGTACTTTCTTTGAATATCTTTGATTACAGAATCATGATGTCTTTGTAAAATCAGGTGTGTAGTGCTCATTCCGCTTATACTTTATTAAAGTTTATATAAGATTGTAATTTTTTCTTCCTTAAATGTTTCCTATAATTTACCAGTGAAGCCCTGTTGACCTGGAGTTTTCTCTATGAGAATGTTTTGAATTCCAAATGTAATTTGTTTACCAGTTACAGGACTGCTCATATATTTTGTTTTTTACTTATGTCAATTTTGTTAAGTTGTGATTTTTTAAGAGAATTCTTCATTTCATCTAAAATTATAGAATTTATTGGCCTAAAGTTGGTCACTGTTCATAATACTCCCTATATTCCTCTTAATATCTTTAGCATATTTGTCTTCTCTGTCAAACCCAGTATTGGTATTGTGTACTTTTCTTTCTTAATCTGCCTTGCTGAGGTGCATCCTTCTGATTGATCTTTTGAAAAACACAACTTCCAGTCTTTTATTTTTTTTCACTTTTTCTATTTGATTACAGTATTTATTATTTCTTTCTTCAGCTTACTTTGGTTTTAATTTACTCTCCCTTTTCAAGCCTTTTAACGTGAAAACTTAGTTAACTAATATGAAGTGTGCTATCTTTTGTATTTTAAGCATTTAAAAATGTTCATTTGTTCCCAAACACTTTTCTAGCTTCTCCCCACAAATTTTAATATCTATGTGTTAATTTTTGTTTAGATTGAAGCATTTTCTAATTTTCTCTGGGATTTCTTCTTTGACCCACAAATTATTTAGTCATGTACTACTTAATTTCCAAATATTTGATAATTTTTAAGATGTCTTTTAATTTTTCCTAGTTTAAATCTACTGGACAGTAGCTACAGAAAACTGCTCTGCAAAATGTCTATTTTTAAAAAATTACTGAAACCTTCTTTTATGGCCCAGCATGTGCTCTATTTTGGTGAGTGCTCTATATGTACCTGAGAAAAATGTGTGTTCTGGAGATGTTGGGAATAGTATTCTACATATATAAACTAGATCAATTTGATAGATGGTGTTTTTTGTTTGTTTTTGTTTTTTTGAGATGGAGTCTCCCTCTGTCACCCAGGCTGGAGTGCAGTGGCACAATCTCGGCTCACTGCAGTCTCTGCCTCCTGGGTTCAGGCAATTCTCATGCCTCAGCCTCCTGAGTAGCTGGAATTACAGGTATGTGCCACTACGCTCTGCTAATTTTTTGTATTTTAGTAGAGACGAGGTTTCACCCTGTTGGCCAGGCTGGTCTCAAACTCCTGATCTCAAGTGATCTGCCTGCCTCGGCCTCCCAAAGGGCTGGGATTACAGGTGTGAGCCACCACACCTGGCGTAGATGGTGTTTAGGCTTTTTTGTCTAGTGATCCTACCAATTTCTGAGAGTCAATGTTAAAAATACTATGGGCATTTGTGTATTCTTTCTTTGGTTGTGCCAATTTTTAAGCTTTGTTATTAGAGTACATTCAAATGTAGAATAGTTATGACATCTGATATATTGACCTTCTTATCTTCCTTCTCAGGTAATAATCCTTATCTCAAAGTTCACTTTGTCTGATAGTAAAATAGCTAAATCAACTTTCTAATGATTATGTTTGCATGTTATGTATTTTCCCATCATTTTACTTCAAGGTATATAGATCTCTTTGTATTATAGACAGCATTTTTTTGGAGGGGGGAAAGGAGGGTCTTGGTTTTATGGTTTTATTATAATTATTTTCTTTCCTTTTTTTTTGTTCAGACAGGGTCTTGCTCTGCTACTCAGGCTGGCATGCAGGAGCACAAACAGCAAACATGGCTCACTGCAGTCTCAACCTCCCAGGCTCAATTGATGCTCCCACCTCAGCCTCCTGAGTAGCTTGGACCACAAATGCGTGCCACTACCCTAAGCTAATTTTTATATATATATTTTGTAGAGACAGGGTCTTGATGTGTTGCTGGGGCTGGTCTCAAACTCCTGGTCTCAAGTGATCCTCCAGCATTGGCCTCCCAATGTGCTGGGATTACAGGCCTGAACCACCTGTAATAACCACCTGTATGCCTGGTCTATTGTATTTATTTTCTTTATTCTTTCTAACTGACACATAAAAATTATATACATTTATGGTGTAAAATATGATGTTTTGATATATGTATACATTGTGCAATAGCTAAATCAAGCTAATTAACCTATCCATTACCTCATAATTATCATTTTTTGTGGTGAAAACATTTATAATTTTAGCAATTTTCAAGAATATAATATATTGTTATTAACTATAGTCACAATATTATACAATACACCTCTTGAATTTATTCCTGCTGTCTAAATGAAATTTTGTATCCTTGGACCAACATTTCCACAATGCCTCTACTCCAGCCTACCACCCAAACCCCTGGTAACCACCATTCTACTCTCTGCTTTTATGACTTTATAACTTTTTTAGATTTCACATATAAAAGAGATCATGCATGCAATATTTGTCTTTCTGTGTCTGACTTATTTCACTTAGCATATTATCCTCCAGGTTCATCCATGCTATTGCAAATGACAGGATTTCCTACTTTTTAAGGCTGAATAGTATAATACTTCATTGTGTATATATACATTTTCTTTACCATTCATTCATTGATGATCACTTAGGTTGCTTTCATATCTTGACTATTGTGAATAATACTGCAATGAACATGGCAGTGCAAATATCTCTTCAACATACTCATTTCAAACACTTTAGATATATACTCAGAAGTGAATTTCTGGATCATAAGGTAGTTCTATTTTTAATTTTTTGGGGGCCCCCACACTGTTCTCTACAATGGCTGTGTTATAATAATTTACATTGCCATCAACACTGTACAAGGCAAAAGAATAAAATTGTATCTTTATCTCACCTTTTATATAAAAATCAACTCAAAATGGATTAAAAACTTAAACATAAGATCTGAAACTATAAAACTACTAGAAGAAAACATAGGGAAAATGCTTATTGACATTAATCTGAACAAACATTTTTTATACGTGAGCCCAAAACACAGGCAACTAAAGCCTCATTGAAAAATGGGCCACAGCACTTTAAGAGGCCAAGGCAGGTGAATCATCTGAGGTCAGGAGTTCAAGACCAGCCTGACCAACATGGTGAAATCCCGTCTCTATTAAAAAGACAAAAAAAATTAGCCAGACATGGTGGCACACAGTGGCAATCCCAGCTACTTGGGAGCCTGAGACAGGAGAATTGCTTGAACCCGGGAGGTGGAGGTTGCAGTGAGCCAAGATTGTGCCATTGCACTCCAGCCTGGGCAACAGAGTGAGACTTCATGTCAAAGAAAAACAAAATGGGCCAAGAGTGTGAATATATATTTTTTAAAAGAAGACATACAAATGAACAACAGCTATATGAAAAAAATGCTCACCATCACTAGTTGCTAGGGCAATGCAAGTTAACAACACAGTAAGATATCACTTCACATTAGGATGGCTATTGCCAAAAAGGCAAAAGGTAACAAGTACTGGAGGACAGACCAGCATATATTCTATTTCTTTTGTTGCTTTTAAATTATTTTTATACCTTTTTATACAATTTTAAAAATAGTAACTTGACATGGTTTGGCTGTGTCCCCACCCAAATCTCATCTTGAATTGTAGTTCCCATAATCCCCATGTGTCTTGGGAGGGACCTGGTGGGAGGTAACTGAATCATGGGAGCAGTTAATCCCATGCTGTTCATGTGAGTTCTCATGACATCTGATGGTTTTATAAAGGGCTTTTCACCCTTTGCTTGGCACTTCTCCTTGCTGCCACCATGAGTAGAAGGATGTGTTTGCTTCCACTTCTGCCATGATTGTCAGTTTCCTGAGGCCTCTCCAGACATGTTGAATTGTGAGTCAACTAAACCTCTTTCCTTTATAAACTACCCATTCTTGGGTATGTCTTAATGAGCAGTGTGAGATTGGTACCACAGAGAGAGGGGCACTGCTCTAAAGACACCCAAAAATGTGGAAGCGACTTTGGAACTGGGTAACAGGCAGAGGTTGAAACCTTTTGCAGGGCTCAGAAGAAGATAGAAAAATGTGGGAAAGTTTGGAACTTCCTAGAGACTTGGAGGGTTCAGAAGACAGGAAGATGTGAGAAAATTTGGAACTTCCTAGAGACTTGTTGAATGGCTTTGACCAAAATGCGAATAGTGATATGGACAAAGAAGTTCAGGCTGAGGTGGTCTCAGATGGACAGAAGGAACTTGTTAAGAACTGGAGTAAAGGTCACTCTTGCTATGCAAAGAGACTGGTGGCATTTTGCCCCTGCCCTAGAGATCTGTGGAACTTTGAACTTGAGAGAGATAATTTAGGGTATCTAAGGAAGAAATTTCTAAGAGGCAAAGCATAGAAAAGGAGGAAGGGCATAAAAGTTTGGAAAATTTGCAGCCTCAGGATGCAATAGAAAAGAAAACCACATTTTCTGGGGAGAAATCCAAGCTTGCTGCAGAAATTTGCATAAGTAATGAGAAGCCAAATGTTAATCACCAAGACAATGAGGAAAATGTCTCAAGGGCATGTCAGAGACCTTCACAGCAGCCTGTCCCATCACAGCCCTGGAGACCTAGGAGGGAAAAATGGTTTCTTGGGCTAGTCCCAGGGCACCCCTGCTCTATGCAGCCTTGGCACATGGTGCCCTATATCCCAGCTGCTTCAGCTTCAGCTGTGGCTAAAAGATGCCAATGTACAGCTCAGGGCATTGCTTCAGAGGATGCAAGCCCCAAGACTTGGTGGCTTACATAGGGTGTTGGACCTGTGGGTGCACAGAAGTCAAGAATTGAGATTTGGGAACCTCTACCTAGATTTCAGAGGGTGTATGGAAATGCCTGAATGTCCAGGTAGAAGTCTGCTGCAGGGGTGGAACCCTCATGGAGAACCTCTGCTAGGGCATGGAGAACCCCTGTGGAAGGGAAATGTGGGGTTGGAGCCCACACATACAGTCCCCACTGCAGCACTGCTTGGTGGAGCTGTGAGAAATGGGCCATTATCCTCCAGACCCCAGAATGGTAGATCCATCACCACCTTGCACTATGCACCTAGAAAAGCCACAGACACTCAATACTAGCCTGTGAAAGCAGCCAGTAGGGGAGCTGTACCTACAGGGGCAGAGCTGCCCAAGGCTGTGGGAGCCCATCTCTTGCATCAGTGTGACCTTGATGTGAGACACAGAATCAAAGGAGATCATTTTGGAACTTTAAAGTTTAATGACTACCCTATTGGATTTCAGACTTGCATGAAGCCTGTAGCCCCTTTGATTTAGCCAATCTCCCCTTTGAAAGGTCTGTATTTACTCAATGCTTGTAACTCCATTTTATAGGAAGTAACTAAGTTGCTTTGATTTTACAGGCTCAGGTGGAAGGGACTTACTTTGTCTCAGATGAGACTTTGGACTTGTACCTTTGGGTTAATGCTTGAATGAGCTAAGACTTTGGGGGACTGTTGGTAAGTCATGATTGTGTTTTGAAATGTAAGGAAATGAGAACTGGGAGGGACCAGGGGGTTGGAATGATATGGTTTGGCTGTGTTCCCACACAAATCTTATCCTGAATTATAGTTCCCACAATCCCCATGTGTCATGGGAGGGAACTGGTGAGAGATAATCGAATCATAGGGGTGGTTACTTCCATGCTGTTCTTGGGACAGTGAGTTTTCACAAGGTCTGATGGTTTTATATGGAGCTTTTCTGCCTTTGCTCAGAACTTCTTCTTACTGCTGCCATTTGAAGAAGAACATGTTTGCTTCCCCTTCCACCATGATTGTAAGTTTCCTGAGGCCTCCCCAGTCATGCTGAACTGTGAGTCAATTAAACTTCTTTCATTTATAAATTGCCCAGTCTCTCATATCTTTATTAGCAGCATGAAAACAGACTAATACATGACTCTGAAGATTGCAATTTGCACCCTTAATTTAGAATTGTCTACTTCTAATTGTTATTAATGTGCTGTTCTTGCCATATGTTATAAACACTATAGATAATATTATTTTTATTCTAAACAGTTTTCAGTTGAAAAATAATAAAACCATAAAATACAGGCTTTTAAATTTACCAAGAGAGATTTATGATTTCTTGTGTTCTTCATTCTTTCCCATCAATACAACTATTATTCTCTTCAGCTAGCAGAACCTACTTTAGCTTTCCTTGTGTGCAATTCTGCAGACAAAGAATTCCCTCAAATTGGAAAATGTTTCTATTTTACTCTCAGTTTTCTTGCATACATTCATTAAATATAGAACTCTGATTGATAGCTTTTGTTTTCTTTCCAAAACTTTAAAGATATGGTTCTATTGTTTCCTGGCTGTTATTATCTTTGGACAATAATTGTCCTCTAGGTAATATGCATTTTTCCCTAGCTGCTCTCAATATTTTTTCTTCATCTTTTAAAAATTTTATTGTTAGTCCCACAAAAATCTCATTCTATCTTTGCATAGGACACCTCCGTCCCAAATTCAGTCTTTGCTCTACCTCCTCAATTAGATCTCCACTCTCTGCTTAATATCTCTTCTTTTGCTCCAAGTCAGAGAACTTAAAACAATGTGAGATGAGCCTCATTTTTTCCCCATTTAACAGCATAAATTCGTGCAATGTCTGTTGCCCAACAACTGTAGGCAGTCACTATATTTTGTCCAGTTTTGTAGTTTTGTACAGTGGAAGGATAGCTTGGAAAGCAGTTGTTTTTTTAAGGATCGAAGAAATCTTCTACAGGCATCTTAATGACTAATATTCTACAAAGTTCCAATGTAGTACTTTCATTAAACTTTTCTGTATTAATTAATACATATGTTAGTTAAGCATCTTTATCTATTATACGTGAAACTATAAAATTAGTTCTTAAAAACTTTAGTAACATTTCCTTGGGATTGATTCCCAGAAAAATTAATAAATAGGACAATATTTCTGATTCATAAAAATACCAAAAAACGACTCTTCTCAAATCTAATCGGTTTTGAGAAAAAATAATTCTCTCTAGATATACACATATGAAACGCACACACACGCACACATATACATGCACACACAAACACATATATATCTTTAGATAAATATATATCCAAACTATTTCCACAACAGTTATATCAATGTTATGGTAAACATTATGACAATGTGTTAATCATATAAATAGTAAAATAGTGAGTTGATAAATGGCAAATATATATATATATATTCTTCTGGTTTCTCTGTCCTCTGGTAGCCACCTTCTGCCTGTGGTTACCTTGGATTCTTATCCTCCAGCTGACTCCCAAATCCTTAAGCATCCTTAAGAAAAAGGTGCCAGCACTCTGCATTGTCATTTCACCATTACCGATTTTACCACCAGGATTTTCAGACTTTTAATCATGATAAAGGTGAGAATAATTTTACTGTGACTTTCAGAGGCTTTTGCTTTAGCACTTTAGTTTCATTCAAAACCTCAGAATGTATTGAATTATAAACCAGCTATGTGTTCTCTGATTTTGTTACTTCTTTGCTGAGTGGGCACCAAAACATTGCTGATCTCTTTCTCCCAGGAGTGATGCTTTGCTTAGGTGAATACCGAATCCTCATGCTTCAGCCCATATAGGCAAATGCCCCAGGGAAACAAAAGCTGCTGATCCTCAGCAACTTCTGAAATGTTTTCGCCTGTCTGAACTTTTAGTGCATCTAGTACTGCTTGATTCCTCAGTTTTCTGTTATCTTTAACAATATGATTTTTGTAATTTATTCAGTTTTTGTAGTTTAATCAGCAGTTTTCTTGGCCTCACATTACTTACTACAGTCTACTTTGAAGCAGAAGTTTAGTTTTGCCTGTTTTTAATTTTTTATAAGTAGAATTACAAAGTATGTATTTTTTTTCTTCCTGGTTAATTTTGCTCAATATTGTTCTTTTTATATATTCATCTATCTTTTGCATGTTCATATTCATTACTGTAATTAGTCCATTGTATGATTACACCAAAATTTATTTATGTATTCTACTGTTAGTATCTGAGAAACTTTCACATTGTGGCTATGAGGAATAGTGCTGCTTTGAACATTATCATAAATGTATTTCGTGAATATGTAAATACATGTTTATTAAATGTATACAGTAGTAAAATTTCTGGATTATGGGGCACGCACATATTTTTATCTTTAGTAGCTACAGTCAAACAAGATTCCAAAATGGTAGTTTTTATTTACATTTCTACCATTAGCATATGAGACTTTCCATTTGTATGTATTCCATTGGCTGTATTTTCTCTCAGACCTCTTTCCTTTCTTTGTGAGAGTATTGTTTCCTATTGCTTTAGATAAATTATTTATGTAATAAAGGTATTAATTCTGCCATACTTGCAGCAAATGTATTCCTATATATTTGGTTATTTGTGTTTTAACTCCAGCTATAGGAAACATAATGTGAAATGACTTTGGATTACTCATGCTTTCAATTATTCACATCTCTGCTTCAGTTCATTAGAGTAAATAATCGTCTTAACTTCATCACAACAGTGAATGGTTTATCAAAAGATATACTTTAAGACTGGGATTTATGAAGCAAAGTAGGACTAATGTAGATTCACTCACACTCTTTGAGGAGACAGAATTATAAACTGGCAAATAGCTAAAAAAAAAGGGGGGGGGAAGAAAAAAAGGATATCTGTATAAATGCTGTTTCATGCTGTATAATCAGAATAAGATGAATCTATCATTAGTAGGATGATGAGGCTTTTTGTTTGTTTTAGGGGATTCGTTAGAGTTGTGATTTTCTGCATCACATTGGCTCTCATAAAAAGCCACATCTGAATGTTTGTGGCCACCCTGTTTCTCTAGCATGCCCACATAAAATAGGCCTTTTTACCTGACACTTTATTAGCCACGTCACATCCCATTACTCTGGTTGTAACTAATGTGAGGTGAGAAATGATGCTGAGCCCCAGCTCTCCTAGCCTCACGAAAATTATTAGAATAACAAAGCCAAGCCAACCAGCAATGCAATATGATAAATTATAGTTATCTTGACATTCATTAAAACCAATTTTTAGTCTAATATGTTCCCATAACCAAATCATTTTCCCAAAAAAGTATAATACAGAATCAAAGCTACATCTGTTAATAATGAAAACCTCAAATTTATACAGAGGCAATTATGATCTCCAATACTTCCAAGTAGGTTCATAAATCCAAAAGATGTTTCATAGTGTTTAATCTTTTCCTCACCTAAAATTTAAGCAAATGCTTTATTGGGGAAACACAGGCTAAAAGCATCAAAGTTATAAATAATTAAATCAATAAACAGCAGTACACTTAAACATAAGTAAAACTATGTCTAAATTATTGGTTTGATTTTAATTTCATTGACTTTTTCAAAATTATCCTAAAACAACAATATTTCCCAGTAGTAGTCCTAATTTTCTCCTACCAGTATATTGTCACTAGCTTCAGTCATTGCATAGAAAGCCTGTAGCATTCTTGGCATACTGCCACCTGCAAAATGCCATGGCTTAACCTCCATTAAGGAGTCCACCCTCTACACATCTGAAACAAGTAGAGAACATGAAAAAAATCATTTCAAAAAAAGCTGAAGTAGATGACTACCTGGAATTGTGTGGTCTGTGCCTCATTTGGCCCAGAAAATGAGAAAGGTATTTGTGAATGAAAAGAAAAAACTGCAGTCAAAGCATATGTTATGCATATATAATTTGTTTTTATGAGCCTTTAAAGGAACTTGAAATTATAGCACAACTACCTTATTTCAATCTTGCAATGTATTTTGTGTGTGTGTGTGTATATATATATACACACACACATATATGTATACATACATATGTGTATACATATATATGTATGTATACATACATATGTATGTGTGTGCGTGTGTGTATATATATATATACACATATACTTACATATAAACTTTTCTTGGGAGAGTTCATCAGGGGAATAAGTCAGTGTCAAAAATGCGAACCCAAGCAACACATGATCACAACTCAGATCTACCAACCCCTACCCATAATTCCTCTAACAGGTAAAAGTCATTTACCACAAAGCACTGTGATGGAAATAAACTGAGATAATTAGAGCTACCTTAAAAGTTGAAGATGACTGTGATTTTGTGAGACAGTCAACTGTCATTACAAAGAATCTTCCTATTAAAAAGTATTATTAAAAAAGGAGCTAATTTAGGCCAGGTGTGGTGGCTCACACCTGTAATCCCAGCATTTTGGGAGGTGGAGGTGGGAGGATTGCTTGAGTCCAGGAGTTCGAGACCAGCCTAAGCAACATGGCAAAACCCCATCTCTGAAAAAAACACACAAAAATTAGCCGGGTATGGTGGCATCTGCCTGTAGTAGCACCTACTCGAGAGGTTGAGATTGGAAGATTGCTTGAGCCCAGGATGGGGAGGTTGCAGTGAGCTGAGACTGCACCACTGCTCCAACCTGGGTGACAGACGGAGATCCTGTCTCAAAAGAAAATAAATAATAAAATGTGTCTTATACTGGCAATTAAAAATAAATAATTAATTGATTAAAAAATTAAAAAGGAATTAATTTGAAATACTATGATTTAGCTTAGAAGATACTCTTTACAATGTATTCTTTGAATACTGGAAGACACAATTATGAGTTAGTATTGTCAAATATAGATGCAATCTGTGTGACTCTGTAAATATTTACTTTCAGAGTTTAAGAGTGGAATGCAATTTTCCAAAATGTGGAAAGCATTCCAAAAAGTTATTTGGAAAGACTTTTCCCTGTAGGGACTGGTTATCAGGACCTTTGTAGTTAGGTAAAGCAGAAAACACTCCTTCATTCCTGTGATCTGCCTTGGATCTGCAAAGATAAAGAAAAAATACTCCATAAAAACATTTTTTCTATCTAGGGAGCTGAAACTGAGTTTTAATGCCACTGGGGAACTGCTCTTGTTGTTCATTTGACTTATCAAGAAGCAAATAATACAGCACTCAGAGAAAAAAAATATGTAATTAAGGCCTCAATCATGTAAAATGATAATAACCAAATATCTGAAAACAAGGAGTTATTGTTAGCATATCCCATTTGATTAGAAGGGATTTTAACAAGAAACTCACGAAGTCACAAAATAATTCAAAACACAATTTAGAATAGGTTAAAATTGTGTTTGTATATATAAACTACAGTATGCCTTATTGGACAGACTCATTGAGGCGATTAAGATTTTAATGTGTTACTCAAATTATGAGATAATTTTGCATTTTCTTGTGATTACATTTACAAACTATTTTTTTGTCTAAGACATACTGAACAGAAATAAGAATTGTTTTATCAAGAAACTGAATATGTGACTGTTCAGACATAACATGAAACTAGAGTAATTCTGAGGATGTTGTCATCCATCAACCCACAGGAGTCATTATTGCTGAAAGATACCAATTACTAATTCAATAATCCTCCAAGTATCCTTCCCTTTAACCAGTAGAAAATATCAGACCTCCCAGATTGTTAAGAAATTATTTAAAACCTCTTACATCTACAAAGAGTAATCTATAAACTCCCTACCTTTACTTCTTTGTTCCTAACCCACCTTGCAATCTGATCAAAACCCTATCACTATCACTCCGTAATACAACCGTCGCTGAAAACACTAATGACAGCCTGAGGCCAAATCCCCTGCCTGGTCCCAGCCTTAGAAATGTAAGAGAAATAGAGAGGATTCTAAAAGTACACCAAAATAAATCCAGGAGCTCCCTTTTCCTCCACAACAAGCTCTAAACATTTGGCCAATTCTGAGTCAAACTAATGGCTAGGACTATCACAAGCTAGGGAGGCTAATGAACTTTTCTCTCTAGAGGGAAGAGCTTGGCAAAATTCTGAGGAACTTCACTTAAGCCCAATAAACTGCTTTTGAGGATAAACTTGGCACTTAAATCCTATATATTCCTAAGAAGGCTGACTGCTGGGTCTCCTGAACATCTGTCAGATAGAGTAGCTCCATCAGGTGGGTGAGACTCCTTGCCCCTGAGGCCAGGACATTACAAGAGGCTTGAAAACTAGAGACTTGAAAACTGAGAGGTTTTATCAGGAGCAATAGTAATTGTAGATTCTAGCCTGTAAATTCTTTCTCTACTCCTTTGAGATGTAAGTCTCTTTTAGCTTCTTGCTAGTTTTATAACTCAGGAATGCCTTTCTCAAGAACCTGGGAGCCATCCCTTTGAAATGTAAGCATCAGGAAAAGTAGTGTGTTCTTTATAAAAGCTGAATAACATTCCATTGCATGTATATACAACATTTTCTTTATCTGTTCACCCACGGAGGGCATTTAGGTTGTTTCCACACCTTGGCTATTGTGATAATGCTGCAATGAACATGGGACTGCTAATATCTCTTCAAGATCATTAGAAAAGAAGGAAATTCTGTCATATGCAACAACATAGATGGATCTGGAGGACAATTTACTAAGTTAGATAAGCCAGGCACAGAAGGACAAATACTGCATGATTCCACCTATATGATCTACTCAAAGTAGACAAACTCATAGAATTAGAAAGTAGAATGGTAGTTGCCAGGGGTTAGGGTAAGAAAGAGATAGGGAGTTGTTCAATAAATACAAAGTTTCAGTTATACAAGATAAAAAAGTTCTAGAGATCTGCCATACAATATTCTGCTAATGGTTAACAATACTATATTGTAAAATTAAACATTTGTTAAAAGAGTAAATCTCATGTTATATATATTTACCACAATAAAAAATACTAACAGTAAAAAGATAGTGCCCCAATCTCCCAGTCTCTGTAGAAGGGTGAGTGCCTAACTTCCGTAAGCATCAATTAGTAAACACAGATTGCCTAATCACATTTGCCAACCTCTACTAATGTTCACTAGGTCATCAGGTGACTGCCAGTTGTTGGCTCATTTATAACAGGCCTACAAATACGGAAGCCAGCGCCCTTAACCCTTTGTGAAATATCCTAATAACAAGAACTGAGACAACAAAGAAGACTCACAAACCATTTTAACTGATTAGCAGCCAGAGGTAACAGGAAAATTAGAAAGAGAAATCTGCCCAGAGAAGTAGTATTTCTGGAAAAGACAAATGGAAATTGGAATAAAATCCCACTTGATTTCCAAACTAAAGACTTTATTAAATGAAGTGAAGAAGTGAATTATCACTGCCAGAAACAAAAACAGTGTCTTAGAAGATCAAGATCAAGAGTTATAAAATCCAGAACAAAAAGCAATTGAGATGAAAACATGAGGAAAAAAATAAAAGATTTGAAAAATAAATACAATGTATCTAATATCCAAATAAGAGGAATTTTAAGAAGAGAAAAAAGAACTAATGAAGGCAAAGTGACAATTAAATAATAGAGAGAATTTTCTTGAGGTGAAGAAAAAAATCTAAATAAGCAATTGAAGTGGTTCACTAAGTTCCAGACTTCATGATAAAAATAATATATATATTCCTGGGCCTGTGCAATTAAAAGTCCAGAAGTTGGAAAACAAAGAAAATACTGTATGAGCTTAAAAACACAAAGAAAAAGTTACCTAAGAAAAAAGAATACCGGACCATGAAATGGAGTAGGAATCCCTTTTAGAAGCCTTTGTGCTCCCCACGAAGTCCCCCTCCACCTCCACCCGTGAGCATGGAAGTCAAGGAAAATCTCCACTTCCTTCAAGGGAAGTTCCAGGCACCTAGCTAGCTCTGAGAAGTAAGTAAGTGATTTGATAAGCAAGAAGGTAAAATAACAGTTAAAAACAGTAGCTAAGGACATCAGATTTGTCAGATGTTTGGTTCCTTATAAAAACTAAAGATAACATCTTAATATATGTCCCCGAGTTGTTTTTCAGAAACTCAAGATCCCACCAAACAGATCCTCTGGTGTCTAAGCTTCAGATAAGGAGAAACTGAGGATTGAACTCTGACCACTGTTTCTTGTTCTAAACCTCTTCCTGAGGCACCTGGAGGAGGTCACACCCAGGACCCAGAGCTAACATTCTTTTCTGCTGAACCCAAATTTTTAGCCTTAGCCTTGAAAGCCAGAAAATCTTTGAATGTACTTATGAATTGTAATCTCCTGCTTCAAGATGTCCCACCCTTTTGGGCCAAAACCAACATGTAAACTCCATGTATTATTGATTTATAATTTTGTCTGCAACTTCTGTTTTCCTGAATTTACCTCTGCCTTTATTATTTATTTATTTATTAAGATAGAGTTTCGCTCTTGTCACCCAGGCTGGAATGCAATGACGTAATTTCAGCTCACTGCAACCTCCATCTCCTGGGTTCAAGAGATTCTCCTGCCTCAACCTCCCAAGTAGCTGGGATTACAGGTGGGCGCCCGGCTAATTTTTGTATTTTTAGTAGAGATGGGTTTTCACCATATTGGCCAGGCTGGTCTTGAACTCCCAACCTCAGGTGATCCACCTGCCCCATTCTCCCAAAGTGCTGGGATTACAGGTGTGAGCCCATGCCTGGCTATCCATGCCTTTAAAAACCCTTACTTTCAAGCCATCAGGAAGGTCAGAACTTAAGCATCAGTTCTCCAATTCTCCTTGCTCCATGCCTTGCAAATAAATACCTCCCTTTCTCCTACTGCAAAACTCAGCATGGATATCTGACTTTACTCTGCCAGGCAAGTGGAACCCTAGTTTGGTTCGATAATAACTGAGATTTCTCATATGAAGCCTTGGAAGCTATAAGACATTGGAATAAAATTTATAATAAATTGAGAGACAAGCCTGGCAACAATAGAATTGTTTTACCAGCCGAGATATCCATTACTCACTAGAGTGAAATAACAATATTTATGTATTTGCAATAATATATAGAGTGTCATTCATGTACTGTGTATAAAGAAAATGCTTGTAAAAATACTCTAACCAAACAACCAAATCAGAAATCTCAAAATGAGGGAAGATGAATCAATCAAATACTTGTGAGTGGGCTGAAATAGTTGGGTCAAATGTACCAGATCATGAATGCTGGGACAGTAAAAAGTAAGAGTTAATGAAAGAGTACAGTAGGGCAGTTTGAAGCAAGATAAATATTTTTTAAAAAGCCTTTATCTTCTTTAGCAATAATAAACTTTAAAATGAGAAAAATATAATAATTACAGCACTTATAAACATTACAAAATACTGAGAAATTAATAAAAACAGAATGAGACATATGCTATATGGAACAAAACCATACAATTGTATTGTAAGTTATTAAACAATATCTAAACCAAATAAGAAGGTCTTTAGTTGGGAAGACATAGTATGAAAATAATATCTTTCCCCTAAATTAGCACATACATCCAATGGAATTGCAATTAGAGTTCCAACAGGACTTAAAGCAGATTGGAATAATATAATCTGGGATTTACAAGAAGAATAGGTGCCTAATCATAGCCAATAAAATCATGTAATAGAAGACCAATAAGGAGGTAATTAAAACTTATAATACAGCCACTGTATTATTACCAAATCAATATGCACTGGTATAGAAATAAACAGATCAATGGAAAGAGAAAATACCTAGAAATAGATCTTGCTATATAAGATCAGTAGAGAAAGAACATATTATTAAATAAATATGCTGGCACAACTAGGTATCTAAAAATTATTTATTCCCATCCTTCACCATACACAAAAAACAAATTCCATATTTGTTATAAACTTAATTATAAACAAAACAAAAACATTAGGAGACAGCATCTATGATAAACAGAAAAGAAAATCTAGACAAAATTGGAATCCCATAACTTATACATCTATTTGATTACATGGTATTTTCTGAGGCAAACAAGTCAATAGACAAATGATGGATTTAGAAAAATATATTTGCCAAGCAAATGGTATACTAAGGGTTAATTATCCACAATATGCAAAATACTATTAAAATTAATAAGAAGACAACTCAATAGAAATAGGGGCAAAGGACTATGAAAGAACAGTTCACAGAGGAAAAAAAGATGCTTAAATTTACCAAGAGGGAAATTCAAATAAAACACAGTGAAATGTCACTTTATACCTAACAGACTTCCAAAAATTAAAAAAGCTCTAACACCAAATAATGGCAGGGATGTAGGAAAAAAGAAACTCTAATACACTTCCAGGAGTGTGAAGTGTGAAGATGACTTGTTTTTTGGAAAGCCATCTAGCAACATCTGTTAGAATTATAAATACATATACTTTTCTATATGCCCTATAGAATAAAAGTCCTAGTGCATTAATAGTTACCTAGGAGATGATTATTGTTCTTCTGTTCATTTGACCAAAAATAAACACAAAGACAAAACCTTGTTAAGCAAATGCTCATATATAGAAGAATGGCTGAGAGAGTGATGATATACTACACAATAGGAGATTATTCAGCCATTAAAGAGAATGAATGAGAGCTTTACCAGTTGATCTAGAAGTATTTTCATACTATATTGTTGAATCAGAAAAGAAAGATACAGAAAAATGTGTAAAACATCACCTATATGTGCAATGTAAATGATTACAAATCACATAAACATATTTATATTATTAATAGTATATGAAATGAAGAGAAACATGGAAGAATGAACATTAGGACAACACAAGCAAGTGTTACCTTGCTTGCATGACGTGACGTGATGTGATGTGATTGGTATGGAGATTTGTGTTGAAGATGGAGGACAGGGAGAAATCAGGCCAAGAAGAAATAGGAAAAATACTGTATTAAAAAACTGATACTCAGGAGTCTGAGGTGCGAGTTTTATTTGAGACCAGTCTGGACAACATAGTGAGACCCAATGTCTACAAAAATAATTCTTTTTTAAATTAGCTGGGTATAGTGGTATGCCTGTAGTCCCAGCTACTCAAGGTGCTGAGGCAAGAGGATCCCTTGAGCCCAGGAATTCGAGGTTGCAGTGAGCCATGATTGTGTCACTGAACTCCAGCCTGGGTGACAGAGAGAGACTCTGTCTATTAAAAAAAAAAAAAAAGAAAACTGTGCAAGTATGCAAAATTATGTGTGTGAATATAATTACATATGTGAATATAATTTTTATCAATAAAAATGGTGATGACTGTTGTTTTAAAAGCTTTTTCCTCAGTGGCTAGGAAAATTTCTCTGGCTATGTTTAGGAGATAAAAGGAAGGGAGTGGGCCCACGGGCTTTGGTGCTGGATAGCTGGAGTTCAGATCCCAGCCCTGTCACCAACTGGAGGTAAGACTCCCAATGCATTTTTCACTTTTTCAGGCTCAAAATGTCCTCATCCACGAAGTAAGATTGTGAAAATAAAATGCAACAATGTAATTAAACTGTTTAGCACACTGCCTGCCACATAGTAAGAGCTCAATAAATATTTCATTAATACTATCATTCTTATTGTAGTTATTGCAAATTAGCCAGATTTGGGTCCTGGTTAGAGGAGATGGAAAGGTGGAGAGCAAGATGATTTTGAGGTTCAAGCATAAGTGATTGGAAACCATGCTACTATGTTTAAATCCTCCTTCTTAGGTTTTGTTTTGGTATCCAAGAAAGTTAAAATCCTTAGCATGGCATTCAAGATCTTCAAAATCTGTCTTTCATCTAATTTCAACAATTCTCCTATACCCAGATATTGTATTTATTTTCCAAACAATTCCTGCAATGCCTACTCAAAGAGTTGCTATTAGTGAAGAGGTTGAGGCATTTCTTTTTTTCACCCACCACATGCCAGGCTCTGTGTTATGTGCATTAACACTAAAATGTATGTTCTATTTTCCCCATTTTGAAGATAAAGAAATTAATATTATCATAGTTTAATGAGTGTCGAAGTTTGTTTTAATGTTAGGTATGGCTAGTTCCAAACCCTAGACTTTGTCTAATAAAGCTGGCTGCCATCAATGTATACAAGTGTCCCACAAACAATAAATATTCTACAAATTTAAATGTAGCAGGATATTTAATGGGAAATTTCCATTGCCATAAGAGTCTTGGCAGAGGTCCTAAAATTGAGGACAACAAGTGATAAATGTTCACACATTCTATAGAGAGGTGCCAGACACTCCCACCCAGACCTGTTGAGATAAATCTAAACATGTCCTTTCCTCCTTTCTTCCTCACCTATCACCAACTATATAATGAATATAAAGTTGATTAGGTAATGGAGTTTTCTAGAAAACTTATTAGCCTAGAAGAAAGAAGGGTTAGGCTTTTCACCTCCTCACTTTCAGATCATGCTCAAGCAGCAGCCTGTTATAGAAAATCCAAGCAACTGGGCATCTGAAGCACATGGCACCGTACCGACTTACAAGAGCACCAGACAGGGAGACATTGTCTCATTACTTCTGTTTCCTAGTTCCATCCTGGAGTATGAGGGAAAAGGAACACAAGAGCGAAGTGGAGGAAGAGTGAAAAAAGACAAGGCCCCTCCTTTCTTACTGTGGGTCAGGGGAATTCTTGTGTCAGAACCGAGCTAGAAACATGGGGAGATACCTTAAATAGGATTAGAGGTGAAAGTTATGATATATGATTATACTATACTTTTAATATTTGAAAATGACAGTCCTAATATCCAATGATTGCTCTATTATTATTTCTGAAAAAGCTCTGTGATCTTTCTGAGATATTCTCCAGGGGCAGAGAAGGGAGATCCAACAAAGCCTGTTGGAGGACAGTGGTTGGAGAAAAGATGAGCCTATTTCATAATTATGCCTTATTGACTGGTAACTTAAGAAACAGTACTTCTCCCATCTGCTGTGGCTGACATTGTTCATGTACATTGTTCTCTTTTGAAATTCTTCCCAGCATTCTAGTCTCAACTTCCATGATCCTGCTACCATAATGTCTTTGATAATGTCTCCAGATGAATTCGTATTTTCTTTTGTGCTCCTATAGCCCTTAAAGCCCATTGATCATACAGTATTATAGCCACGAGGATAGTCAGACTCCTCTGAAACAGTGAGATCCTTCAGGATGGGCATGGTGTCTTATTTGTGTTTTATTTCCAGAATTTAGCACAGTATTTTGCTCAAGCTAAATACTCAGTACTAGCTCATTAAATTGCCATGGAATAAATTGATTGTTGAAATCAGTCAGAGACTCCAGAACTTTGTTGTATCTGCTGTGCTCCAATGCCTCTGGTGGATAAATCCAGAAAACGTCTCCTGGGCAGGGGACTACTATTTCTGCTTTCTTGTGATTTAACAGGTAAGAGGCAAGATTAATATAGATAAATATTCAGGAAATTTGAGACCTAGGTATCATCTGTTCATGAAGCAAGCAACTAGATAAAGTTCCTACTACGTGTCAGGCCTTGGAAATGAAAGATAAAAAAAGACACAGCATCTACCCTATTCCTTTAAACAATTTGCAATTGTTTAAAATGAATCTCAGTTTGGGAAATGCATGATCATCATTTGCTGAGAGTATCAGCAGCTTGAACTTGGAGTTAGCAGAACTCTGGATGTGAGTTGCCAGCTCTACAAGATAAAGATACAGAAACTGAGGTAGGAATAGTCTCAGGGCAATAAAGCAGGCCTTGGCTTCAACACCAGACCCCTCCATAGACTTTCTTTGCTGAGAGTACATGATGATTCCATAAGTCCCAACCTGACTATTGACTTAATGACATATCCAGATTCATTCTAATTATGTAAGTATTATCATAACCCAAAATGGCCTTAACATTCCCTTCAGCTAGACTAAATTTCAGACAGGTTTTTACAGATTATAGGCCCCTGACCCCCCTTTTCTTAAAGCATTACAACCTTAGAAAACTTAAGGTTGTAAATTCTTTTGCTACCACTTTGAGATATAGATCTTCTTTCAGTCTGTTGCCAGTTTTACAACCAAGGAACATCCTCAAGGATCTAGGGGCCATCTTTTTGGCATGGAAGCATCAAGAAATGAGGGTAGGAGCCTAACTTCCACGAGCTCCAATTAGTAATAAACACAGATGGCCTAATCACTTTGACCAGCCTTGCCCCTACAATCCTTTAGCACATTTCCACTAGCTAGTCCAGTGTTTAAAAACCCCTCTGCCTCTTGTTTCAGCAGAGTTGAATTTAATCACTCTCCAAGGCTAGAGTGCAGTGGCGCAATTGGCTCCCTGTAACCTCTGCTCCCAGATTCAAGTGATTCTCCTGCCTCAGCCTCCCGAGGTAGCTGGGACTTACAGGTGCATGCTACCATGCCTGGCTAATTTTTGTATTTTTAGTACAGATGGGTTTTCACCATGTTGGCCAGGCTGGTCTCGAACCCCTGACCTTGAGTGGTCTGCCCCCTCGGCCTCCCAAAGTGCTGGGTTTACGGGCATGAACCACTGCGCCCGGCTTACAATAGTCTTGTAAAAAGTTTTGCTGCCTGTTTAACTCCACACAGTTCAAGTTTTCTTTGACAACACTTTATAGTGTTTCAACCATGGCATAGTGGTGTGATAGTTGTGATTAGGCAAAATTATCCAATAGCCTTTCTTGATTATATAAACCAGTGGTTCTCAACCAAGGCCAATTTTGCCCCTTACAGGACATCTGGCAAACTCTCTGAAGACATTCTTGGTTCTCCCAAAAAAAGGAGGAAGTTTGGCACCTAGTGGGTAAAGTCTAGGGATGCTGTTAAACATTTTAAAATGCACAGGGCAGCCCCTCACTATGAAGAATAATTTAATCCAAATGTTAAAGCCATGGTTGGGAAACTCGGCTATAAATAATTAGACTCCTAAGAGCACTCTTCCTAGGCTTCATCCTGGTCAAGGAAATGAGGTTGTGCCAAAAAGCCCACACCAAAACACAACAAAAGCCAGCAACTGATAAATAACTTTTGAAGAGAATACCATTGAGAAACATGAGTGGAACCAATACAATTTACAGAGTATCAAATGATGTTAACACCAAACAAGTCCATGTCTTGAATGATTTAGAATGTGTTCCACTTGCTGACACCGTGCGGGTTCTGTCACTTCCTGACGGTAGCAACGTGGACCAGTTATTTTTAATTTTTATTTTTTAAATTTAAGTTCTGGGATAAATGTGCCAAACGTGCAGGTTTGTTACATAGGTATACATGTGCTATGGTGGTTTGCTGCACCCATCAACCCGTCATCTACATAGGTATTTCTCCTAATACTATCCCTCCCCTTGCCCCCCATCCCCTGACAGGCCCCAGTGTGTGATGTTCCCCTCTCTGTGTCCATGTGTTCTCATTGTTCAACCCCCACATGTGAGTGAGAACATGCAGTGTTTGGTTTTCTGTTCCTGTGTTAGTTTGCTGAGAATGACGGTTTCCAGCTTCATCCATGTCCCTGCAAACGACATGAACTCATCCTTTTTTAGGGCTGCATAGTACTCCATGGTGTATATGTGCCACATTTTGGGAAAACTGGCTAGCCATATGCAGAAAACTGAAACTGATCCCCTTCCTTACACCTTATACAAAAGTTAACTAAAGATGGATTAAAGACTTAAATATGATGGATTAAAGACTTAAATGTAAGGCCTAAAACCATGGACCAGTTATTTAACTCTCAGGCTCAGTTTTCTCATGAGTATAAAGGAGGAATCATGGCCCCTGCCTCTTAGCATGTTTGTAAAGATTCAATAATATGATGCATGCTCACTGCTTAACCCAGTATCTGACTTACAGTAAGCACTCAATATATGATCATACAAAGCAACATTAAGAGGCGAAAATGGGAAACCTAAGAATTTACTACTTAATAAATAATGAGGAAATAAATGGCATCTAATTAAGTCTAGGCCTATCATTTAATATTTTGAGAGCAAACTATCTCTTCCAACACCATTATTTTTATGATAACTTTAGATCCAGATAATCCAGTTTGTAGACATGCTGAGTCACTTTGGATTCATAATCAACATGAAGGTATTTCCTAGTAAGAATCTAATTAGATGTTTAATTTTTCTATATAGAATAATTAACTGCCACTTTGCCATTATCTGCTTTAGAGGTTCATATCAGTTCATTTACTTACACAATAATAACTGATTAATCCAACACAGAATGCCACCAGCTATCATATATCACTGACAAAGGAATAGCTCTTCAGTTAGCCTATACTCTCCCTAGAGGAATTACTAAATTTGCAGATGCTCTTTCAGTAGCTGGCAAGAAAACTTTAGCAGGTTACCTGATTTCATTTTCATTTACTAAAAAAGAAGTTATTATAGCAATAATAAAGAACAAACATAAATTTAATTCACTTGTGGCACATTGATCTCATTTTATTTGGCAAATACACAATAAAATAATTAAACGCCTCTTTTGCACATAGCTTGAAAACCTGTATCAGGATAAGCTGGCTCAAAATATTTGTAGGTAGCTCAGATGCAAATTAATTTGGCTTATTATGTAATGTAGAGTTCTATTGCATTTTCATCACCTACGTATTGAGTAATAGACCTTAAATATCATGCCTTATGTTTTTATTTGTCCCACATTTAGAGCTTCTATTACTTGTATTTGTCTTACTCCTTATTTTCAGTGTGTTCAAGATTACCTGAGTTTCCTCAAGAACTATAGTTGAAACTTTAAAATGCATTAGTGTATGAGAAGTAAAATTATGAAATCCCATTAGTTTTCACTCAACAATTAATTTTTAAAACAATAGGCAAAGAATGTTTTTAAATCACCAAACTAAAATAAACCTAAAGATCAAATACAATGGATTTTTTACTTCCAAATTTTCTAAACTAATTGTTTCTTCAGATAGACTTGTCAGTTCCAAATTGAATGTGACTTAAGTTTCTGAATTCCTGGGAAATGAAGGATGTTTCACCTCATTTTTTATTCCTCTATAAAGCAGAGTTGTATTAAAATTTTCAAATTTCTTTTTCTCTTTATGAGCTCCACAGGGCACATTTTGGTTTGTTCAATATACTATTCCTATTTTAACTTTCTCATACATTCATTTTTTTCAATTTTATTCTAAAATTTCAAGTCAAAGAATAAAATCTCTAATGTGCCAGTCCTCCCTAATGTACTTTTGAAAAGGAGGACATTAGGTGTAACTTCAGTGAGGTACAGATCAGGACATAATGCTAAGAAGAACTAAAAAAAAATTATTATAAAGAGCAGCATAGCTACAGAAGCTACAGAATTACCCTTGACAGTAATCCTAACAGGAAGGCAAATAATCTGCTTGTCATTCTATCTAAAAGAGAAATTTTTTATCATCTAGAAATCCTCTGTAGACATTGTTTGGAAGGACACTCCCTGTAAATCAGAACACATTACAGGTCGTGAGCTAACAAAAGTAAGTATTTTTTTGGAAAACAATACTATAGTATAAGTAGATAGTGTGTTAAGAGTTTAAATCAGTGGTTCTTACCTTTGGTCGGGCATTAGAATCACCTATGGAGCTTTGAAACACTCCAATCCCCAGACTGCCCCCCAGATCAACTAAATCAGAATACTTAGGCTGGGACTCAGGCGTTAGTATTGTTTATTGCTCTCTCACGTGATTCCAATATGCAACCATTTTGAGAACCAATGCTTTAAAAAATAGAAGTCTTCATAACAATTACCACTATAGGATAGAGTTAAAAGAATATTTGCATATATTTTCATAACTGATGGCTACAATAAAACAATTTCCTCTACACCCTTAATATAACATTTAAGATGAGCTTTAAAGTTACTTCTAAAATTGATTTTTAAATTTTTGTACTTTTCTTGCAATACTCCAGCAAAACTTTGAGATTTGTTTGATACATTTATATATCTAAGTTGGGGCAATTTGATCTGCCATAGCCATTTATAAGACACTAAAATATGAAGGTAAACTTTGCTAACCCAATTCAATTGACTCTAGGTGAAATAAAGAAATCAGTCATTGCTCAATCTTAGTTACTCAAAAGCAGGATAGTAGTATAAAATTTAGTATAAGAATATCGTAATACAGCAGGAAAATAACTTCAGTCTTCATATCTTGAAATAAAATCCCATGACCAGTTTATTACTCATTAAAAAATAGCTAAGTACCTTTTAGGTATACAGCACCATGCTAGACCCTGAGGATACAGTTGTAACTGAAAAAATCACAGTTCCTACCCTCATCAACTTACAGTCCAGCTAGCTGATTTTGTAAGTCAGGTCAAAGATTATGATCTCATCTACATACTCACTATAAACCCGATATTACTAAAACATTAGTAATACATCAAGTTCCAAGTGAATCACCATTTGTCCAAATAATATAACATTTTCAGATTGTCTTGGTTGATTTTTCTATACCTTTTTCTATATCCCATCTTCTAAAAGACCAAGAAAAGACTGATAATGTAAACATTACTACTTGAGCTTGGGCAAGTTTATGAGGAAAAAAATGTAGCAGACGATTCTTATATCCCCACCTCCCCAAAATTTTCTGTTCCTTTCTTTGCTGTCTTTTATTATGTCTCACTTTAGTCGTCGTCATCATCATCATCATACCATTATTGTAATTGTCACAACTACCTAAGCAGAGCCTCTAATGTGCAACTCAAAAAGGTATCTGAAAGCAAAAACTGTGGCATTGGAAAATTGTTGATCTATTTCAAACTTTTTTTAGTTCCTGATTATTTTACATTTTCCTTGTAAAAGTAATTTGTGCTCATTATACTGTAGTAAAAGCACAAGAGAAAATTACCCAAAACCCACCACCACGGTAACTATATTTTTTGATATTACTCTAAGCTTTTCTCTATCAAATATGTACACAAAATCATGCTGAATTAAAAATTTGACATATAGCTTTTTAATTTTTTCACATCATATATTAAGAATCTTAAAATGTCATTAAGAACTCTTTATAAACTTCATTTAAAATGGTATGTGGCTGAAATTCATAATATGACAGGGCACTTCAAGAGCTTCAGAATATTAATTTAATGAGCAAATATGTATGCACTGCCTTCTATGTACTGGACACTATTCTAGATTCTGCGGACACTGAAAGAAACAAAGACAAGTGTCTTAGCCCATTCAGGCTGCTTTACCAGAATACCATATACTGGGTGGCTTATGAAAAAACAAATTTACTTCTCACAGTTCTGGGGTGTGTTAGGGGGAAAGCTGGGAAGTACATAATCAAAGTGCCAGGAGATTTGGTGTCTGGTAAACTGTGGCTGTGTCCTCACATGGTAGGAGGGGCAAGGCCGCTCTCTGGGGTCTCTCTCTTTTTTTTTTTGAGACGAACTCTCCCTCTTGTCCCCCAGGCTGGAGTGTGATGGCACAGTCTCGGCTCACTGCAACCTCCACCTCCTGGGTTCAAGTGATTCTCCTGGCTCAGCCTCCTGAGTAGCTGGGATTACAGGCGCCTGCCACCATTCCCAGCTAGTTTTTGTATTTTTGGTAGAGACAGGGTTTCACCATGTTGGCCAGGCTAGTCTAGAACTCCTGACCTCAGGTGATCCACTTGCCTCGGCCTCCCAAGTGCTGGGATTACAGGCATGAGCCACTGCACCTGGCCTGGGGGTCTCTTTTATAAAAGGGCACTAATCCGATCCAGGAGGGCTTTGCCTTCATGATTAAATTACCTTCCAAAGGCCCCCAACGCCTAATACCATCACATTGGGGATTAGGATTTAAACATATGAATTCTAGGGGAGCACAAGCACTTAGGCCACAGCAACAAGATGCCTGCTTTGTGGATTTTATATTCTATTTTGTAGAAACAGACAATTTAAAAAAATCAACCAGGTAATTTCAGATAGTGATTCCTGTTTTGGAGAAAGAAAAATAGTCATGAGATTCCAACATCTTGAGAGGGGCTGGCTAGAGAGGAGAAAGGGGGAAGTGCTTGCCAAATGTCCATCTCCAAGTAGGCAATGTTTGATATGAGAATGGAGTGGTAAGTAGAAATCAGCCATATGAAACTCTCAAGCATATGCAAATGTGGGAAAAGTGGAATAATGCTACCTTCCTGAAAATTCCTAATTGCCTGAAACAGACATCTTCATGAAGGTACAGGAAAAGAATAAGCAAACCTTCAAATGCCTCTTCCCCATCAGCCCTCATGTGGTCTTCCTCAGGTCCATCTCGACTTTAATTTATCCTTTCTTTGAAAGCCACTTAGAAGCCAATGCCTTTGTTACATCATTCACCAATCACAATGAGAACTGCTATGACCAAATTCCTCCCTAAACTTCCAACCAAAGGTGTAGAAACATATAATCCTGAATAAAATCTGTGTTGTCTTTTGTTTTCTGCCATAAATGTTTACCATAAATTTACTATGATCCTTGACATTTCAAATTTATATTGCTGTTATTATTTTTTGTGATAATTTGTAGAGCTGAAGTTTGTCAAGTTTGTATAATGCATTTAGCGCTGTAGTTAAGAGCATGGGCTATGAATGGATGCTAATGGTAAGATCTTACTGAAGCTACTTAGGTCAGCTTCAATTTTCTTATCACAATAATAATATTATTAGTTTTATAAAAGATGATGTAGAGAACTCAGCTTAGAGCCTGACAAAAACAAGCTTCCAATAAATTAATAGTAAGAGTGAGAAAGAGAGGTATACACTGCCATCCCCTGCACACACCATGATTTCTTTTTTTTTTTTTTTTTTTTTGAGACGAAGTCTCACTCTGTCACCCAGGCTGGAATGCAGTGGCGCGATCCTGGCTCACCTCAACCTTTGCCTCCCAAGTTCAAGTGATTCTTCTGCCTCAGCCTCCTGAGTAGCTGGGACTACAGGCACCCACCACCATGCCTGGCTAATTTTTGTGTTTTTAGTAGAGATGGGATTTCACCACGTTGGCCAGGCTGGTCTTAAACTCCTGACCTCAGGAAATCTGCATGCCTCAGCCTCCCAAAGTGCTGGGATTACAGGCATGAGCCACCATGCCTGGCCTTGAGATTGTTTTAAATATTGTATGTATATAAAGATCTTAGTAGTAGCAAAAACAAGGTTTAATTTAGTTATGCCAAATTACTCTTTGAATGGCCTCCTGAAACTCTTGCCTGGAAGACTGTGTGTGGTCATCTAAGAAGGGCTATTCGTCAACTTTCACTCAGATGAATTGTTTAACATGGGATGTGGGGAGCCTGAACTCCTGAAACCCACTAACTCTTGGTCACAGACTTCTTGTCAAGTTTCCAATGCAATCATGGTGGGTCATGAAAACGAAATGCTGATCGTCTTATTTAAATTCTCTCTGGTGTTTCCTTCTGTTCTTAAAGCCCTCATTAAATGCCTTTTTTTTCACACTAACACAAATATTTTCAGAGAAGACTGTCTTGAAGTCCAGAACTCTGCACTTGAAAAAGGACTCCAAAAGACAAGGGGGTGACTAAGTCCTGCACCCAAGGGTGTAAGGGAATTCAGAGACTCATAAGGTAGCCTTCACACTGTCCTCCTCAGCAACCTAGCCCCCGGCCATTGGAGTTAACTCAGAGCAGTGGGAAACAGGGCTCATCAGGTGGGCTTGAGCCAGAAGGCTCCTTCTTTCATATAATTCATATGTGTAAGGATATGATGTTCAAAGGGTTCCATGGCTAAAACCAAAGTCTGAAAACCACAGAGCCAGTGATGTGAATGCAGGCCTTCTAAACTATAGTGTGATTTTCTCATTCTACTTTTTAATATTATTATGGATGTTTGTTCTTGAAAAAATTTAAATGCTTGTTTTATTGGAAATTGCTTAATTAGACAATAAATCCCATGAAAAGGCATTGTTCTAAGTCAAAGATTCATTTTTGTTTTTTCTACCATTATGTGCAATAAACACATTTAAAATGCTGCTCCTGAAGGGATTCATTTATTGGAGAAAGCAGGAGCAGTTGACTAAATTTTTCCATCCAAAAATTTAATTCTCAAAGGGGCAATCCAGTCAGTCAACTTTTCCAGAAAAGAAATTCACCAGATTTCTTGGTTGTCATGAAGATATTCAGGGGAAGGTTTTCAGCAAAAGATCTCTTTTTTTGCTGAAAGTGAGGACTCTGAGGATCTCAATTCTATTACTGCAAACTGGATATTTAATCCCAGGATATAGCCCAATACCAAAGGAATACTGAAAAATAGTCACTATGAACAGAAATCCAACTTAATTCAATGTACATTATTTGTCTTAAACAGGAGCAAACAACTACAGGATACGGGATTTAATAATAACAGTAAAGAGGTATAATGCTTACTATGGGCCAGGCATTAGTTCAAGTATTTATACACATAGGTTCATTTATTCATTACTCCAACCCTGTCAGCTTAGCCCCATAATCATCTTCTTTCACAGTTGTGGGACAGAGAGAGTAAGTCACCAGCCCAAAGTCAGTGTTGGAGCTAGAATTCAAACCCAGACAATCCAGCTCCAGAGATCAACACACAATGTTTAGTTTCAGTGAAATAAGGCAAACAAAGACATTTAGATATTAATCCTGCCAATTTTAAGTATGCTTTTGTCCTTGGTATCTTCCTTTTGTCCCTTTGGATCCACACATTGCTCTGTGCCCTGGAGCCTGTGTGGACAGAATCAGTTAGAGGTGAAAGGACAGTGAGGTCAGGGCATTCATTTTCCTGTTTTGTTTTTTTTTTTCCCCCAGTCAGGTTACTACTGGTTGGCTGCATCCCTCTGTTGAAAGCTACAGCTCCTGTCAAATGACACAGTCCACCCTGGACTCTAGTACTTCTCCCTTCCTCTGCCCCTAATCACCCAGAGATAGCAACAGCTCGCTACTGTTACACTCACAGAGGCATTGCACCACGGTCTATTATTTTCCCTAAACTCTAACCACATCTTTGTAAATACTTGTTTTATTAAACTTTTCCCTACTCACCATTCCAAGAATCTGGGCAAAGCATTAATTTCTTGATCTAGTTTGCATATGACTAGACAAAAAAAAATGCAGCATAACCTTCACAATTCCCACCTTCCACCCTCTGCATACCAGGCCCAGGAAATAAATTCTACAGCAGTCAAAAAGGAGTTCCTTGCTCCCACAACAAGCATATGTGAAAATTATTCTTCAAATTTTTTTCCAGTAATTGAGGTTTGCAAGTAGAACAGTATTTTTATTCTAATAATAGTCATTGGGTCTATTAAAGCACCATGAGTGTCAAGCAGCAGGGCAGTAACAGAGTTATTCATGTTGGGTGTTGGTCTCTTTGAGTTGAATGACCATGCTGAAGCCTTGGTTCAGGTGTTGTAAATCAGACACTTAGCCTAATTAAATACAAAAATATCTAATGTTACGCAGCTGACAATACTAGACAGTTGGCTTCCCGGAACTGGGTAGTAAAATACATCCAGGAAATGTAATCCTATGGAGCAAAGAGATACCAGGTGCATCCTTGCACTCCCTTCAATCAAATTAGCCATTCATCAGAAACAGTGCATCTTATGAATATGTCTTAGCCTTAAACAAAGAAAGTGAGCTTCTAAACTGACCTTAACATCTCCTCTTCAAAACGTCTTAAGTTGCTCTTGCCATTTACTTTAGCAGCCCACCTAGTGATGAGAATGGAGTCTATTTCCATTGAAAGAGATGTAAGAACAATACCCTGAGCCACAATTTTTAAAAAACATGGCCATCAATCCCTCCCTCTCCCCTAATATACCTTAATAGTGCTAATAGCTCTTCACACCTCCACTTCTGGTTTCTATATTGAAAGTACAGATTCATAGCTAAAATTCAGCAGGTCTGGTATTGATGGATGTATTTCCTTTTACCATATCTTGATATTTATAGTGAAATGTATGTAGAGGTAAATTACTCACTGTCTTTACTAATAAATCTTATTGTTTCATTATCACAATGTGTCACAAAGGTCTTAAAATGTAGGAGCACATAACATGTACCAGCAGAATAGATACAATAAGTTGACATCTTCCTGAATTACAATTTCATAGAGCAATGGCTGGAAATGAATCCATAATATATTGATCTATTTCAGCAATTAGCATTTAAATAATCTCTTGGGGGCACTCCTGGGCTAGTAGGATGCAATGACCAAAGATTAAAAGTCAGAAACCCTAAATATCATTCCTCTAATTATAACTCTGGCACCATCTTGATGTGTGACACCAGAGTTTTCCCAGTATAAAATGACAGTTCTATCCACATAACCTGATTGACAGTTATTGGCATGAACAAGTGACTTATAAGCACAAACATTAATATAAAAAAGCATGTGACACTTCACCTAGCAGAAATCAGTCAAATTATTTTTAGTGATTGATATTTTCATTACCCTGAATTATAATTAAGATACAGCAGTTCTTTAAAATTATATACATGCTATGTCTTTCCCTCCCCACCAGTGGTAGCCAATCTCTAAGGTGACTTCCTCTAATGATTGTCACATTCTGTTACACACACACTCACATAACTCTCCCCAACACTGATCAGAGCTAACCTGCATACCCAATATGATATGCAGAAATGAGAGTGTATGACTTCCAAGGTTAGTTTATAAAACTCACTGTTGCTTCTACCTTACTCTCTCATATCATTCACTCTAGGAGAGCCTGTTGCAATGTAAAAAAGACACTCAAGTAGCTCAGTGGAATGGCCCACATGATGAGAAACTGAGAGCCAGCGTCAACTGCCCATCACATAATTAAGCAAGCTTGGTAGCAGACCTTCTTGCTCCGGTCAAGCCTTCAGATGACTGGAACCCCAGCTGACAACTCCACTGTAACCCTATGAGAGCTGCCAAGCTAGAATCACTCAGCCAAGCCACTCCTGAATTCTGGATCCCCAGAGTCTGTGTGAGATAATAAATGTTCATTGTTATAAGCCACAAAGGTTTGAGGCCACTTGGTACAAAGCAATAGATAATTAAGACATTCTTCATTCTAAGTTTTTACTCTATACAAGGTTTATGTCGTATGTGTATATATCCTTTCTGCCACCCCCTAACATACACACAACCATCTTTCAAGCAAGTCCTCCGTATAGGAGCACAGGAAAATATCCAGGAGCAATAGGTGGGCGTGTACACTTTGATAATCACACACTTTTAAGGAATTAAAACTCTAAGTTATTTGTGTCCATTGCTATACCTGCATACATAATGAGGCCCATCTGTAAAATTTCCTCATACAAGAAATTATTCACAAAATTAAATATCACATGTTTAATCTTCATTAATATATATATGCTAATTAATTTGTAGCACAATACATCATTCCATTTTCTTACAGTAGCATAAGCAGACTACTGCTGATATAATTTTATTACCCAGGTGGTTATAAGCATTGAGTTAATGTCTTGTCATTGACTTCTGCTAACTGGCAGAATTGAGTTGTTTCATACTATTTCAGCTGGCAGTGAGATAAATGAGTTACACAGTTAAGAGGGACATCTGCCTGAAATACTGATAAGCTGTAGCAGGACAGTTTAAAGCAAATATGAATTCCTTCAGCAGCAGAAAATTTTTACACAATTATTAACTGTAACTTCACTGTGAGTCATGATCACATTATATAAAAATGCTAAAGTACTAACATTACCAGAAGCACTCAAAGCACATAATCTATTATTCATTCCATCTGTCCTTTGTCTTACATAAAATTAATTTATCATTAACATTTCAGATCAATGTTAAAATATGATAAAATTTGAGAAGATAAACATTTACTCTTTATATCACTATATTTCCAAGACTAAAACGACAAAGCAGATGAAAGATCATATCTTTGAAAACTTTTGGATACCTGAATAATCTCTGTAATAGAATTGATTAAAAACTGTTTTCAGTATTAGTTTCCAATACAATAATGGTTTGAAAACACAGATTATTTTATTAGTATTGATGTAAATTTCTTCTATGAAAATCTGGGTTCTAAATTAACCTAAACAATATTAAAGGTATTAAATTATATTACAATAAGATTTCAACTCTATACAAATTATATTTCTGCAAAGCACAGATGTTTTCTTTTGTATAAGTCCATGAAACAGCTTTTAGAGCGGCATGAATTACAGCAAAATAAAATTTATAAAAAATGAGATTTAAATGTTTTATCCTTCAACAAATAGCAGCATAATTTTACCAAATACAAAATGGTATAAAAGGTAATCATTAGGAAATGAGAATCACAAACTGCTCTTCTGAAACATTAAGATAGACAAGGGTTAGCTATTCATCATAGGTACTAGATCTTTACACATAACTTTAAAAATTTGATATTTTCATTTAATACCCATATTAATACATTTATAAATTATTGAAGGAGTAGGGATGAGAGGTGTTTGCTTCTGACATTAACTTGGCTAAGGGAGCCTTATATGTGTGGCAATACGTAAGAAATAAAATTTCAAGTCAATAAATTTTTGCTTAGTCAATTCTATTTACTTTATTTATTATTGTATTAAAATTGTACCCTTGCTAACCAATGAATTTAAGATGTGTATAGCATTCAAAAATATTTAAATGAATCAATTATTTAAATACAATGGTAAATTGGACTTACACTTAATATAGTTTTAAAAGGGTTAAGTTATTTTACTCTGAGAAATTATTGATGATATAATTCTGAGAAATCTGATGCACTGAATTTTATCTACTACCCATATATTATTAAAGTATAATTTCTCCTCAGATTATTTGAAAATATTTGTTGAAATAAATGAATGAATAAATGAAGGACAGATGTCTACAGAAACAGGTCTGGCAAAGTTTTGGCATAAATATATTCCATTTGTTTGAAAATAAATACCATTGACCTTATGATCTTTGTGTTCCTTAGATTTGCTTTTTAGTGCCATATAAAACTGTGTGCAAGGGCAATTTTTATTACTTCTCTCCCTTGACCCCAAACCTACATTAAGTATGATGACCTACACAATAATTTCTCAGAAAAATCAAACAAACCCATCAAAGTATTACTTTTATATCCATTATATGTCTACCTAAAAGGGAATAAGACTTTGGTCTCGGTATCAAAGAGATGAAAAATATAATCAGGAAAATTAAGTTAAATTACATGAAACAATTAGGGAAAATTAAGTGCTGTGATGTATAACAGCATTTCCCAAAATATCCATGAGTTGTTAATAGATGTTTCATTAAGACAAAAATAAAAGGATTCCATGGTAAAATAAGATTGGGAAATATTTCATAGCACATTATCCTCTTGGCAATTCATATTTCCATTAGCATATTAATGATGGAAAAGTTTTGCAGCAAAGAAAATTCTTGTGTTTTAACCAAGAATATCCAAAATTTATTTCAACCCATGAAAAACCTTTGTTAAATTTTCTATTTTTAGCCATAAAAAATTTCAAAAATCCTGAAAAGTGAAGAGAAAAAACTACAACAAGTACTGGCCACATTAATCTAACAGGCATTAGCACTTTGCCATATTTGGTTCAGATTTTTAAAGCTACATAATAATGAAACATCACTTATACAATTAAGGCCATCCTGACCCCTTTTGTTTCCTTCTTCCTTCTTCAGAGATTACCAGTAGTCTGAAATTGGTATGTATTCTTCTTGTCCATGATTTTATACTTTCGATTCATATATTTGTATTTACAAATAATACATAAGATTTCTGTGTTTTAAACTTAAAAAATATCATTTTGTACACATTGTGAATTAACTAGTCTTACTAGTCTTATTCAATATTTACATTTATGTGGTATATCTATGATAATGCATATAGAATTAGTTCATCTGCTTTAACTGAGAAATTGTATTTGTATAAATAGAGTCCACAAAATACAAGTTAATTTGTTTGGTATTGAGAAATAATTTAAAAGCACAGAGTGGTGAATTAACTAAAACATTCTTCATCCTAATATCTGTATCACAACAGTGGATTAGAATCTTGCCCTGTCACTTGACTGGCTGTGTGCTTTGGGCAAGTTATTTCTCCTCTACTGGATTCAATATGCATATATGTAAAACAATGACAATATTGCCAACTTTTTTTCTTTATGATTTACCTTTGATTTTATTTACCATTTCTTTTGTTGCATTTTTAAAGGTTTTTATGTTTATCAATTTTTAAAGTTTGTATTTCAGTATCTTATGTTTTCTTCTAAAATTTTCAGTTTTATTTTTCAAATTGAGAATTTTATTCCATCTACTATTGTGTCATGTAGACATTTACTTGTCCCAGGAACATTTCTTTCCTTCTTTCCCGCCCCCGCCCCCCACCCCGAGACATGAGATTTCCCTATGTTGCCCAGGCTGGAGTGAAGTGGTTATTCACAGGCATGATCACAGAGCACTGCAGCTTTGAATTGGCCTCAAGACATCCTCATGCATCAACCTCCTGGGCAGCTGGGACTACAGGTAATCAACACCACTCCTGGCCTTTCCAGTGATATTTCTTGGTTAATCTATCCCTTTGGTACTGAGTTCCAATGCTATATCATCATATGCCAAGTCTGTATAATAAAGGGGATATCATTAGTAGATGAGAGAAGGGAGACGGTTTACTATATCACCTGCTTAATCATACAAGAAGGGCTGCCTGAAAGAAGTGGTGGCCTCAGGTGGCATCTGAATATAGGTTGGACACAATAAGAACATGGGTTTTCATGTCAGACTGACCTTCATTTATATCCTTTCTGTAATACCCATTACAAGTGAATTAATCTTACTACAAATGAATTTCTTCACCTATAAATGAAGCTAATACAACTTATCTAATAGTATTATTTAACAAGCTACTATATTTTAAAGTGGCTACCACAGTAACTTGCATGTAAAGGGTGTTCAAAATAGTGGTATTGAAATCATGTGATTTCTTGTTGCTAGTAGCAGTCATGTCTGATTAGTAGCTGTGAGTTTGAAAAGAAAAGATGGAATTCCAAGGAAAGCAAAGGTAAACTGGAGCATCGCTTGACTAGAAAGATGAGAATTAGAGTTGATTCCAAGCTGTGGTTTGGAGGACAAGATATAACAAAAATTGAAGGTAGTAGTTTAGGACAGAGGTTCTCAAAGTTGTTCCAGCATGAACAGCAACAACAATTACTGAAAATTTATTACAAACGCAAATACAAACCCCAGACCTACTAAATCAGAAACTCTGACTCTGACGTGTGGACCAACAATTCATGTTTTAACTAGCCCCCAGATAATTCGAATGCATACTCAGGTTTGAGAATGTGATGGAGCATGTTTGGAGTATGATGAGTGGGAGGTGATGCTGAGACACAAGGTGAACATGATGTAAGAGGATTATCAGAACTGAAGATGTACACTTGTCATGCAAAGGGCTGAAATTCTTCTTTTCTGATGCCTTTACTTGCTTTCAGTTATAGGTTTTATTTTGCTGAAAAGCTTCCCAATCTCAGAATAATTTCTCAGCTTTCAAATTCTCCTTGCAATCCACCTACTTGGCAAAGCAAGGCCAGGGTTGTAACCCTTAATCAGTCTCCACTCTTCCCACAATGTCCCTCCTGCATTGCTCTCCTCCTGCTTTTAGCTTTTCTTTTTTCAATAAAAGTATGTATTATTTTTTCTTTTATTATTATACTTTAAGTTTTAGGGTACATGTGCACATTGTGCAGGTTAGTTACATATGTATACATGTGCCACGCTGGTGCGCTGCACCCACTAACTCGTCATCTAGCATTAGGTATATCTCCCAATGCTATCCCTCCCCCCTCCCCCCACCCCACAACAGTCCCCAGAGTGTGATGTTCCCCTTCCTGAGTCCATGTGATCTCATTGTTCAATTCCCACCTATGAGTGAGAATATGCGGTGTTTGGTTTTTTGTTCTTGCGATAGTTTACTGAGAATGATGATTTCCAATTTCATCCATGTCCCTACAAAGGACATGAACTCATCATTTTTTATGGCTGCATAGTATTCCATGGTGTATATGTGCCACATTTTCTTAATCCAGTCTATCATTGTTGGACATTTGGGATGGTTCCAAGTCTTTGCTATTGTGAATAGTGCCGCAATAAACATATGTGTGCATGTGTCTTTATAGCAGCATGATTTATAGTCCTTTGGGTATATACCCAGTAATGGGATGGCTGGGTCAAATGGTATTTCTAGTTCTAGATCCTGAGGAATCGCCGCACCGACTTCCACAATGGTTGAACTAGTTTACAGTCCCACCAACAGTGTAAAAGTGTTCCTATTTCTCCACATCCTCTCCAGCACCTGTTGTTTCCTGATTTTTTAATGATTGCCATTCTAACTGGTGTGAGATGGTATCTCACTGTGGTTTTGATTTGCATTTCTCTGATGGCCAGTGATGATGAGCATTTTTTCATGTGTTTTTTGGCTGCATAAATGTCTTCTTTTGAGAAGTGTCTGTTCATGTCCTTTGCCCACTTTTTGATGGGGTTGTTTGTTTTTTTCTTGTAAATTTGTTTGAGTTCATTGTAGATTCTGGATATTAGCCCTGGGATGCAAGGCTGGTCCAATATACGCAAATCAATAAATGTAATCCAGCATATAAACAGAGCCAAAGACAAAAACCACATGATTATCTCAATAGATGCAGAAAAGGCCTTTGACAAAATTCAACAACACTTCATGCTAAAAACTCTCAATAAATTAGGTATTGACGGGACGTATTTCAAAATAATAAGAGCTATCTATGACAAACCCACAGCCAATATCATACTGAATGGGCAAAAACTGGAAGCATTCCCTTTGAAAACTGGCACAAGACAGGGATGCCCTCTCTCACCACTCCTATTCAACATAGTGTTGGAAGTTCTGGCCAGGGCAATCAGGCAGGAGAAGGAAATAAAGGGCATTCAATTTGGAAAAGAGGAAGTCAAATTCTCCCTGTTTGCAGACGACATGATTGTATATCTAGAAAACCCCATTGTCTCAGCCCAAAATCTCCTTAAGCTGATAAGCAACTTCAGCAAAGTCTCAGGATACAAAATCAATGTGCAAAAATCACAAGCATTCTTATACACCAATAACAGACAAACAGAGAGCCAAATCATGAGTGAACTCCCATTCACAATTGCTTCAAAGAGAATAAAATACCTAGGAATCCAACTTACAAGGGATGTGAAGGACCTCTTCAAGGAGAACTACAAACCACTGCTCACTGAAATAAAAGAGGATAGAAAGAAATGGAAGAACATTCCATGCTCATGGGTAGGAAGAATCAATATCGTGAAAATGGCCATACTGCCCAAGGTAATTTACAGATTCAATGCCATCCCCATCAAGCTACCAATGCCTTTCTTCACAGAATTGGAAAAAACTACTTTAAAGTTCATATGGAACCAAAAAAGAGCCCACATTGCCAAGTCAATTCTAAGCCAAAAGAACAAAGCTGGAGGCATCACACTACCTGACTTCAAACTATACTACAAGGCTATAGTAAGCAAAACAGCATGGTATTGGTACCAAAACAGAGATATAGATCAATGGAACAGAACAGAGCCCTCAGAAATAACGCCGCATATCTACAACTATCTGATCTTTGACAAACCTGAGAAAAACAAGCAATGGGGAAAGGATTCCCTATTTAATAAATGGTGCTGGGAAAACTGGCTAGCCATATGTAGAAAGCTGAAACTGGATCCCTTCCTTACACCTTATACAAAAATCAATTCAAGATGGATTAAAGACTTAAACGTTAGACCTAAAACCATAAAAACCCTAGAAGAAAACCTAGGCAATACCATTCAGGACATAGGCATGGGCAAGGACTTCATGTCTAAAACACCAAAAGCAATGGCAACAAAAGACAAAATTGACAAATGGGATCTAATTAAACTAAAGAACTTCTGTACAGCAAAAGAAACTACCATCAGAGTGAACAGGCAACCTACAAAATGGGAGAAAATTTCTGCTTTTAGCTTTAAGTATCTGCAGGGAAGGTAATTTGTCTGGCACGATTTCATGTAACATTAAATACCATGTGCATTTACAGTGCTTTATCAATAATAAATGAAAGTAATAATAGCCTAGAACCCAGATTTTAATAGTAGGAATCCCTGGCCATTAAATATAAAATAGTTATCAATACATGTGTATCTAGTGACTTCCCTTTCTGGCACCAGAAAGACAGCAGTCTGCAAAGAACATGCTGTATCTATACTATTTAAAAGCCCTTTTATCTTAAAAACAAATTTCATCTTGTATCCAATAGGTGTAAAAGTGCACAAAGAGTAGAGCAGTAGCCAGCCACACAAAATACTTGCTATAGTCACCCTGTTGTGCTATCTATTTTCAGATTTCTCCACAGTATTTCTTTAGTTGTATTGATTCTGTGGTGGAAGTGGAGGTGGCGAAATGAGAGCTCTCCCTTCAATAACCTGTCAGAGACCAGACCAGTGAGTTAATTTTGGCCATAATGCATCAATTCCAGCTGTAAAGGATCAGTTGAGCCGTGGCTACAGGATCAATTGTATAGACATCAGAGATAAGTTAATCGACCATGGCATGCTCTGGAGCAGGATGCACACGGAGATATCACCTGGATTTTAAACTAGTGTGAACTTCTTTGTAACATCCGTAAATCCATGTTTAATAAAACAAAATCAATCTTCAGAGGTTTGAAACATGTCACTCCTACTATTTATAAATATGAGATAGTTCTTTAGTGTTTCTCATATGCTTTTCCTTTTGCTTTATAATTTCTGTATTGCATGCATGCATACATGTGAAACAAAATCTATAAAATATATGATGTCATGTAAAAAGCAGGCCAATAAAACCTATTTTAAAATTCTCATTTATGTAACGTGTTTAACGATATAGACAAAATTAATCTGCAATGAAAAAGCTTTAAAATTTCAAATATTTTAGACAGATAATGCTGTCTGTGATGTGAAATTATGATTCTTCACAATACAATCAATTTACTTGTATTATTTAATTCATCTACAACCACAGCTAGAAGTTTTGAAACAAGTTCTAAAGTTGAAACTGCCTATTAATTTTGTAATAGAAAATTTAAAATATGCCCAATATGAAATTCGACTGCATGAAAGACAAAACAGCTAGCAATGATTTTATCTTGGTGAAAAGATAATATATAATTTTTCATTTAAACATAGTTATTTTCTAAATTCCCCATCATAAGTAATATTATTAATTATGCCAATATTAATAATAAAATATAAATAAAATATGTATTTGTAAGTATATTTAAATCATATTCAAATTCATACCAGAACCTTTTTATAGAATTTATACAAAATAAAAATCAAACACATATACATACACACACACATATATGCATATACCAAAAACATATTTACAATATATTTCTTGATAGTTAATACGATGCAGAAAGCATTAGCAGCAAGTAACAGTGAGAGTCAAAACTGTTCTTCGATATGTTTGATCTTGGACTAGTGGACAGTGAACACTGAGGTGAAGCAACGTTTCAACAGTCATGAATTGATAAGCAACGTTAATTATAGCGAGAATTTCAAAACATTATAAAATCCAGTTTTCTTTTTTAAAATGAAGAAAATTGAGCATTAATTGCCTTTCCCTAGGGTAATTTTACTATGTTGTAACATATAGACTAGGGATAGGAAATTAACAATTCATCTGATGTAATAATTGAGATCATCTAGATTAGCAGTTCTGAAAGTGTAATACTCAGATCTGTAGGGGTCCTAGAATTTTTTTCAGGAGGTCTGTGAAGTCAAGGCAATTCTTACTACATTGACTGTTTTTTTCATTATTTGTCTTAAAATTTTCCTCTTTTCCTTTTTTTTTAAACTGTGTTAACGTGTTCTTTTTCACTTTGTTGATATGCATTTGCACTGGTGGTACAAATAAAATGGTACGTAAAATTGCCTTAGAATAAATCAAGGCAATAGAACCAAGATGTACTAGTAGACCTTGCATAATTTACTATCATGCACTAAAATGCTAGTTTCACTTAAGACTATCTTTGATGAAACAATAAAATTATTGCTTTTATTGTCTTGGCCCTTAAACACACATTTTACTATTTTATATGACAAGAGTTGAAAGTATGTATAAAGTATATAAAGTACTTCTACTACATGGTGAAGTAGAGAACTGTATTAGTTATCTATTGCTGTGTAACAAATTACCCCAACACACAGCAGCTTAAAACAACATACATTTATTATCTCAGTTTCTGTGGATCAGGAATTCATACACTTCTTATCTGGCTCAAGTGCTTACAAGGCTGTAATCAAGGTGTTAATTGGGGCGAGAGTCATCTTAAGGCCTAAATAGAGAGGAACACACTTCCAATCTACTCATGTAGTTGTTGTAGGATTCAGTTCCTTGCAGGTTTTAGGTCCGAGGACCTCAGTTCCTTGCTGCCTATTGGCTGGAGACCACTCTCTATTCCTTGCAAATTGCCCTCTATCCAGGCAAGAATGAGGAAGAGCTAGAGGGAGAAGTCCAGCAGGACAGAAATCACAGTCTTTTATAGTCTAATCATAGAAGTGACACCTTCTTACTTTTGTCATATTCTATTTGTTAGCAGCAAGTCACTAGGCCCAGCCCATACTGAAGGAGAGGAAATTACACAAGATCATGAACCAGGATCAGTGAGACCAAGTCAGAATTCCCCTCCCACAATAGTCATCTCTAAGCAAAGCACTTGTGTGACCGTGTTGCAAGCTGAACTAGCTGCTCTTCTTATTTAAACCTGTTTTTACCTGAAAACATAATTAACAGACAAGCTATAGTTATTCAGGCTTGGGTATTTGCAGATATGTGCAGAATTGAGTATTTCTTGAAAATGAAAAAAGTGAGTTTTGTCACTTCAAGGAAAATAATGGACTGTGTTTGTTGCCAATTACAGAATTTGAATATTTGAATGAATATTAGAATTTTGGAAAACCTGTAACTGGCAGCAGTGTCTAAACAATTTTTCAAAAGAAAAATTTTTTCTAAGGAAATTGATAGCAATATTAAAGAATGTGGGTTTTCGATGTCGCAAAATGAAATGTGTTGGCATTTCTCCTATCCATGAAACCACAGTGAGCCAATGTTTTAAAAATGACCAACGGATGCTTTTATGGAATCATGCATGTATCCATTTAAAGTGCAAGACCAGTGGATCTGATATAACAATATGAAAAGTTTGTTGATATGGTTTCAGATTCTACATTGCTATTAACCTTTGGGAAACTATCACAGAATTCTTGTGTAGTATCAAAGGATAATATCCATGATTATCAGAAAATGATATTAAAATACTTTTTTATTTTCAACTATATGAAGCTAGATCTTTTACTTATACTTTAACCACAACAAATTGCAACTGTTTGAATGTAGTAGAAGCAGATAAGATAATTCAGGTATCTTCTATTAAGTCAAACATTAAAGATACCTAGGGGCATGTATCTAATCATGATTCTTCTCATGAAGAATGCTTTTAAAAATGTAGCTATTTTCATAAAAATATATTTTATGTGAACATAAAATGGATTTATTATTTTTAAATAAATTACTTTAAAATATGTATTTTAATTCCTAGCATGATAAATATTGATGAATATAATATCCATAAACAAAAGCTTTTTGGGGGTCTTCAACAAATATTAAGAGTGTAAAAAAGGGGTCCTCAGACAAAAATATTTGAGAACTACTGGTTTAAATTTTGATTTTTTTGACCAGATAACCCCAGAATCTTAGCAGCTTGAGCAGATAGATTTACTTCTCATTCACATTTCATATTAACTGGTAATGGGTGAGAGAATGTTTGTTTAGGAAGCCAGAATCATGGAGACTACATCTCACCAAAGTTCTGCACTCACAAAAAAATAAAAAAGAGAAACAGAGGTATGTTAAAATTTGCAAAGGTTATAAAGCTATATCTAGAAGTTACGTATGCTACTTCCATCACTGTTCATAGTCTTCTGAAAGCTACATAGGAACATGCAGGGGGCAGGAACATGCAATAAAGGAAAACCGTAAATGTTTAGTGAATAATACTACTGACTACTACATATGTCAACTCCAATGGATAGATGGCTGAAGCACTGAGTTGAAAAGTATTCTGAGGTCTGAAAGTACATTAGTTTTTGTTGCTGCTGAAGCAAATTGTCAGAAATGTCCTGTCTTTTAAAAACCCAAATATTTGATCTTACAATTCTGAAGGTCAGGTATCCTAAACTCAGTGTGTCAGCATGGCTTTATTCCTTCTGCAAGCCCTAGGAGAGAATCAATTCTCTGTTTTTTCCAGCTTCTAGAAAACATCAATTCTTATAACATTCATTCTTTAAACTAACATTAATTGAGCATCTGTGAGGTATGAGACACTATTCGTTAAGAACCACTGTGGATACTGAGCTGAATGAAAAGTTGAAGTCCCAATTGTCATAGAGCTTACATTTCAGTGGAAGGAAAAATGGAATAAACTAGTAAACAAATATACATGCATATATTAGGAGAGTGATATACATATATATGTGTGTGCATATATATATATATATATATATATATATACACACACACACAGACGCACATACATACACATAAGGAAGAAAATTAAGGCAGAAAAAAATAATTGAGAACAATTTGATGGCTGCTGTTTTAGATAGGGTGTTCATCATAGGTCTCTCTGATCAGACTATGATCGAGTAGATGCCTGAATAAAGTGAAGGAACAAATCAAAATATCTGGAGGAAGTACATTCAGGCATTGAAAACAGCAACTGAAGAGGCCTTAAAGTGGGAGAATGTTTGAAATGTCTGAGCGAGCAAGAAGGCCAGTGTGGGCTAGGGAGCAGGGGAGGAGGGGAGGAGGAGAACAGGTCAGAGATTGAGCTATCAGGATGACAATAAGGACATGGCCTTTACTCTGAGATGGGCAGCCACAAAGTCATTAACCAAAAGAAGTGTTATGACACAGGTTATATGTTTAAAGGTCACTGACTGCTGTGGGAAGAATATAACCCTGGGGGCAAGGGTAGAAGCCAGAAGAGTAGTTGGAAGGTAACTATAATAACAAAGGAAGGAGCAGATGTTGGTTTGGACTAGAGCTTTAAGGTAGGGGGCGGAGAATTGTCTAGATTCTGGATACAGTTTGAAAATAAAGTCAATAGATATACTAATAGATTGATGTGGGTGTGAAAGTCATTACTAATAGTCATGACTTAAAAGGGGTCACTCTTAACAGGAAGAGAAGAAGAGATGATTAAAAAAAAAGAAGGAAGAAAGAAAGGAAAGAAGGGAGGGGAGACAGGGAGGGGAAGTCTCTGCTTAACTTTTCAGTTGAAATATGTTTGTACCAGAATGAATAGGTTTTAATGGAAAATTAATTCTGTGATTTAGGGAAGTGTTAGATATCAGTCAGTAGAATAATGAATCATATGTAATCAAAACATGCTTATCTAGCATCAAAAACTTGAAATGGTATTGGAAAAGCTGCCACATGTAGCTGCCTGTGGACATTTGTGTCGTCTATGAGAAATAATTTCTCTTTTCTGAGTCTATGTTGATGATGTAGCTTTCGACATTATTATAACATGATTTATTATATAATCCACACTTTAGTAAAATGACAGTTATTCTCTGAATGGAATAAAATTTCTTTTGAGTAGATTTTTTTTTTAACAAGCCTGCGTGAAGGTCATATTTGCTGTCAATTCCACAGTCTCCGACTAAGGGGAAAGACCCTACCAAATATAGTAAAATACAAGTCAGTGGTAGACTATTTCTCAACAAAGGAGCCAGAATTTGTTAATGACATTTACAAAGGCCAGTTCTTAGTTGCTTCTCAAAATACTAATTTTAAAATATTGACTAAGCTGAATATAACTGATAAATATAAACATTATTGATTTACTTTTTAATATCCAATTTCACCATGTTAATTTTATTTTCTAATTATTATTAAGACATATTGACTTGTCCTGTTCTTTGCCACCACCATCCTGGTTCAGATAATCATCTGTAGCCCAGGCTGCTGCAATATTTTTCAAATTGATTTCTGCATTCACTTTTATCCTGCTCTGCTTTTTCTCAACAAAGTAGTAGGAAGGATCCTCTTAGAAACGCAAATCAGGTAACATTTCCCTCCGCTTAAACACTTTCAAAGGATTCCAGTTGTTCCTAAGATAATGAAAAAACCACTTGAGGGCCTGCATATGCCTGCAGTTGGCCTCTCCATCCACTTCAGCAGCAGCACCCCCTGCTCTCATTATTCTTCACCTTGGCCTTTCCAGGAATAGCCCTGCTCCCTCCCAGTCGAAGATCTTTGCAGGGGCTGTTTCTCTGCCGGGACACCTTTTACTCTCATCCCCTCATCTTTATCCTTCAAGTCTCTGGTCGTTCTGCTTTACTTTTTCAGGGAACATTTTCCTAACCTCCATCCAAGGAGGTGAAATCTTTCCATTACATGCTCTGATCATCCCTGGCTTCCCTTTTTCATAGCACTCATCAAGATAGCAACTTTCAACCAATCTGTGTGATTATTTGAGTAATGGCTGCCTCCCTCACTACTGGCCTTCAAGCTTCAAAAGAGAAGGAACCACAATAGCCCGCCAGATTAAGATAGGACCTCAGTAACTACTTGATGAATAACAAATATATATGTAAATTATTCAAAAACAGAATAAGTAAAACATCTATCAAAAGAAGAATGAGTATAAAAATGGAATATGACAAAATACTTAAAGTAAAAACTATGCTCAACATGTAGATATTTAAATTATAAACTGTAATTATGAAATGGATACTTGTAAAAAGACAGGCTGGGTAAATTCAGATTTTTTAAATCTTATTCAAAGTTCATTCATCTGCTCACCTACTGCCTTGTGGACTTTTAGAAAACCTTACAATTTTGTTTTGCTTTATGTTAGCACTTGTAAATCACAACGCCAAGAATTAGAGTTTTTAAATATTAATGCTGAGAGAGATTCAGATGCCACTAATGCATTAGAAAGCAAATGAAAGGCATGTCAAAAATACGGTCTCAGTTAAAATAAGTGAATCAGAAAAACATTCCAGTACTATAGTGCCCAAAATTATAGGTCTGAAATGTGATTATGGCATTCATTTTATCTTCGGAGGTCAAAATTCAAAATATACTATAAATATATCATCAGTCTCACAATGTGAAAGAGCTCAATCTCAGTTGTATGCATTATACAAAAGACAAATGTTTCCACTGCTCTGTAGCAATCGCAAAGCTCTACTTAAAAGACAGAGTCTACTCTGCCATCAGTGTGAGGAAAAAAGGTACTTCCTTTTAGGAAGATTGTATGGTGAGTCTTCATCTGATCTTTGCTTGGTATAAAGATTCAACTCAATAAGCTCTCAACCACTTCTTTTGATTTTTAAGAAAGAGGAATTACTGTTACCCTGGATTCTAAAATGTATAAAAAATATTTATTTTTTTTTTAAAAATAATGCTGAGCTTTATAATACAGGATGACTCAACAACACCCCAAGAACATAGTAGGAACTGCTGTTGACATTTTTAAGGAGTAAATCTATTCTCAATTACTCATCATAATTACTGTATCACACTTTATAAAAGATTAGACTAAAAACAGTTCGAGATTCAGGAACAAAGTTAGTGAATCAGGGCAAAAACGTAATAAAAATGTTACCTTGACTGCATTAGCAAAATTCTTAAGCAAATAAAGAAACATGTTTATAAGAATATGACCCACCCTGAAAAGTTGTGAAGGCAATTCATGAACACCCAAATCCAAAATCCCACATCTGTGTCTTTGAATATACAGTTAGGACAACTAATGTGGTAGTCATCAGTGCAAGTTCTGGGAACATGGTGGGACTGCATTGATTAGGATGCCATGGTCATAAACTTGCTTTGGCCAATGAAATGTTAGTAGAATTTATGGGTGTCATTTTTAGATAGAAGCTTTAACAGCCAGTGGACAATTTGCCAAGTTCTGTTCTCATTGCCATTGCACTGGCATTGCTGCAGATGGCAGAAACTCATTGATCCCGGGTATCTAATTTTAGAGACATGGATCAGAGCCCCAGCCAACCCATTGTGGATATGTATCTTGATTGACAATTAATGCCTTTAGTGTTTTATGCCCTTTAAAGTTGAAGGGGTTCATTTCTCTAGCATAACCTAGCCCATCCTGAATTTATATATATATATGGAACCTCAAGTCATGAAAAATAATTTCAATTGCTGTGCTATGGTGGTGTTATGGTTTGGATGATGGTGACACCTTCAAAATTTACGTTGAAACTTAATCCCCAGTGCAACAGTATTAAGAGATGTTGCCTTTGGGATGTGACTAAGTCATGAAGGTGCTGCCCTTGTGAATGAGATTAGCACCCTTATCAAGGGGCTCAAGGTTGGAAGGAGCATTCTCTTACTTTCCACCTTCTGCCATGTAAGGACACAGAAACACGGGCCATCTTGGAAGCAGAGAGCCTGATGACTTGATCTTGAACTTCTCACCCTCCAGAACTGTGAGAAATAAATTTCTGTTCTTTCTAAATTACCCAGTCCATGGTATTCTCTTACAACAGCATAAATGGACTATGACAAATGCCTATATATTTATAAGTATAATTACTTATGGTACAAATAGGATATATTATTAATAAATTATATAATTATAATAAATATTTAAATAAACAGAATAAAAGACTAATGATGCAAAGTTTGGAGAGTGTCATCAGATTTCAATTCATTAGAATTCCTTTCTGTACTCTCTGTACTCAAAATTCTTTAATTTCCTTGCTCTTAAATTTCCTTTTTACGTTTTTATGACCTAAGAAGAAAATCTGCATGTATTTCTATAATTATCTAAGAGTAAGTAAAACATTTGTTTTACTCTTTATTACAGGTATAGCACAATTTACTTGTTACTGAAAATAATACAATTTGTTATTAAAATATGTTCCCTGGGGAAGTAAGAGTTTATTCTACAGCATGTTCCAGTCTCATGCTTATATTAACAATATCTGAAATAACATCAATTATCATACATTATCAAAAGGAAGTAAACATTATCTTGAGGGACTATATAAATGACTATATTTATGTATAATTTGTTCAGCAATGCCAAACATTAGGCACTTCATGAGTCAGTTGATGATTCAACAAAAGTCCCTGAGCATCTAGAGACACATCTTTTGTCTGATGTTGTCCCTTGAGTTAAGTAACAACTCAGAGACAGAAAAGCTGAGAGTTTAGTTTATCCTCCTACACAGAGCTGGGTACATCTGCTTTTCTTGCTTGCAGATAAATGTCAACAATTTTTATGTCCTTTTCACAAAAACAAAATTCCGAGCAGAGATTTAATACTTCCTGTACTTTGGGCAATTCACTACCTATTTCTGTGCCCATGGCAGATCCTTAGACTTTCCTTGGGAGGATCTGCACATAAGTAAGAACTAACTCTATGGCAGTGTAGCAAAAGTGAGCAGTTTGCTTGGCCACGGTTGCTATTCCTGATTTATCAAAAATAAATGCAAGAACACTAATTGAGCTATAGCGAATCTCTCACATGTAATAAATGGCTTATAATATCACTTACTTCAAGGGATTGTGAGGATGGGATGTTCTAATCCACACAAACTGTTTGGTGCATGGTAGGGGCTCAACACATTATAATTATTGTTATGATAATGACTATTTAAATCAATTAATAATATGTGTGTGCATATTTCCTAAATTCAATCATCATTCTCTTTTTTTTTCCACTCCATACTCTTCTCCATAGAAATCTCATCCAATCTTCAGTCTTCAGTTATCAACTCTAAAATAAGTTTCCCAAATTTACATATGTACTTCTAATTTCCAGGCTGATATCTTCAGTTCCCTCTAGAACATTTCCAACTGGATGTCCCATCCTTTTCTCAGACTCCCTATGTCTACATCATGCATTATATCCCCAGCCCAGTACTGGCCTTAGACTTAGGCAAGGAGGGCCTTTGCATTAGGGACCTATTTAGAGGGTTCTGCTCTATCCTTAATTTGACTGCATTTCTCCCCACAGAGCAAGACTCTGCAGGACCAAGAGGTCTCATCACTATATAATCATAGCACAATTGCCCAATTTTTAGGGGGTAAGTAAGATTGTTGATAGATTAATAGCATAGAAATAAATTTCCCAATTATCTGTATAAGAATTAAAATTAACATTCAATACTTGGTTCATGAAATTGAACAGTCTTATATTTAATATTTCTATAAACAATGCTGACTGATTTGCTTAATCTCTCTTTTCTCTGTGTGCCTTGATAATTAGCTGCTCTCCATTTCTCCATTCTCTGCTTCAGAAAGCATTTCTGATTTTAACTTCTAAAAATTGAAACCGAAACATTTCTAAGCAGGGAAAAGATAAATGACCATTAATTCAGCTGATAATTAACCACCTGAAAATCAACAAAAGGCTATATCATCATCATTTTCTGTCTTTCTACAATTTAGGATTTTATTTCCCACTAAGTAGCAAAATTGTTATTTTCTCAAAGAAAAAGAAGTGGCAGCTGCACGTAGAGTGGTGTGCCCTGGCATTTTTAGAGCTGAAGTTGTCTCTTCCTGCACTTCACCAAACAGTTCCTATCAGAACTTAAGGAATCTAGGCAATGACACTAAAGATGGGAAGGGGCCATCTCAGTACCCAGAAGGCTTGAAACTTCCCTGGTAGCCTGCCCCTTTGATTATCAATGAACTTGACTCTAAACGGGCAGAATCACCAGGGGAATGATCAGGACAACCGTTCTTTTTTTCTTTTTCGAGACGGAGTCTTACTCTGTCACCAGGCTGGAGTGCAGTGGTGTGATCTTGGCTCGGCTCACTGCAACCTCTGCCTCCCGGGTTCAAGCGATTCTTCTGCCTCAGCCTCCCAAGTAGCTGGGGCTACAGGCACGTGCTAGCATACCCAGCTAAGTTTTGTATTTTTAGTAGAGACAGGGTTTCACCATGTTGGCCAGGATGGTCTTGATCTCTTGACCTTGTGATCCACCCGCCTCAGCCTCCCAAAGTGCTGGGATTACAGGCATGAGCCACTGCCCCCGGCCAGGACAACTGTTCTTAACAGGACAGCAAGTGTGATTCATAGGTAGCAAGAGAAAACTTTGGTGATATATATTCAAACTGAAAGCTTCAGAGTCCTGAGTGGCCAGTAAATATAGGCTTCTAGAGATGGTACTGGAAGTGGGAGAAGTAGGACCTGGGTAAAATGTGAGAATGGATGGACAGGGCTCTTAAAGGGAGATCAAAGTGTATACCTTAGATAGAGGCTGAGTACCTGTGTCTAAGATGTTACTGAAATGAACAAAACAGAAAAAAAACCAGTTATCAGAGACCAGAGATTTTACATACAGTATATATATATATATATATATATATATATAGAGAGAGAGAGAGAGAGAGAGAGAGAGAGAGAGAGAGAGAGATACACATACACATACATACACAAACACATAAAGTGAGTCCTCACAACACACACAATCACATACACACACGTAAAGTAAGTCCTCACCTAATGTTGTTGACAGGTTATAGGTTTTCAGAAGTTGCAACTTTAAGCAAAATGATGGACAACAGGTCCTTGAATAATGTTTTTTGCAGCCTCATTTCATTTTAACGGTGAGAGATAAAAAATTGGTTTCATTAAACACTTTGCTTATATATGTGTGTCTGTGAGTATGTATGTGTATATGAGTGTGTGTGTGTGTGTGTGTGTGTGTGTGTGTGTGACTGCATTTATGGAGGGGGAAAATATAAAAAGCAACTTACCACAGGAACCCCAGAAATATTTAATAATTATTGCAAAACTTACTTTGAATTTTTCAAATCTGGGTTTCAAAGAGGAAGCAATGGAAAACCGAAGTAAGCTAGAGTAAGCAATGGAAAACTGAAGTAAGCTGGAGTTCAGGATGTAAAAACTCTTTTTCAAGAATATCATTTTTAATACCTTAACTTTAAAAAGTGTTGGAGAACTTTTATACCTTAAAAAATAACAACAACAAAACCCTTACCTAGACCTGAGGATTTTGGAAAACAATCATGCTCATTATGCATGACCTTTATAGAGCAGGCACTAAATAGCACAGCATGGTTTTGATTGCTAATTATCCACCTAAATCCTCATGTAAGTGGTTTCCCATACTCCTTCTTTGTAAGCATTATTTTTAAACACAGAACATATTCAACACTGATTGCTAAATTGGTTAAATCCACATGGCAAGAAGGGCAGCCAACAATCTGGAGTGTGGCAAAAGTGGTAAGACATTGACAATAATTTCTTGCAAATTCTGTGACAGGGCAGAAATGTATCAAAATAATGTTGATATTGTAACTATGATATAGTAAATTCATCAGAATTATATGCATGTGAGTATATATATACTAAAACACAGATGTAGTAACGGGAATTAAAACAACCATGAACCTTTATACTTCAACCATAATATTTTAAGCAAACTCACATTTATGCTAAATGCCAATAACACTAGATATGATATTCTTTGTGATATCATAAAAGGATACCTTCGTTGTCTATGCCAGTTGAAGAAAATATAACTCATGCTAAATATTATCTTAAAGTAATTTGAAGTGTTCTCTTATGAACACTGAGAAGTACAGAAATTGCACCCTGGTGAAGAAACCACTTTGAAATTCTATTTTGAATATAAGTAGTGGGTATTTACATGTTCATATTGCAGGCATGGATGCGAAGGTTAAGGAAAGTAAAAATATTTTTCCCAAAATTGTTTTAACAAAACATGTGTCCTATTGAAATAAGACTTCCCTCAACTTATAATTATGAACCATGCATTTTCTTGCCAATGCGGTAAAAAAGAGAGAATCCATTTAAAAAAAGAAAGAGAGAGATAAAATTAGTGACAATGGTGAGGCTGGAAATTTTATCAATTATACCTCAAAAAAGATAAAAGTAAACCTCAAATATTTGTACAAGACAATGAAAAAAATTGTTTAGACTTGATCCTGGCCCTTTTCAGGCCTTTTTTTGTGATTATATATAATTACAAAATTGTTATTTTATATATATATATATAAACAATTTAGGATTTTATTTCCCTCTAAGTAGCAAATTTTTTTCTTTGAGATAATAAAATATATATATATATATACTGCCAGATACCTGAGTGTCTGAGAAAGTCAAAAACAGTCAGATGGCATTTATTTTGCATATCAACATGACAATATAACAACAAGAAAAATGTTCCTTAGTGAAGCAGAATATGCTTCAAGGTATATTTGACTGAGGAATTTTGCTAGGAAGAACTATTCATCATTAAAGATTTATCTGTGTTTAGTCAACCAACCCATCAATTAGGTTAATTCTAATAGCTCATCAATTCCATGGAAGTCACATTACTTGAGCTCAACTGCATTGACTTATTGAACTGACCACATGGTTCAATCTAAATATTTCATCAATGGTCTTAGCAAAGAACACAATTTAAGGTGTTCTTCCCTTTGCCGCTCCCTTCCTTTTGCCTTAGTTTATTATTTCTTATACTGAATCTTGCTGTTGTGAGAACAAAACCTTCACCAATGTTCAAAGTTTCTTCTGTGGTTCTCCACGGAAGCCTGTGAAAAACTGTTGAGTAGGACATTGGTTAAACCGAATAAACATCATTCACCAGCTCTGATGTTACATATTTTGTTGTTCTGAATCTGTTCTATATTTTGTTATTTTATTTAATATATTATTAAATTAAAGAGTTCCTTGGGACAAACAGGAACTGACAGCAAGAGATGGGCTATGTAATTATGATAAAATGAATTAGCGTACTTTAGATGACTTTTAGAAGTACTATCAATACGTAGGGAAAAAAATTACTAAGTTTTTAGTGAAACGAACAATTGCAGGAGGAAACTGAATATGAAAATAAAATGTTCATGCTAGTTACTGGAAACACATATCTTTTTCAACATTTCAACTTGAAGTTCCTCTTTTTCTGTCCTTTTTAACTCCAAATCACTTTTTTAGGGAGAAATACTTTTTTACACAGTTCCTCTATTAAATACCAGACAAGCTTCAGTTATTATTTTAATACAAGTGGAATGAAATAAAAAGAACTCCAAAACCATTTTATCATTTGAAGATCAGAAAAAAACACTACTTTATCATATCACCCTGAATGTCACAGAGATTAAAGTGGAGACCTTGAATAATAAAATCCAGACCAAAAAGGAAAATTTTCTTTCATTTACTGAGGCCAAACTATTTAATCTCCAAATAGTATGGTCACATTTGTATGAAAAGGAGGAAGTTTTTTGGGGTTTTTTTTTTTCACCCAGGCTCAATGAAACCTTCCTGTGGAGGCTTCATAGGGTGATACTGAAAATGGTAACTCTCAGGAGCTATCACATCTGAAGATTCTGTGTGTGAAGATGCTGAACCTGAGTTAAAATATCTAGCAATCCTACTTCTAGTTTTTATTTCTTCCACATTGAGCTTACCCTCATTTCTCTGTTTTCTCCAACTATTCTAGAGTGTAAGAGTAACTTGGGAATAGAAATACTCATCTGCCATCCAGATGAAGTCCTGAGGCAGTCTGTGTGTCTACAGAAGGTTTTACTTTATACTAAAAGTAATTAATATGGATTGAACGTCTTTGTTGTGCTACGAATATTCTAGGAATCATGCATAGTGCTTTAAATACATCATTTTATTTTATGCACTGTAAGGTGTGTATGTGTGTGTGAGAGAGAGAGAAGGCATATTCTACATGCACACACACATAAACACACACACACTATTTCACTTTATAGAAGAAAACATTGGGGTTAAATAGTTAAAGATCAATCACACCAATAATAGTTACAGATTGAAAACCAGATGTTCTGGCCACAAACAAATATATTTTTATTGTGCTTTTTTCACTTCTTGCATATATTTAAAGTAAGAAAGATGATTTACCACTATGTTAGACAGAAAGACATGGTCGTCACATTGTTTGGGATGCTAGCAGTCCACATCCTATGGAACTATTAGCAGAGACTTCCTAAAGACAGCATCCCTTCAGGACAAAAGCTGATTTGATTTTGTCATAACAAGTATCAATAACTAATATTGAGATTATCTTAAACAGATGATATTTAAAGAGAATTAAAGTCTCAAATAGTTTGAATTAACTAGCTCATGTAATCCTCAAAGAAGTAAAAACAGTAAGTAGGTGCCACAATTATTACTCTTTTATGAATAAAGAAACTGAGGTGTAGAGAAATCTTCACATAGCTGTAAGTCAGATTTAAATCCAGGCAATTGGCAATAAGTAGAAAATTAACATCTTTCCAGAGGAAGATGTTAGGTACTAGCAAATGTCTGCAAGGGTTCTGGTTGGCTACTACTCTTCACTAAATCCCTTTGTACACTGGAGCCCAGAAAAGACAGGGGTTGGCCCCAATGCACAAACCCCTAGGGATTAAAAGAATCTGTCCAATTTGAGGCCAAAAGACTAGGCACTTTTTTTCTTTAAATATTTGTGCTGCTTATCAATTTATTGCCTCACAACTCCAAATCTACCCTTCAATGCTTGCTTTGCAGAAATGAAGCTGAGCTCTTGAAATGTATTTTTCTTCTTTGCCAGTGAGTAAGATGCTAGGCTTTGTTGGTAGAGAGCGCTGCAGACTTTTTCTTCTTGGTTCCTGTGTGCTTGCTCAGCTCCTGCAGCATGAATGCTGGCTTCTCACACACTCAACTCCTATATCATGCTTGGCTTCCCCAGCACCCAGTTCCTGGAGCACATGTAACGTTCTCAGCTCCAGCTTATTTCTGCAGTGCATGTGGCTTCCCCAGTGCCCAGCTCCTGCATTATTGGCTGCTTCTCCAGGGACCAGCTCGTGAAGATCACGATGGCCACCACTACCCACCACCCACTAGCTTCTCCCGGCAAAACTCTCAAGAGATTTTATAGAAGAGTGCCTCTGGGGATACTGCTTCCCTGTGAACAGTTTCCCCAAGAACCCTAGAGGGTGGATTTCCTGCAAGTTCCAGAGTGCACATTTCCAGCAAGTTCTGCCTGCATGGCACCATGGTAACTTCTCTGTCATCCCATGACCATGGCTGTCCCTCTCCAAAAAGTTCTGGATCTCAGGCCTGGAGGAGGCAGAGATGAAACCCTTTGGATGCTCTATCTCCTTACATCTATTATTGGATAATAGTGGTTGATACTTACAAATATTATTCTTATATTTCTTAGAGTCCTTTTTATTCGTTAATCTGATCCCCTTTTATAGATACAGTTCTTGTATTAGACTTGCTGTGTTCAAATTAATGCATGGTTCCTATGTTCTGATTAGAAACTCATTGATACAATAATCAAAAACATTCTTCCCTGTTATAGGAAAATAAGGCATTATTTGTCAGAAAGTGAATAAATCATCTCATTATATAAAAACTATTTGAGAAAAACTAGCAAATTTTATGTGTCTGATACAACATTTAAATTTCTGCTAATCTTTAAATAATCTTTCTTGCTTTTACTTAATTAATACACATGAAGCAATTGCTTAGAATAGTATCTGAAATTTATTCCAGGATTATGGAGTTGATTATTAAAGAATAAAATATGAAGTAGTTTTTCCTTCTTGGACTGCAAATTAATCTTGATGTCCAGAGCCATTGCTCTTTGACACTTGTTTTTTTCAATAACCAATTTCATATGAAGCTCATTTCCTTCTCACATTAGAAATACTATAAAGCAATAAAGCCATTTTGTCAAACCAATAACTAGATTGTCATCTCCTAATACTCATAACTCAGTAAGATTAAATAAGATGCTACATATACCAATGACAATTAACTGAAAGAAACTGCCTTTTTTATAGTGGCAACACTGTAAATCTTCTGTGTTCAAAATCAACATCAACCGGTTTGATCATGTAATGGAAAAAAGGTAGATGTTCAGAGAAAGAAAAAAAATGTATATGTATGCTTAAAGCGGTATCTTTCTTATTATTATTAGTGAAAACACCCTCTGGAAATATCATACTTCCAGGTTCTAAAATTACATTAACAGAATTGGAACCTATTTCTCAAAGTATTGATGTATGTGCACAATTTAGAATGCACCTTGTTTACACATACAAATTAAAGCACAATATTCTTACATTTAAATGTATTAATCCCAAGAGAAATCATTGCATTACTGTGGCTCACATTTTCAGTCTCTCTATTTTAATCACTAAATAAATGCTGTTTCCAATTAAGTTTAGTGGTGTGCTTGTTCTAACTGAGGTTTAACTGTCCTGTTACCATTCTACTTCTTAGCTACTGCACATTTGGTAAATATGAGTGCTTCTGTTTCCAAGTAAATGAACTTTATGCAAAAGCATTTCCACTGTCACAGGATTAATTCCCCTTTAGCTTAATAATCTATTATATTTGTGGATAATAGGCAGAAAATGAAACGAAACTTTACTTTCTGACGGAGCTAAATCCATTAGTAAAATTTCAAACTGTGTAGCTAAAAGGTCATTTTACTTCATTGTAATATAAGTGGTTTTTTCTTAATCTTAAAATTCAATTGTAGAGTCAGCATTTAAAAAAATCCTTCTAATGACGTTCAGTAATGTTTGCTGTTCTTCATTGCACAGCATTTTTCCTTTTTAAATCTTAACTATTACCCAAAGTTTGAATTCCATAAGACTTATTGTGGCCCTGGTAATTTTTAACCTGGAATCTCAACAGAATATATATTGTATATAGTTAGTGAAATGTTTCTGAAATATTTTAAAACTGTATTAAAAAGTCCTAGCTGTTCCTTATAAATATATTTTACATCTGATTTTAAATTAAGATACCAAGATACTAATGAAAAGAGATATCAAAGTAAGTACAGGAATGTCCACCCAGAAGTAAGTCTCAGAACAAGATCCCAAAAGCTTGCTGCTTGGCTGATATAGCCTTCATCCTACATGTAGGTTTAAAAAGGCAGAAGAAGTGGATTTTTATGGAGAGGAATATGTGTGGAAGTTTTCTTTGGAGAAAGCTGAGCTACACAACTAAAACCTAGTTAGAGACTCTGGGGCCTACTCAGGAAGTATAATGCACAAATACTGCATGGTGTGTGTGTGGTGTGTGTGTGTGTGTGTGTGTGTGTGTAGGAACATAGTGGACTGAGATCTGACTTCTTCCTGTAAAGTCTACAGGATAAGAGATGCCATGACTAAGAAGCAGAATAACCAGAAGCGTTACTATTGTGTTAGAATCAATCTGGCTCTCAAAGTGCATTGGAACAAATTCATGAGTGTTTGATTGTGGATAAGATGTGGAAACCCATGAGAGAAAGCTGTTCTAGAGGTGCTTCTTCTCAGTGGAAAAACACAGGAAAGAGCATGGAAAGAGACCACCCTGAAGGGCCTACAGACAGCTGAGCTGGTTGCTGCAGCTGGAGGATGCAGTGCATTTCCCAAGTCACGGGGTTGCCATCACATGAGACCTTCCAAAGAACCATCAGAAGCATACATGAGAGAAAAAATATTTTAAAAATATTTTCTAGAACAGAAAGAATAAAGCAGATTATGATGTTACACTCAAGAAAGAACAACCTTCATGCTTTATATTCCTTCCTACCATCATATTGTGACTCTGGAGGGTTGGAAGCAGCAACTCCAGAGAGGGAGGGAGAGGCCTGTATGAGACAGGGCAGGCTGACCATACTTGATTCCCCACAGACAGGTGGTCGATTGAGACTGCGCCTGCCAGAGGAGGGGACTAAAGGAAGATTGAGTGTTGACTAATAAATTGGACTAGACAACCTATTTTCTGAATTGTTACTGTATTTTGTGTAGAAAGTGACCTTAGAACTTCCTATTACTCAAGAGTAATAAACCTGTTGAAGTTTTCAACCAGTAATGGGGAAAAAATTTCTCTTACGAAAATATATTTTATATAGACACTGAGAAACAAAACCATGTAAATTTTATGGTTACATTCTAAGAGTTGTACATGTTCAGTTACTTACATTGTTCACACAAATCTACATTTTAAATTGGAGGGATGCTGATTACATGTGTGTAAGAAAAAAACAGAAATAATTGTTTTATTTAAATGTATCTGTGTTAATGTTCCAAGAGTAATTGGTATACAGTATTATAATAAAATATATCAAGGAAAATGGCACTTATATTAGTTCAAGACACAATGAGGCAAAGATTTAATGTAGTTACTGTACAGCAGTTTTAAACTTAATAATATTTAACATGTGCTATGCATTTATTTTGTGCCAAACACTGACTATTGTGAGTACTTTATATTGAGAATTTTCATAATGCTGCAATTAACCCTATGAGGTAGGTAATGCTATCATACCCATTGTACAGAGAAGGTAACTATAACACAGAAAAGGTAACTGAGTGACTCACTGAGGGTCACTGAGCTAGTACTATGTGACAGATAGATTCAGAGATGAAACTCAACCAATATCTATGATAACCAAAGAGAAAACGAGGCTAAGTCCATCATAGAGCTCTTTTTTAAATTTTTACCAAAAAGGTAAGTTCTTATGCCAACAATTACTTATCCATCCTCTAGTTCTCAGAAAGCCTCCTTTGTATGCAAATATGTTCAATTTTCACATACTATTTTATCTAGCCTGTGCAAAGAACAAGAGATATTAGATTTAATACACACATATATATGTGTATATATATGTGTGTGTATATGTGTGTATATACACATATATGTGTATATATATACACATGTATATGTGTGTATATATATACACATATATATGTGTGTATATATATACACATATACATGTGTGTATATATATATATATAAAATGGTCTGTTGTTCAAATAATTGAGGATGCAAATTTCAGAAAAACATGACTGGGACATTCATCTTTCAAGAATCAGTTTCTTTTTTATACATTTTTTTAATTTTTATTTTTAGTTCAGCAGTACAAGCTCAGATTTGTTACACAGGTAAACTTGTGTCATGGGTGTTTTTTGTATAGATTATTTTATCACCTAGGTATTAAGCCTAGTACTGATTAGTGATTTTTCCTTATCCCCTTCCTCCTCCCACTCTCTAACCTTTGAAAGGACCCAATGTGTGTGTCGTTCCTCTCTATGTGTCTGTGTGTTCTCATCATTTAGTTCCCACTTGTAAATGAGAACATGTAGTATTTGTTTTTCTGTTCCTGTGTAAGTTTGCTAAGGATAATGGCCTCCAGCTCTATCTATCTCCCTGCAAAGAACATGATCTCATTGTTTTTTATGGCTGCATAGTATTCCATTGTGTATATGTACCACATTTACTTTATTCAGTCTATCATTGATGGGCATTTAGGATTATTTCATGTCTTTGTTATTGTGAATAATACACAATGAACATAGCATGCATGTGCCTTATCTAGAAATTGTATATTTGATAGAGTAAGATACCACTAAGGAATGACTTTCAACCATAGTACATGTCCAAAATTGAGAAACCTGGAGCCTTAGATAGCATCATGAAGAACAGATGTCAGAATCCCAGGTTCTTTGTCTTGATATGCCACTAATAAGTTAGGAGAATTATGATTACGTGTCAACACGGAGATATTCTAAGAGTCAAGCCTGATAGTGAAAGTGCCAGTGCTTAAATGTTGTTTAGTAATATTGTTAATTTGAAATATGGGAATACCAAAGCAATATTTCAAAGTAGAGTCTTCATATTGTCGGTTAATTTAAAAAGTCCCACCATTCAACATTAACGCAACTTGGACAAAATACATATTTGAGGATGTAGTAGAAGTGGTTGAGAGGGATGCTGAATTCCTAATACAACTAACTTTCCCATTTATAAAAGTAAAACATGCTTGCTGAGTAATATTAAGAAACTACAGATAAACATAAAGAATATAGAAAGTATCTATAACTTTACCATCCAGATGTAAGCAATATTTTATGCTCTTTTTCAAAATTATGATAATATAAATTATTTTACCTAGATTATTTCAGTTAACTTAATATTTTGACCATTTGTTTCATTCAAGATTCTTTGAAATCGTACTTTTGATTCTCTGCACATTTCCTACTGTATAGCAATACATATGTTGTTTATTCCCCTCTTCCTGATCCCAGTGCTTTTTTTTTTTTTTACTTTCCCATGGCAATGAGGATGGTAAATAAGGTTGCAAAAAGCTAGACAATTACATCCTACAAATTCATAGAGCATATCCCCAAATAAGTGTTTTGTATACAAGTAGTATTTCTGGAGTCTGAGGTCTCTAAGTATGCTACTGAGATTTTATTTTTTTAAGAATAAAACATCCTGACAAAACAGAGCATGCCCTGACCCTCTCACCAAGCTCTGGGGATCTCACAGATTTAATGAAGGATCCTTCAGCTTCTGACCCCTCAAGTCTTGAAATACTGCCTGAGCAATACCTAGACATAAATATTTATGAGTGGCTCCAAAACCCTGCACTAATTTTCTGCAACCCAATTAGCAAAATTTGGCAAGAGAAAAGTGTCCTTCACCTTGTGGATCACTAGCAAATCAGACAGTAAAAGAGCCAAATGGACCATGGGAGGTCAGAGAGTTTATGCCCCATTTTATGTCTCAGGAAAACTGAAGACCATGAAGGTTAAGTGACTTGGCTGAAGTGACAGCGTGTTGAATGAGGCTCAAACACTGGCTAGTAGAAAAATACTGCTTTTACATTTCCTGAAAGGAAAATGTCATCTCTAATAATTTACATTGAAAAAATGACTCCTCACTTTTTATTGTATTCTATTTTCTTATCTGTGGAAAACAAATTTAGGGACCAGTTTAGAACCTCATGTATTATACCTTGGTCTCTTCTTAAGACTAAAATATTATGGGAATTCATAAGAAATCATTGGCCCTGGAATATTCAGGCAAAAACAATGCAAGTTTATGAATTTATTGCCACCATGTTTTATTTGAGAGCTTGAACTCTTAAAGATTGAGAGAAAAGCTAAAACATTTTTCTTCAAGACAGCTACAAGCTAAGGCTTGTTATTAATAGAGGTTACACTTGAGGTGGGAAAATAGGCTGTGACTCTGGCCAACGTTAAGCTTGGAGAGAAGCCCAAATGAACAGCTTTGAAAGTAGACAATCTCTCCAACTTCTGTACAATAGAGGCAGACATCTCTTTGGAAAGCTTAAATGGTGGAAGAACCAAGTTGCCAAGTACTAGTCATGACAGAGCAATGTTTCCAGCATGAGAGAATGTTGAGAGAGTCACAGACTCAATGGCTAATGTGTAGAAACTGCAAGTAGTGACCTGAGAGTTTTAAGCCCTTCTGTTAGTAATGGAACAACAATGAAAGTATTCAAAGAATATAAACATCCAAACAGAGACACAAAAAAGGTCATGAAAGGAAAAGTCTACTTTCTGAAATACAAATGAAAAGATCAATATATAAATTCCTAGAAGAGGCTAGCTAATTCGAGTGCTCTTGTCGTATAGAGGGAAGAAATATGACATGAAGTTAACATATTAAAACTTAATTGCCTCCATAACAACTCACCTAAATTATTTAATTTGGAACATTTTTTTTCTGGTACTGGTAAACACCTCAGTATGAAACAGTCATTTTGCTCAATTGTTTTGTAGATACAATAGAGCTTCACTCTACAGAATCCTTGAAATGTGAGTCATTAAAGATGACATGTCTTCAGAATAACAGAGGGGTTACCTATTTAAGTACCAAATATAGTGCATACAGATGTGTCTGTGTGTGTGTGTGTGTGTGTGTGTGTATACATATATATATATTAATTTAACGTTTTGACAGAAAATCATTCTAAAATGTATTAAATTTTATAAGGCTTCCTTAAAAGCACATTAAACATAATGCAATTTTCTTTGATGGCCCAAAGTCACCATTGTGAATATTAATTATTATACTGTGCTATAATAAAATTATGTCTGTGAGGCCCTCAAAAATGGGTACGCTCTATTGCCTCTAGAATTACACAATGTCAGAATGAAATGGGACCTGAGAGCTTGTCCAGCATTCCCAATTACAGATGGGACACTAACATCAAGAGAAGAGTGATGTGATTTAATTAAGCGGACACAACAGTTATCTACCCCAGGTCTCCCAACTTCTTATCCAGAGTCCTTTCACTTAACCCGCACTGCACAGCATCATCACCTATGCTTTCATTTGTTCTTCTGCTGCCTTTTGAAGTTTTTTTCTCTTCTCCCTGGTTAGGGTCTATGTTCACCCCCATCACTGTTGTTGGTGATGAAATCTCATCCTCCCATACTGTGCACTGTAATGATAGGTGGGGTAGTTCTGGAATGTGGGAGGGCACGGGAGCCCATGACCATCAGACGGTAATGACTAGATGTCAGTTTCTGGAGCATGTCCAGAGAAGATTTAGGAGAGTGATCTAACCTGGCTCCCCAGTCAAGGAGTCTAACCAAATGCTGGAGTTGAAGGTACAGAGCCAAAGTGAGGGGTAGGTGCAGAAACCAAAACACCAGGTATGAGTTGCTGGAAGGAGCAAGCCATGGGAAGTGATCTGGGTGAATTCCAATGACTAAGATGTCTTTACCTTCTCCAGGGTGATCATATATTGAAAATAAGTACAACGAAAGGGGCAGAGACTGTGTGCCTTTTTTATGGCCCCTCAACTATCCTATTTTAATTCTGGCTTGGAAAAGAACTCATTCCTTGGATGGTTACACAGGGGTGTCATTGAGATCTGGTAAGTAACCTGATGGGCTTACATTCAGGTAATAGGCATGGGTTATGAGGCAGGGGCCTATGGCAGTTCAGAAATCTTTGCTTATTTCCTGGTAAATATCTCTTTCTGGCTTTGTTCCAGAGCTCTCTGAGGTTTCAGAACAATTAAATTCCAGGTAGGTGAGATGTTACTTTATGCTTTGGTTTCCATGTGAATAAATAGATAAGGCAATAGCCTCGTGTATTAGGAGGAGGGGGAAATGGCATTTTAAAAGCCAGGTGCATTTGAGCCTGTTCTAGCAGGTTGGTGAATTTTCACTGTCAGGAACAACTGTCCTTTTGTTTAAAATGATGAATGAGGCTCCCAGGGGGTAAATGACCTGTCTAGGGTGCCACAACAACAAGGATATTGCCTCTGATTAAAACAGTCAAGTATTAGAGCCTAGTGCTCCAAGTGGTGGTCATAGGTCAGGTTATTATCATCTCAGGGTGGAAAATGCTCACTATGTGGTGGGCACAGGAGATTCTATTGTGCTTTCTTCCTCATTCTTTCCTGTAGTGCCAGAAGGAAGCTTTGCTCTGCTGCATAGTCTGGAAGACAAATTGATATTCTCCATAGGAACAGACAGGATGATTCATGCTGTGTGGTACATAATTAAGGTCTGTGAACTCAAAATGAGCAAACCAGGATGTTAGTAATCTTGGTAGAGAAGTGGCTCAAGAGGGCAGGCATACCTTATTCTTTATTTTAATCTCTTTGAGGTAGGAGAGTTCAACTTCTCTGAGATAAGGGAACTTATCCAGAATAGAAATTCTTTTCAAGTTTTTTCTCTCCTATCTCTTGATCTCTCACTTTCATCATTATATATGTAATATATACACACACACACACACATATATATATATATATTTTTTTTTTTACTTTACTGGCAAGAAACTGGATTTTTCTCTCATCCCTTGTACCTTTGAAGTGTTCATTCAATTCAAACAATTACTGAGGCCCTGCAAAGTACTAGGGGACCAAGTACTTCAAAGCCACATATTAAAATGTGGTTCTTATTTCCACAAAAGCCCAGTCTAGTTAGGGAGAGAGATATGCAAATAAATTATCTGGGTAATTATCTGGCTGTGTCGCTATGGGTAAAACTTAAATTCCATAATTCCAGTCTCCTCAAGTATAAAATGACAAAAATACTACTTACCTTGCTGATGGTGTTGTGAGTATGAAAGAGTTAAAGTACATAAATCACAAGTAATTTGCTTGGCACATATGAAATAACTTGATACAAAATAGGAAGCGATAACACAAACTAGTAGATATTCTAACCAAGGAATCGTAAAGAGTCATGGAAACAAAGGAAAGAGGAGGCGACTCTGCCCAGAAGAAGCAACCATTTGTGGTTTTATGAAGTGGCCATTTGTTGTTTTATGGCTGCCCAGCAAGCACACATTCTTTCTCTGGCAACAGCATCCAATTTCCTTGGACGACGCCCTTGTCCCCATACTCAATCCATGTGTTTCTGAGGGAGTTGACTCCATTTTTGGTTACATGGCATGGCAAGAAGCCTTTTCAAAGCTTCAGCAGAGTCTGGGCTTACAAAGGGAGCCTAAATACTAAATTAAAGTGAACTAAAAGATGGAAAGAACTTGTGGGGCCATTTTCCTTTTGTGATTTCCTTTCTAGGACTGCACAGAAATAAAAGGGAGGAGAGAGGGAGGGTAAAGAGACAAGGCAGGAACCTGGGTCTCAAGGTGTAAAAATGTCCAAAAGCACATTTTAAAACAATGATTGCCTAAATGTTTTACTATTAAACTGTTTAAATTTCAGTGATGTAAACCCCTTCCATCTCCTCAAACTTATTATAATTTGTGATATACACAAAGGTCTCGTGTGAGTGTTTCTGTTTATTTGTTTTTCTGGAAAGTGAGATAAGTGTTGAGTTCTGTTCTGTGTTATCACGCAGTAGAACTGTAGCAGGATGCTAGACTGGCAAACTGATACATAAACTAAACCAACTCAGTGGAAGCAGAAGCTCAGAGTGACATATGGCCAACAGAATGTCAATTACATATAGAAAACTTTAAAAAATTGGATGGCAAGAAGGCATAAGACTTCCCTAGGGTATGGAATAGTAATTTGAGCCAATTCTATCTATTTTTGAGGTTAGAAATACTCTAGCTGACACTAAGGCTATATTTTAGTCCTGTTGTGGTTCATTTGAACTCTGATGCAATAGACAGTCGCACCTTGTTTAAATCCCTGCTGTAGTTCTGAACTAGACGCATATAAATGTCAAGTGGCGGGGGACCTATTTCAGAGAAGTAGCAATTGACTCAGCATCAACCAGAGTCCTGGGATTTCTACCACAAAGTCACAGGAAAGCTGTGGAAAGTACTCTGAAATCACTCTTACAGAATTTGAGTAAGGAGGCTCTTTGAAATTGAATGCTTTTGGCAGAAAACCAAGTGTAAGAAATACTAAATGAGCTCTCAAAAGCAATGCTTTTTAAATTTTGATGTGCGTGTGAATCAACTAGAATTCTTGCTGAAGGGAAGATTCTGATTAGTAGGTCTGGGTAGAACCTGAGATTATGCATTTCTAACTGGCTCCCCAATGATGCTGAGGCTGCTAATCTGGGATCCTCATAATATAGAACCTTGAAGTTTATTAAGTAAACTAACCTAATTATATAGAGAATTCCTTAAAACTTGAAGTCTTAAAAAAAAAAACAAAAAGAAGAAGAAGTTACTTACTGGGACCCTGCACTGCCTATCTGAGCACATGCTTAGAGAAATGAATTCCTACATCAGATTGGTGATTAGGTAGGTTTTTGAGTCTTTTGTAGGAGTCTCATATCACCAAAACCTAAGAATATTCTTGGAAAGTGCAATACCAAGGATCAGAGAGAATTTGGAGAAAGAGGCAACATTGATCTCTGAGAATATAAAGAATAAAGTTAACAATTGCTACCATTTAATATTTACCATCTGCCAGACACTGCTGTAAGTATTTTATTACATTATGTCTTAATATTACAGCAGCTCCACAGGTAGGAATAATTGTCATCCCAATTTTAGAGATGAGAAAACTAAAACTCAGAGAGGGCAAGTTATTTGCCCAAAGTCCTACAGCTTTGGACAGACATTTGAACACAGGCAGTCCTGCTCTATAGTCCAGTCATAATCATTATGCTCTCTATATCTCCTACCTTCATTGCACCACCAAAATAGCTTTTGTTTTGGAGATCAATAAATTTCCATTATGCAAGACACAATAGACATTTTTGGTCCTCTAAACAACACTGTATGCTGAAGACCTCTCCTTCCTTTTCTAAGTATTACCCTATTATCTTCCCTTGGTTTTTAAGGTTTGAATTTTTCTGGTTTCTGTTCTGTTTTTCTAAAACTCCTCTCAGCTTTTTTTTAGTACTATATTCCCTTACTTGGCCCTTCAATGCCCAGATTTCTCAGAGCAGAGTCAGAAGCTCTTGTTTCCTCACCCTGTAGTTTCTTCCAATAAACAATATTAACCACTGCTTTCATTTTCACCTCTACACAGAAGACTCCACATTCCCACTCTCTTTTGAAACCTAGACTTATGTATCCAACTTGATGTCTCTATTTATATGTCTGAAAAGTTAGGTCAAGTGCAATAAATCTAAAACTAAGTTCAAGATGCTGGCTCCATCTTCACCTTCCACAAAGCAGCTTGTAGAAAAGATTGCTTTCTATGCCCTTTCATATCCCCTTGGCTTTATGATTTTGTGATTACCCCACATGACAAGCCAAAGGGCTAGAGAATTGTTGCCTGCTAGTCAACTCATAGTTGACAGGAGAGGAGCTGTGGAATAAATACCCCAGTTCTCTTTTCCTTCAGATGGGATATGCTGAGACATAGTCCATGCTGGCTTCTAGGGTTCCCCAACAGGCATGAGCTACTGTACTCCACAGTGGTAAATACCTTGATAATGTAACTTGTATTGCTGTTCTTCCCTTCTCAGTCCTACTTCCTTACTCCCCATTGGTGTTTCCTGGTCCCAACCCCCAAATAAAACATTTGCCCTTAAACCTGTCTTGGGGTCTGCTTCTGGAAAAAGACCAGGTCAAGACATACCTTCCCCTTGATTTTCTTATGTGTTCATTTCTCAATGAATGGCTGCACCGTCAGTCTTATTCCACTAGCTAAACAGCCAGGTTGGCTGGGAGCGGTGGCTCACACCTGTAATCCCAGCACTTTGGGAGGCCGAAGTGGGCAGATCACGAGGTCAGGAGATTGAGACCAGCCTGGCCAACATGCTGAAACTCTGTCTCTACTAAAAATATAAAAATTAGCTGGGCATGGTGGCCAGCGCCTGTAATCCCAGCTACTCTGGAGGGTGAGGCAGGAGAATTGTTTGAATCCTGAAGGAGGAGGTTGCAGTGAGCCGATATTGCCCAGTGCACTCCAGCCTGGGCAACAAGAGTGAAACTCCATCTCAAAAAAAAAAAAAAAAAGAAAAAGAAAAAAGCCAGAGTCATCCACTTCCTTCCACTCCAGATCCACCATCACCCAGAATGACAAATGTTTTCTATTAAAAAGCTTCAAATTGCCCACCTTTCCATCTCCTCCACCAACTCCATAGTCCAGTACTATTATTTTCTCACTTGCAATAGTAAAAAAAAAAAAAAAAAAAGGAAAAAAAAGAAATTCCTCTAATTGGTCTCCCATACCTACTCTTGATCTCCTCAAATCAGTAGGAATATAAAGCAACTCTGCTCATGTCACACCCTCCAAGTGCCCCCTATTTAAACCTTTTAGTGGATTTCAGGCTAATGAAAGGCAAGCTTAACTACTGGACAAGGTACTGTGAGATTTGTTTTCGCTTCCCTTTCTGGCTTCACCTTACATCAAACTACCCCTCATACCCTGGGCTCTACCCACTCTGAACCTTAAACTAGTGTCTTTGTGTTTTCAACCTCACTAATGGATTTTAGTAAGGTGTGAAAGCAATTTAGTTTGTCAAAGTCAGAATTTCATTTTAATGTAATGGGAGAAAAAAGAGTGTTATTTGTTAGAACTTTTCTTTCAAATGTTTGTGTACTGCATTCATGATGAACAACATATTTGTAATCAAAGACCACATCCAAAAAGAGTTTGAAAAATGATGCATTAAACATACCATGTTTTTCCCACCAATGAGCTTCAGCGGATGCTATTCCCTCTGTGGGAAAAGCTGTGCCCCAAACTCTTTGCCTACAAATTCCTATATACTCTCTTAACATCAACTGCATCCATGCTGGGGTCCTAAGGGCCTGGGGGATGGCAAGCGATCAGGATTTAAAAGACTGGCCCCCAGGAAGCACCACATGTAGCTGAGGAGAATCCAACACATCCAATTGGAGAAAGTTAAAAGTAAAAGCCATGAAGAATCCAAATATCAGCCTGCAGGATGGCTGTGAACCATAGCAACCCAAAAGAGATGGGTTATGAGACAGAGTGGGAAATAGAACCTGCAGATGTGCTTCAAGCCATCAGAGTGTAGCCACTGGGACTTCTACAGGTCACTCGGGCACACTGTGAAGGGCAAATTGTAGACTGAAAAAGCTTTGGCAAAGATACCATATTTAGAAAGCTAGTTCAGCAGCCCTGGTCAGAGGTGTAAGCATATTTATTTGTAAGGAGAGCAGCTATAGCATTGGAGAAAAGAGGCAAACATGAAAGATGTTAAGGAGGGAGAATCTATAAGATTTGGCTACAATGCAGTCTATCTCATGTATTTATTAGACACTGAATAGTTGTAAATGGGTATTTTACAGTTGATTTATACAGACTCCAGAGCTAACTTTCATAGGGTGAGGACTTTGAAACTGGTTAAAAAAATTTAAAAAGCATTTCGGCCAGGCGTGGTGGCTCATGCCTGTAATCCCAGCACTTTGGGAGGCCGAGGCGGGTGGATCACGAGATTAGGAGATTGAGATCATCCTGGCTAACACGGTGAAACCCAGTCTCTACTAAAAATACAAAAAAAAATTAGCCGGGCGTGGTAGTGGGCGCCTGTAGTCCCAGCTACTCAGGAGGCTGAGGCAGGAGAATGGCGTGAACCCGGGAGGCAGAGCTTGCAGTGAGCCAAGATCATGCCACTGCACTCCAGCCTGGGCAACAGAGCAAGACTCTGTCTCAAAAAAAAAAAAAAAAATTAAAAAGCATTTCTATGTTTCTGTCTACTAGCAGAAAGTGCATGCTGTGTGTGTGTGTATATACAGATATAGATTTATATGTATCTTTTCAGCAAGCGAGGAGAGTTCTTAGCTGTGGGTAACTTATGAGGATACAGACACAAGATTGTAAAGATGGGATAAATTTCAACCTTTTAATTGACAGGTAAGAAACTGAGGCTCAGAACTTCATTGTGTTACAAACTAAGAGCCAAAGCTGCAATCAGAACCCAGATCTTTAGCCAGGTAGAGGAAGACTCTGTCCTATCTTCTATGGTTGGTCAAAGGTGTGGCTCCTGAGCATGAGTCACATGAGTCTCTTCTTTTTATACTAGCAAGACCAAGAAACTTCTTTGGTGCAAGTACACTGTGTTCCCACTGTCACCAACTGTGTGGGAACAACACCACATCACTCCTTGGTAACGAAGGTAAGTCATTACTGGGTCCCTGACTCCAGACAGGAGTTCTAATTATATGTAAGTGAAGAAAAACTGTTATTTTTAAAATGAGGACATGGGTTAGAATTATGGTAATTTAAATAGAAGAAAAGGAAGTTTGGGGAAAGAAAAAGATAGTTTAATACTTGGGTAGTTTTGGGAATAAAGGAGAAAGAGGCATAAAGAAAGAATCTGAGGCTTGGAGGCTGGGATGAAAGTGGGCACCAATGACCAAAATGGGGTCCCCTGGGAAGGAAAGTCAGCTCAGGTCAGAGAGAAAAAGACCATTAGTCCAGCCTTGGATGTTAACCTTGAGAAGAGGGGGAGGTATGCATGTGATGATTTCCTGCTGATGTGTTATTTAGGAAAAAAAATGTTTTAAATCACCTAAGACAGTTTTATTTCCAATTTGAGTCAGAAAGACAAGGTTAGCAGTTGCAGTAGCAGGGATAGGGGCCTAAAAGAAGCACGCAAATTGCAGGGGAAAGTATCGATTGCAGTTTTTATCATCTAAGCTGATACCTAGGAAACCTCGCTATCTCCTCATATATTCAGTCAGGAGAATAGAAGACAGAGGTCTGGAAGAGGCTTTATCTTCTCTTTATTAGATACATCAAAACCGATACAGCACAAAGCTGCTCCTCAAAGCTGCCCTGTCGTGACCACCGGAGGACCAGTAGCCAACCTCCAATATTATATCCCTAGCCAACTTTTCACACAGCTGCACCTAAGAGATGCTTTCAAATAGGCTGCCTGGAGAGGTTTGCTGGTGCAGGAGTGAGCGTCTTTTAAGCACTCACAACTGATGACAATGCTGGAGAAGGAAGGCCGGCAGTTCTCCAGGGTAGGGCAGCTGATGGGAAATTCGGGGAAACAGTTGTAGAGAGGAGAACATAAAGAATGGATAAAAATTGAACTAAATTTAGATTCGGATGTTAAGAGCAACATGAATAAGAGGAGAACAAGAAGAGTATGTAAAAGCTCCTTTAGTTCCCAGAAATGAAACTTCTATGAAAGTCAGACTCACTGTAAAGAATTACTTCAAAGACCTGGAGAGACGCACAGACCTTGAAGTTCACCTAGTCTACCATCTCCCACCTCCCACTCACACACAGACACACAGCCTCCACAAAGAAGAAACTGAGGCCAGAGAGGCCACCTGTCCAGCTGGCAGTCCATGGGCAAGAGTTAGTGGCAGAATCTGGGAATACACTCAGGATTGCAGACACATGCTCCCGATGTCCAGGCACAGTTCCACACTACAGTGCAAAACCTGTTTAAGATACAGCCTTGGTAAACATTAACCCCAACATGTCGGAAGTTGTTATAGATATCTAAAAAATAGAAAAAATATTAGAGGTAACAATAAGTAATACCAGTGATGAAATATAAGGTGCAACTAAAATAATTTATATTCCATATAAAAAGGAATTGAGCCCCCTAAAATAGGTCTATCAGAAAGGGTAGGGTTCCCCACTCTAATGAGCTGTCTGTTCTTGCAGAGTTTCTAGTTCTATCTATGGGCTCATTCACCTATTACCCCTTCTACGTTCTGGTTCTGCCCCTGAGGGCCATAAGGCTGCCACAAAACGAACTGTTCAACGACAAAGTCAATCCTGTTTCTAAACTCTGTTTTGACCTCACTCCTAGTTCTATATCTAAGGCTTTACTTCCTTTGCAGCTCTTGACCTGCATCTCTGGTGCCAACCATGGTAATCCTATTTGCCAATTTCCATCCTAAGACACGGGTCCCATTCTTTCATTTTAAATTCTGTACTGTACCTATCATCTCAAACTTCTGGAAGAGCCCACAAGTTCTCATCATGGTATCATTCCTCAGTCCAAGCTCTTTTCAAAACCTTGACCGCTAGATTTTGAGCTCAGTCTGTGTACTCAGGTCACTTATTGTCCATTTTGTCTGTTGTGGCTTGACAGATATCCAGTCTTATCTTGCTCTGTTCTCTGGATTCATAGCACTTATTTGTCCTGCACCCAATTCCTTACATTCCCATTGACTTCCAAATTTAATCATCCTGACTGCCCCAAATAAGACTTTGACAATTTGGTTTTGGCAGCAAAAAAAAAGGAAAAAAGAAAGACAAAAACCAAAAGTTAGGGAGGAAATAGATCTTCTTTTAGAAAAAGTTATTACTAATATATCTAAATATAAAGCCTAAAAGTGAAGAAATTCTATAATCCATAGGTATTATTCAGGCTATGGTGTGCCACTGTTAACAAATTCATCTGGAAATCTCAGTGGGTTAACACAAGATACATTTATTTCTCCTTCTTGGTATAATTCAGTGGGTGTTGGGGGGGCAGTGTGGGGAAAAATCTACTATGTGTAGAAACTGGAGGCCTGGGTTAAAGGAAGCCTCAATTCAGAGCTTGCAGTGAGCAGAGATCACGCCATTGCACTACAGCCTGGGCGACAGAGCAAGACTCCCTCTAAAAAAAAAAAAAAAAAAAAAAAAAAAAAAGAAGCTCAATTTTTTGAAGCTTCATCAGGAGTATGTGTCCTTGATCGCCTGTCAGGTGAAGACTGAACAATCACATGGGGTTTTTACTGCCTCAGCCTGGAACTGATATATATCCCCTTCTGTCTCAGCTCATTAACTAGAAGTAGACACAGAGTCCCACCCATCTGTTAGAACGCTGCGAAGCCCAACTTCTCCATGCAGCCAAAAGTGGAGAACTGTAGGTCAGGAATGCTAAAAATGTCTGGTGCACAATGATTTCAGTCGACACAACTCTGGAATTTTTGCAACTGTGTCAGTTAAAGGATTAATGCACTCTCAGTTGTTATAGTGCTTCTCAGTTTTAGTTGGTGGTAAACAAAGTGATTTGCAATAAATGTGATAAAAAGGAATGAATATGGACTAATAGGGTCATAAAATGGCAGTGCATTCATCAAAAGCTGAGAGAACCTAAGATGTCAGAGAGTGGTGGTGCTGTTGCAAGTTTTTTTCACTGTTATGCTTTTGTTTATCTTTGTGGCTTGAGAATTATTCAAATTTAATTCTTAATATGTACCTTGTATTTAATGAATCAAGATTCATTAAAAAATGAAACTTGAGATTCATTTGAGACTCACTTGAAATTCATTTAAAAAATGAGAGGCAAAATGGGGCACTTACCTCTCATTTTTACATGTAATAGCATATAACATTCAAAAGCATCAAATAGCAAGGATGTCTTGCTATTTTTATTATTTCAACATGACAGCAAGTTTGCAAACAGCAAAATCATATGCATAAGTTTTTATCAATATTGTGATTTAATTTTAGAGTGTCACCCACACTTCTACACATATTTATCTTGTAATCATAGCCCTTTAAAAACAAACCTATGATAACTATATATATTATTTATGTCACTAGTTTAACTAGACATGTCATTAAAATACTTTAAACTCTCAATGTATAAATTGAACATTCTGCCAAGAGTATACTAAAAATAATAAGAAGAGAAAGCCATTGAATTTCCCTTTATTCTTGCTTGATCTTCTTCCTATTATTATGTTGAAAAAAAGTTTCAGTTACTTATTTACATTTCACTCATGAAATAGTTTTTATACACTTTAAAAATCTACGATAAGAATAGAGCTAATGCCATTCTGTCCCTCTCACTTGCCTAGAGGCATCTAAGTGGTATATGAGGACTGGTATCTCTAAAAGCCTCATCACATCTCAGGACATCACATCAGATAAGCAGCAGGAAATAAACATAAACAAATAGTTCCTCTCCAATTTCACAGAAGGGGGTTTATCAAGACATGTTTTCTCTATTGAGATTGCTATGGAAGTGAGGCGCTATAGTGAGATCTAATCCTCAATGCTAACAGCCTGCGCTTTCCTTCCCCGCCTCAGCCATGTGCCTCTCCTAAGCATGCTGAGCCGGAAAAGGGTCAGCCTAGACATGGCCCTCTTTTCTAAAGCTGTGACACTGCATGGGCACAAGACAATCAGGCTCCTCTGTGGAATTTAAGATACTTCTTAATTCTGAAAGCTCACAAATACTACTACTACTGTATTAGTCAGAGTTCTCTAGAGGGACAGAACTAATAGGATAGATGTACATATGAAGGGGAGTTTATTAGGAGAATTGACTCACACGATCACAAGGTGAAGTTCCACAATAGGCTGTCTGCAAACTGAGGAGCAAGGAAGCCAGTCCAAGTTCCAAAACCTCAAAAGTAGGGAGGCCAACAGTGTAGCCTTCAATCTGTGGTCGAAGGCTGGGGGGCCCTGGCAAACCACTGGTGTAAGTCCAAGAGCCCAAAAGCTGAAAAACATGGATTCTGATGTTCGAGGGCAGGAAACATCCAGCACAGGAGAAAGATGAAGCTCAGAAGACTCAGCAAGTCTGCTCTTTCCAACATCTTCTGCCTGCTTTATCCTAGCTGCACTGACAGCTGATTAGACGGTGCCTACCCAGATTGAACGTGTGTCTGCCCCTCCCAGTCCACCGACTCAAATGTATCTCTTTTGGCAACACTCCCACAGACACACCCAGGAACAATACTTTGCATCCTTCAATGCAGTCAAGTTGACACTCAATATTAACCATCACAACTACTAATTTTTAAAAAACCAGTCTCACATAGGTTGATAAAATCTTGACTGTCATTTTGGTGAAAATTAAAAGACCTTTTTATTATCATTTGTTTTTTCCACAGGGAATTACTGCCAAATCCATATCATGAATTCCCCAAAAAAGTATTTAATAAGACAGCACTTAAATATAACAGAAAATATATGTTAGAGCTAAACTCACTAATAGTATAATTTACACTTCTGCAAAAGATCATAATTTAATTTTTTTATTCAATGTGGTAGAAGACCAAATTAATAATTATAAAATTCTCTACTCACTGATTTTTCTGGATGTAGCCTCTGTTATGGAAGAATAAAATATAATACTGTTTTAAAAGATACTTGAGATTAAAAAAATACTTTTGAGGAAGAAATTAATTCACAAAATTATTTCACTTGTCTAGATATGCATTTTATAAATGGAAACATTGAAGGAGAAAGGTTACATGACTTGTTAAAGTTTCTTTGTTTTTTTGTTTGTTTGTTTGTTTGTTTTTTGAGACGGAGTCTTGCTCTGTTGCCCAGGTTGGAGTGTAGTGGCGCGATCTCAGCTCACTGCAACCTCTGCCTCCCAGGTTCAATCGATTCTTCTGCCTCAGCCTCTGGAGTAGCTGGGACTACAAATGTGAGCCACCACACCTGGCTAATATTTTTGTATTTTTAGTAGAGACGGGGTTTCACCATATTGGCCAGGCTGGTCTCGAACTCCTGAACTCATGATCCTCCCGCCTCGGCCTCCCAAAGTGCTGGGATTACAGGCGTGAGCCACCACGCCTGGCTGACTTGTTAAAGTTTCTAAAGTTGATTTGTGAATGGAGAAAGAAATAGAATGTCTTTCTTGCAATGTCAATTCAATATCGAATTCAATATTTTTTTTGGTGCTCATCTTCTTTTAAGATCTGTAAGACTGAAATGTTTATGTGCGCACTGTAAAAAAGGTTCTGTCTAAAGCCTGAAAAATAATTTTTTTTTGCAAAGAGTTTCTATGTTCATTTCAAACCTTTGGCAGTATTATATCTAGAATTTTTTTTTGTTCTCTTTTTCTTTTTCTTTTTTCCTTTTTTCTTTTGATTAAGATCCTCACTTCTCACAGGGGGAAAAAGAGGAAAAGCGAAATTTTATAAAAGGGCAGTTCTGACCTAGGAAGAGGAAAGAAGGTTTTAACATAGAGGAAAGCTGAGGTATATCTTTAAAGTAGAGTAGGAGGTTCTCACTACATCATTTTGCTTTAAGTGGATGTAAAGGAAAAGTTACCAAGTGTTTTCTTGCTTGAACAAAGATAGGTATTTTCTCATGAAGCTTTGAAAGGTTTTCTAGTTGAAAAGTAATGTGAAAAACAATAACTTCTGCCACTGAATGATTGTTATAAGCCTCAGTACCTTCAATAAAAAGATGCTTCTGTTCAATTTCCAGTCACATCAAATTCTCATTACGAGAAGCTAAATCCCATCTCTCCATGAGCCAGACTGTATCAAAAGTAGCAGATTTATGCATTAAGTTTTGTAACATATGCTTACATCCCATATAGCCCAGGTCACAAAGCAAATTCTAGGACTTTTTCCCCTCAATGAATACCAGGATTGGATGCCAAGCTTCAAGGAGACCAAGAGCAGGAAAGTACTTGTGGACAAGGTGTCCTTGAAAAATAAGAAAGACATCCTATTGCTTTTTGAAAACAAAATTGTCCAGTTCCCAACAGGTTGCACAAAACCCATTTTGTGTTAAAGAAAACAAAAGATTTATAAGAGTATTATTTAGAATCTATAAGAAAAAAAAATAGAGAGATAATAAAATAAAGAGAAATAAAGAGAAAATAAAGTCCCTAGGGTAGAAAACCAAAAGGTCTTCTTAATAATTTCCACGCCATTCTCTCTTCTCATGTTACTTGCAAAATGTTAGATATTGCTATTTTTTTTTCTAAGGTGGATAAGAAAATCAGACTAAATGCCATTGTAGTTGAATTTCCCAGAATGACTGTGGAAATTGGGATACAAAGGTACAGACGTCAATAATAAATGCTAGGGTTCAACACACAAACTTAAGTCAAAACACCTCTCACCCTACCAGTAAAGAGGCCAAGGGACATGCCCCTAAGATGGCTGTGCCTTTAAAGACAGCTGTGTTTAGCAGTGAAGAGTACCTCTGCTAGGCAGAAAGATGAACACTGCTTTTACAAAGAAAATAGGTCAACTGATATGACAGAATGAAAGCAGGATTTTGTCAATTTTTTTAAGGCAGAAAAACTGACAATGAAAGGAAAAAATCAAGGTTACAAAAATGATGTGTTTTCTTATTGGCAACATGTCCACTGTCGTACTTAGAGTCCACAGTTTGCTGTGTTTGAGAGTGTTGGCTTCATTTTAAGATGTAACTAAATCCAAGTATTTAATGGAATGGTACATCCTTACCTGTGTTTCCCAAAACAGATGCAAAGGGTTCTCCAGAATAGGCAAATTGAAAAGGAATAAGGTGACAGGGCTGGAAAAGCAGCAGCAACATTTTGTAACAGAATGGTTTGAAGATTAAAATGAAATGAGGCCTATCTATAAGGCAATAGCAGTGATAGAAATAGAAAATTAGAATCCAGTTTATAGTTACACTGTAAATTACAATCATCAATTCATATATATTAGAGCCATGGAGTTGATTGCAAAAATGGCCATAATACATTTGAGTATCTCCAATCAAGAACTTGAGTCTATTTGCCCATTCTTGAATTTGGGGTGGTGTTGGGACTTGCTTTGGCTAAAGAAAGTGGCAGAAATGATATTGTCTAGCTCTGAGCATAAGCGTGAAAATAACTTGCAGTTTCTTTCTCACTTCTCCCTCTCTCTCTTTCTGAGAACCCGCCACCTCCATTTGCACAAGCCCAAGTCCAGTCTAGCCTTCCAGTGGATGAGTCATGGCACAGCTATGGCTATGGCTCTACCCAACAGTCAGCTAATCCCCCGAAGCAGAGCCTTTTCACTGACCAGCAGCTGCCCACCTACACATGGGTTAGTCCAATTGTATCAACAGAAGAACTACCCAGCTGATCCAAACCAAATTTCCAACCCACGGATTTATGAGCCAAACAAGCAGTTGTTATTTCAAGACCCTAAGTTTAGTAATGATTTCTCACACAACAAAAGATAGTAGATAGAATCCATATAGAAACTTCCCGCAAGTCAGTTAGTTATTAACCCATTTTGCTAAAACTTTACTGAATAGGAACTATGTGCAAGCACGCTAACAAAGCTTATTCATAGTCCTTTGGGGAAACAGAACTCCCTGGTGTGTAATGTGAGGCTTGCAGTTTACCTGGGGAAGCCAGGAAGGCTTGGAGCAGAGAACACCTCAGTGAGGGCTTAAAATAGATTGATGAGTGGATCAAGTGAAGTAAGGTGGGACAGTTATGTCAGGCAGAGGAAATGATAAAGGTATAAAGAAGTAAAATAGCAAGGCATAAGCAGAGAGGTACAGGAATTTATAGTAGAAAAATGTAGTGTCTTAAGGAATGGCAAAAAAAAAAAAAAAGAAAGAAAGAAAGAAAGAAAGAAAAAAAAGAAACTCAGCAGTTAATAAGAACCAGACCATGGAAGACTGGAGGCTCCCATAAATATCTTGGATTGAAGTATATTGATAAAGGCTTAGGCCAGTAGTCCTCAAACAGTAGGGTACATGAAAATGATCTGAATAGAACTTTTGAGGACTCTCTTACCCATAAATTAAGATTCAGCAAGTTTTTGATGGAGCCCAGACTTTGGGCTTTAAATTTTTAAATTTTACATTTTTAATATGGAATGTTGGAGTATCTGATGCAGGTTGTTCATGGACCACACTTTGAAAAATATTACTGTAGGGAATGGGAGGAGTCCAGTAGTGGTTTAAAAAAATGGAGTAACTCAGGCACTCTCATATTATTTTCAGGTCAGTATTTAAGACTGATTTTTCTTAAATCAGTCTCTGGTATGGACAAAATATATAAGGTTATAATATAATATGGAATATTACTTAGTCTATAGAACATATTCAAATTTCTCCAATTGTTCCACCAATGCTCTTTTTTGGATCAGGATCCAATCCAAACACACACTTCGCATTTAGTTGTCATGTTTCCTTAGCGTTCTTTAATATGAAACAGTTCCTCAGTCTTTCTTTGTGTTTTATGACCTTGACGATTTTCATGAGTACTGGCCAGGTATTCTGGATGCCCTTGCACCAATGAGCCCAGCTGATTCCCAGACTTTGGTTTCTAAATACCACTCTCCAATATAAGAAAACTATGGCTCCTTGGAGAAACAGCTGAATCCAGGGCTGAAGGAGAAAAAATAAGATGAGCCTGAAATATTTTGTGCTAGAAAATACCAAAGAGTTAAAAAGAAAGAAAGAAAGAATAGGCACATTTCAAAAAGACAAAGTAGCCAACTTGATTGGTGATCCTAAAGGTCAAATACAGAAACACTGAATAACAAAATAAATCTTGATCATAAGGGATTATAACCTGTGGAATAACGTAAGGGTTCATGTGTCTGTACTAACACAAATAAGTGAGTGAACAAATGAATGAATGAATAAGTAAAGGAGAAAAGAAAACTTTTCCTTACTATAAAACTACAACTTGTTTCTAAGTTAAGGAATTATTGAACCAGAAAATTACCATTTGGCAAACACCACAGTAATAGTTGTTTCAGGCAAGAATCATTAACGGATACTAAAATTAGTGGCAAAGGTGTGATAAATTACAGGATATTTAAATTCTCTCAAATTATTTTCCCATGAGATACTTATAGAGTACAAAGAAATATAGTGCCTTTGTAGTGAAGAAATCTGGCAAACACCACCCTCCCCAAGTGATCAAAGTTAACATTTTCAGTAATGGAATAAATTGACATCAAGAGTCTTCGGATAAGACATGTTGATAAGGTCACAACCTCACTTTCTGGTATCCTTGCCAAAAATGCAAAACTGAATTTAAATATGAGAAAACATCAGAGGAAGTGCATTGACTGTCAGAGCCTCATCGACCTAGTATAAGAGACACACCAACGTACGTACACTCATATGTGTTAGAGGCACTTTCAGTTTGGCATTCATTCAGTTCACAAAGAGATCCATTTAAAGACTTTACAACGTACGTACACTCATATGTGTTAGAGGCACTTTCAGTTTGGCCTTCATTCAGTTCACAAAGAGATCCATTTAAAGACTTTACAGAAGAAAAATGACAGGATGAAAACTGTGCCTCGAGGAGATTAAACTGGAAGCAGAAGGTAGGATACAAAATGAAGGGGGTGGAAATGAAAGCTATGGAAGGCATTGATGCCTGTAAGTGATCTATTACATTATTTCAGGCACATAGTCATAATAATCTCAACCAGAGTAATGGCCATAGAAATGGAGAAAAGGAAAGTTAACACAGAAATAATATGAAGAATAATGGCAATGATTTTTGCATTGAATGTGAAGGAGATGTAAAAGGAGGGGAAAAAAGAGTCTTATTTACTAAACAGGGCACCTGGGTGTCTATGCAGAAGGTGAGTCAATGGAAGCAGAAGGAATGTGATCCTGTACTTTCAAAGAAGGGAGTTCTGTTTCAGGCAGATATTTGAAGGTATTATTGAGATATCCTAAAGAGAATGTCTAGTAGGCAGCAGAAAAGGTGAGATTGCTATCTGGGAAAGAGGGATAACACATAGGAATGATTGCCTTTGATGTGACACTTGGTTTACAGAGAATATGTAACTTGTCCAGTGTTACAAAGCCAGTAAAAGGCACAATCAGTATTTAAACCCCACTTCTAGGTTCAGAAGTTTCTTTGGCCCATATAATGTTCTGTGTGTATTGGGACTCTCCAGGAGGTTGAAAAGAACTGTAAACCTCTATTACTATCAGTTTCTAAGTGCACAATTAGACTTATGTGCAAAGTTATAACCAGCTCATTTTTTAAAAAAGCAAAAGAATAAGTGAAGCTCTCTTTTCATCTGTGAGTTCCATTGGGCTTTATATAGAAGTAAGGACTACGTTCAGAGCCTTGTAAGGTTTTTGATAGTCACGTGATTGACTGTCAGAGCCTGGTCCATCTCAGAGACCATCCCCTCAAACGCTATCCTTTTACACATCAGGTATCTGATCCTGCACATTCAAATATTTATATGTAGGTTAGATGGGAAAGACATTGGTATAATTAATTTAATTTTCACTAGGTCTCAGCCTATTTTAAGAGCAGTCAGGAGCTAGAGTTTTCGGTCTTCATTTCCTATATAAATTGGCAAAAGTGTTGCATTCTGAATAACTATACTGTAGAAGTACATCGTCCTTTGAATAAATTCGAATCCATACACAGCAACACAACTGAGGTCAGGTCAGAGGGTGGGCAGAAGACCCATCACTTCACACACTGGGTCCGAGAGCACAGCTGCCCTGACAGGAAAGGAGGGGCAGGGCAGATGTCGCTGATCACTAACTACAACTAGTCACTCTTCCAGTAGTTCCCTCCCAGTGGGTGGTGAAAGTTGTTCTTTAGCTCATTATCTCCCCCTTCAGCCTTCCGATAAAGGAAGATGATGAAGTTAAAAGAAGCAGGGAGGCTCAGCCCCTCTGTAGAAAAGGTAGAATGAACAAGAGAAGTATCCTTCATTTTAGGTAATACATGAAAATGTTGAATAAATATATGCTGAAATAAGTAAGTTTATCTCAATAAATATTTTTTCTTATTTCTGATACCTGTAATAACAGTGAAATAGATATATACATATGGGAAAAGGTACACTTTAAAAAGCATATCTCCTACATAAACACAGCACTTTGTAAATCACCACAGCCAAAGTAATCACATTCTTAAATAAGAATGTGAGTTCATTACATACTGTAAGGAAGGTTTTTCATTATTGCTCTTTATTTACTTACGCTCCTGTAAATGAATAAGAAAAAAAGAAAACCATTTCCAATTCAAGTAGTCTCAAGGCATACTCTAGCTGCTTGCAATTAAAACACAAATTTACCTAAGACATTGCTTGGCTCAAACAATCATATTTTTCAAATAGTTCATGAGATTTGTTAATAAGAGCTGAATGCTTTGGAACAGAGCAAGGCTTCAATTAAAGGATTACAGTTCCAGAGCTAAACTGGGAGAGACTGTGAGCTCAAGGCTGAACCTTTCCCCTCTGCATTCTTTCCCTCTGATTCTAGTTTGGCTTTGATTATTCTTTCCCCTTTTCCTTTCTTTTTTTATTCTTTTTTTTTTTTCCACTTGCTGCTGGACAGAATTATAAATTACAGGGAGAAAGAGCAGTCTGATCTTACCAAGGAAGTTCTTTTTCTCAAGTCGTTTCTTTCGTTTTCAAGGTGTTTCCCAACTCTGGCCTTACTTTGTAAGACCTGAAACTTCATCACTTCTGGTAACTTACCAAGGTCCAAAGTCTGCCACAGAACTACCTGAAGGCTTGAATCACCCAGATATCGGCTTGCTGGCATGGAACTCTTCTTGTTTTTCTTCATATACAAATAGGATTTAGAAATGTTTAAGCAATAATTAAATGAAGAAATAAGGAAAAGATTTAGATATTGGACTTCATTGTTATCATCACCATTTCCTTATTCACTTTATTTTATATCATGTACATATCTAAGTATCCAAAGAAGTTAATGAAACATGAGTACTTAATGTATTTTTCCAAAAATATCCAAATTAGAACTGTGACAAGTCTCAAAATAAGGTCTCTTTGCCATCACTGATATATTGAGAGCAGAAAAAAATACATTAATAATCCTGTTAGATAATCATGGATATAATTAACAGCTACAAAGATGATATTACTTGATAGGATATATTTCAATATACAATTTAGCGCCACTCAGGATTGAAGCAGAATTGCTTCTCTGTTGGAAAAAGTATCAAATAGATATTTTTAACTTCTCAGTAGGTGATAATTTAGTAGCTCAGAGAAATATTTTATAGGCATATGGAACAAATTAGTATGGTAATTGCAAATGGATTATTAATACTGACAAGTCATAAGACTTAACCTTTTCAAATGTAACTGCTGAGACTAGAATTTAAACTAAACATTGTGATGTTTACCTAAAATGTTTTAGATAAATCAGAGATAAGATTAACAAATTACTTAAATATACTATGTAAATTTTTAGCCTGTATGAATAATAATGGGAAATAATATTTGCTACATTGCACACAATTGTACACACATACACAGTCTGTCTCTCTGCCTTACAAAAAAGTAGAAACAAAAGTTTTGGGGATAATATCAGCATCTAAGAAATATAATATAAAAATATCACATTATTGGAAACCAGTACACAAAAATGAAAAGCAAATGAATATGCAAAATATCTACCACTGCAAATAAACATGGATTTTTTTTTTTTTTGCTAAAAACAACATATTCCTCTCTATGTTGAAATATGTTTCTACCCCACAAAGGAGTGGTTTGCTTGCTTTTGCTTATTAACAGCCAACCATGTAGTGCTAAGCATGTGCCAAGTCTGTTCTAAGTGTTTCATAAATGTTAAATCACTGAATTTGCATAACAAACAAACCTATGAGGTGAACTCTGTTATCATGACTACTTTACAGAAGGGAGAAACTGGGCAAAAGAGATAGGACTGAAACTCAGGCAGTCTCTAACGGGATCTCTACCCTTGACACCGTGTATGCTGGTGATTAGCTCCTTTCTCTGCAATGTAGTTGTAAAAATTTCTCTAAGGTATAGATAACTCAAAATTGAGGATTATATTCTAAGAAGATTCATTGCAATGTAAAAGTTATCACTAACATCCAAATTCGCATTCTGATAGCTCATTGAATTTGTGCTTTCTTCCCTGAAAAGCTTTCATATAAAACAAAGGTCCGCATGAAAAATGAAGGATGCTTTCCTCTTACCACTGACAAAGAATACAGTGATTAGATACATTAAAAATTCATATATTTAACAAATGCCACCTCTCATACATAAATTTTCTGTGTGTACAAAATACATAGGTAATAAAATAAAATCAACATTATTTTTCTTCCATTCCTCCTCCAATATAATTTATTGACTTAGTTGAGTAGCTAGGTGCAAGAATCAACAAGAACCCCTCTTCCAAAAATGCAGGAAGTAGAGAATAAACACAACTAAAGAGAAAAATTAGTTTGTGCCTCCCTATTGAGAATAACAATATATACTTAAGAAGTCACATCATTTTTCTGTGTCTATGAACCAACAGAAATAAACTAACATTGCTTCTTTATGTATTTCATTTCACACTCAATAATAAAGTGAGTTTCAATGACATTAATAATATGTTCTCTTGGTAAACAACCATATCCCAAGAGCCTCATATTCTTCCTCTTTTTTTAAATCCCTGAACATTCATTTGAAAATTAACTTACAGCTCTTATTACACTTGTTCCTATAGCCACTGAAAATTTTCAGCACAATAAAAAAATTAAGTAATATTTTACTGTATTTTTTTTTCCATTGGGAAGTAATAGGGGTAACATTTCTTAAAGTGTTTTAATTGGGTAGGGAAGGAGTAAAATACAAATGGAAAGTTTGGTTGAAAAATAATTTTTAGTTAATTTGAGTGGGGAGATAATACCCTACAATTGACTATAAGCTACATGAAGGCACGATCTGACTTGATTCTGAACTTGATAAGAAATCTAACACCCAGAAGATGCTCTATAATTAAGCCATTTAAAGTATATTTAAAGAAGAATAAAAAAATTTGTTAGCAATTTTTAAACAATCTAACTCATTTTAACTGTTTTTTTCAAATAACAAAATGCTTTTACAGACCTCAGATGAACTCGGAATCATAGATTTCACCACCCATTGCATACCTGTAGCACACCCAACCCTAATGTTAATGAATTTTACTTCCCTTCTCCTTTCATGTCAAGCCTAATTTCTTTTTTGCTACATCTCATCAACCCCACTTTCACCCCTAAGACATATTAATATTTTACCCTATAAAAACCCAAAGTCTACCATCAGACCTTCTTTCTTATTCTAAGGTTGCATCTTATAATTGCCTTGCTGTTTTTCTCCCTGGCTCCCATTAAAAAGTATCCTTTCATGACCCTACCCCTACCTCATGAAATTACCCTTTCATGAGACTATCCCAAAGAATTCCAGGAGTCCTCACTCAGTCTTTTCATGTTTCTCAAAAAAAAAAAAAAAAAAAAGAGCATGGAGTGGGGCAGAAGGTGAAGAGGAAAAGAGGAAGAGGGCCTTGGCACCCCCAGAAAAGCTTCCAATCCACCCAGCTCCTGCCTTTATTTTTCTCTTCTCTTCCTCCCACTCATTTTTAATCTGGATCCCACACCTTGACTTACAACCCCAGCAACCTAGTTATCCTGAGCAATTTAAAAAAATGTTTTAAATTTGTGTAAAGATGTAAAACTTGATGTTTTGATATACATGTATACAGTGAAATGATTACTGTAGTCAAGCAAATTAACCTATCCATTAACTTCCATTTAATTTGGTTATATGAAAGAAGTCAGCTAATCATTATTCACATATACTGATTAACATTTATCCTTAAAGTAGGCCAGTAATGATTATATATAATCATAAATGCCGGAGAAACTTTGTTCTGAGTTTCACTTAATAACAATACTTTATTCTTACTACATGTCCTCAGTCTTTATAAATTCTTGCATAAGCAGCATAATTATCTCCTTGCAATAAAAAAGCAAAAAATAATTTTATTTCACATCTATCTATAGACTGGAAACATTGTCCCAAAAAATGAAAAAGTAAGTTTTGCTAACAATTATAGAATTAAATAAAATGATATTTTGAGGGTTTTGGCAAAGAATGGCAAAGAGTCAATTTGAATAAGATTATTCCAAAAGTAAACAGAGCACAAGTTATTTATTTTTTTTTGAGACCCATATTTTAGCCAATTGGTATTTTTGAAGGCTATATTGTTATTCAGTATTTAGCAGTGCCTGGTATATAGAAAGCACTCAGTAAATATTTGCAAATTAAATAAATCAGCGAATAAATGAATAAATTGCTTTTTTGGTTTGTACCAGGGTTACTAAAATAAGTTTGTGAATATTTCGCCATTTTTTTCCATTCTTCAGTTGCATATTGCTGCTCCATAGACAGCCAATGCTAAAGATTCATTTCTTGGATTGTCAGTAGTAGGTCTCATTACTTTTATCTTCTCTTTCCAAAGCCGTTTGTGTCTTTGAAGATTGCTTGTCACACTGCTCTGCTGTTGAATTCAATTAGGTCTATAAAGCTCTGTATCACTGGCATGTAAAACTATGAAATTCTGCTCAACAGCTAAAGTGCAAGGATATGATTTTACCTCAAGTTTCCTGAGAAGTGCTGAGCATTGGCACATTTGTGTCACCCACAGAAAGAACCTGAGAACAAGGTGCACCTGCAGAGAGAGCTGTGGGGTATCTACATTCCTGAATGCTTCTCCAGTAAGAAGTGAGAAGTTACACTGACACTGGTGTAGTGGTCTCTTAAGGATACTGAAGAGTTGGTGGGAAGTTGGAAAGACACCAAATACAACCACAACATTGCTTCTAACAACCACAACACTATATTTTGAAAAAAGCACAAATCAGTGAGAAATTTGCATGTTATTATTTATAGAAAATGACTTTAATTCTCAGTTTGTAGTAGGATTGGAATGGATAGAGAGAAATGAATAAGGATTTAGTGATCCGAGATTTTTCAGAAAACGGAATTTTTTATCTGGGTGAGAATGCTCCCAGATAAAAGATAATAAGTTAATGATGTCTTATTAACTCTTTGATTAGATCCTTACACTCTCAGTACCCCTCTTTAATTGTACAATGTGAGAAAAACAATAATTATCTTCCATGTTTATGAGTACCATAATTGAGATTCAGTAAGTATTCAATGAATAGCTAACAAGCATTAAATAGGTACTCAATAGATGTGAATACATATACATATATATGCTTTTATATATTATATATAAATATACAGATGTATAAATACATAAATATATATCCTTCTCTCCCCACAATTATCTTGTATGTATTACAATAGTTCTTTATAGAACTACCTGAGACTGGGTAATTTATGAAGAAGAGAGGTTAAATTGACTCATATTTCCACAGGCTACAGGAAGCATGGCTGGGAGACCTCAGGAAACTTATAATCATGGCAGAGGGGTGAAGGGGAAGCAAGGACATCTTACCATGGTGGAGCAGGGGAGAGAGAGAGAGCAAGAGCTAAGGGGGAAAGTGCCACATACCTTTAAACAACCAGATCTCGCTATCACAAGAACAGCAAGGGAGAAATCCGCCCCCATGATCCATTCACTTCCCACCGGGTCACTTACCCAACACTGGACATGAGACTTGGGTGGGGACACAGAGCCAAGCCACATCACAGCACTTTGTGCTACCCAGTTCCTTTTTTCTTTTAAAAAACCGTTCCTTCTCTTCCATACTCAAGGACCCACAACCATTTAGGTCTTGCATCCATATCAGAGACATAAAATAGTACAGCAGGAAGAGGAGAATTTTGTTCTTGAGTCAGAATATCATGGTTTTCTAGCTCAAAGAAGAAAATTCAAAAAATCAATCATATACCTGGCTCAGACATAAGTGATCTCTATTGCCTGTTTCTAAATCTTACTGTGCTAAAAAAGAGTATCTGTCAGCTTCCCACCCTCAAATTCCATTTTTAAAAACCTCCATCTATTACCTTTCGATTGGGCCATATTAGTTTGGTAAAAGGATGCAGTTGCGTGGTGGGAAATTAGCACATCATTACAGGTTCCCTGTGCTAAATCACACATTGACCAAGTTTAGCTTAAGCACAGTCACGAAAAACACCACTGAACACATTCCGCAATATTGGATTACTGCCACCATTGCCTGTTTTCCTGACTTTAATCTCTTCCTTATCAAATCTACCTTGCATTCTATTGACAGTTTACATTCTCCAATTTTCTCATATCTCTCTACTTAAAACTTCTTGGCTACTTATGTACCTATTTATTTGCATAGAATTCTATAATATACAAATTACTTTATTATATATATTCTTTTACTTGATTGCCTGAAATAAACTGATGGGGAAATATGATGTTATCCATGACAGAAGTCAAAGGGTAAAAAGTACCATTGCTAAAATTCTAACTCAAACCATTTAACTCTTGGACTGTTGCTTTCATCAATACCAAAAGCCTTAATAAGACTTTCAAGACATTACAAAATTTGGACTCACCATTTCCAACATTATATCCAGCTGTTTCCAGCTAAGTTTTCCACTCCAGTAAAGCTAGTCTTCCACAGTTACAAACTCATGGAGGGAACTGGTTTCCTCCTCTGTACTCTGCAATCTCAACATGGTGTATTCTTCAGCCTCCTTATTCTGTTTCCTGACCTAAAATCTCTGACAATCCTCTATCTGCTTAAGGTCCAATTAAAATCCCTCACTCCCTCCAAGCTTCCTCACACTGCCACAGACCGTAATGGTCTCTCTTCCTTCAGAATTCTGTGCAGTTATTTTCTCTCTCATGTGGGCATTATGACTAGGACCTACTAACATTAAATGCTGTCTTGAGTCACTTTCAGCCTTACCCTGGCCAGAGAAAGTTACTTGAAGCTTACAGAGTGAGTTTCTCCGGAAACACCATGTTCTCACGTCACTTTCTGTTATGCTTTCACTGGGGGACAGAAAATTACCAATGTGTCAACAGAATACTTTTCAAAATTGTCAGAATTGAACACAAATATCTTCTCCTCAATAAAGTTTCCCTGACTCTTTTAGTAAGAATTCAGCAAGTTTTCTCATATCGCCATAATAACTAGTGCATGCTTCTTATACAGCACTTACTTCAACATGCTAGCATACCTTTGTTTGTTTGTTTATACAGTGGTGCCCTGCCTTCAGCTGCACAGCTCCCTAAAGGGAAGGCAGGTAACACTCGTTGTGACCCACTATGAATGAAGCTTCACACAGGCAGGCTTCAGAGCATGTTTGTTATGTGACTGGGTGAGGAAATGCCTGGATGGATGAATGAATGAAAATGTAGGTTTAGTTGAAACCAGAACAGTTTCCCTAAATAACATTTCGCTAGCACTGAGAGTCTCGAGCTATCCAACAAGAGCACTGTGAATCCTTAAACTAGCTGAACTGATTTTCAATTCTTATAAGGATCGAAAGAAGGAAAATTTACTGTGAAATATGGTTGACCTTAGGAAATGTTAACCACGTTATTTGGCTCTCAGTTCAGTCCCAAATCCAATTTGACCCATAGTGCCGTGAAATCATGATGAGAGGCCAAACAAAAGGAAAAAAGAAAAAAAAAGGGGAAATGAAGAACAAAAGTTTCCATTGGACAGAAAGAATAGATGGACTCACTCAAGAAAAAAATCAAAACAAGAGTCATAGAAATGTTTTATCAAACTACGGAGGATTTTGAAGACCTGTTGTCATTTTACAGATGAGAAGACTGAGGTCCAGGGTGGGTTGTGAGTTGACAAAGATTAATTAGCTAATTCTATAAACCTTCTACTTTCTCCACCATACCTTACTATCTGTCTCATATATTTCTGTTGCTGCTATATCATGAATGTAAAAGCTCTACAAGGAAAAATAATAATGTAAACACCTCTGAGTTCCTCACTTCTCATCAACACGATGAAATAATCAGAATAGGTAATTCACAAAGCCTTCGTCCGTATTAAATGAGATAATGAGATGAGTGTAAAGTGCTTAGGACAGGGATGGCATACTGGAAACACTCAATAAATATTACTATTATTGGCTAGTATCATCTGCTTCAATCTCATGCCCATGTCAATACAGATCTTCCTGAAAAGCTGACATGAAACCAGAAGTAGTACAAATATGACATAAACAATGCTATGTCACAAAAAAGAAGCTATGATAATTACACTCTACCATTACATCCTTTTTACCCTCTGGTTACTGTAAATATCACCTACCTAGTTACTCAAGTAACTCAAGGTTCTGTGTGCAAAACCACATATTGTCTGTGCTCAGGTTACATTTAAGAGATTGAATTCCCACCTGTGCCCTTTCATAGCTGTTACAAATACACCACGTTGTAGAGTCCACGTTCAAATGTGTTTTAACTAGCCTAGATATCGTTATTGATTTCCCAATAGCCTACGAGTAACACAGCTGCATTTCCACTCAATATCTACCTGGGGCTGATTCATTTAATTAGTAAATATTTATTGAGCTTCTAATATGCACCAAATATTTACATGATGCTGGGATATGGCAGTGAAAAAAGCAGGGAAACATCCCTGATCTAGTAGAATTGCATTCTAGTAGCAGAACGTTCCAGAATTGTAAAGGGCAGAAATAAAAGTGTTTATTCCTTGGAAATGGTGTCTACTAAGCCCAAAGTACAACTTCACTTACATTTCAAGAAAAGGTATTTTTTAAATAAAAAGTTGCCTTTTACCTCAACATTATGCAATCTACCTGGTAAGATCATAGATATGTCTTTCTACATTATGACCAATTTTTTTTTCCTAACATGTTTTTTAACTTCCTTATCTGCACCATGGATTCCACTTGAAAATAATATATAAAAAAATATAGTATGAGAAATATCTATTGACAATTGGAGATAATAATTACAGATAACTTAAAGTAGAAATACCAAAGCCATAAAAGAAATTCATATAATCATATCTCCAAGGGGGAAAAAAAGCACCAGTCATTTATAAGGCCCTTTCAGTTACACCTTTTAAACCAAAAGCACACCTGTAGTTTGCAATGACACTCAAGGATTTGCACTACAACTTATCATCTGATCCCTCTACACCCACTACGATACAAATATCAAATCCAAATCTAGAATGTTCAAATACAAGGAACAGTTTAAACATAACAGTATTTAACAAACCTTCTAGATATCCACAGAATGTGCTATATTTTCCACGGTAAGGTTTATGCTATTTGTAAACATTTTACTTAAAAAGCTATAAAGAAACTAGTAACTTGCAATAAGAGTGATGTGTCCATGTACACATGCACATAGGCATGTAAACATAAATATGTATATACGTTTATTATAAATCTTACAGATACAAAGGTATCACATAATTTACAAGTAATAAAGTATCCAATAGTCTATTAAATTTCATATAGTCACTGATTTCTTAATAATGCTTTCCTAGATTTTTGCCTATTCTTGTATCCATACCAACCTATAACTACAATTCAACTATATGTACATTTTTTGTGTTGCTAAACCCTTTTACCTTTAATCTGCATGATCAACATATTGTTCACCATTTTCTTAAACCTAGATAATCAAGAAAACAGTAAGTCAAGCCTTGATGTGTAGTGTTCAGTGTCTGTGGTGAAAATCCTCCTATCATGTCCAATTTCAAGCCTACCAACATGAGATCACTGATGACAGAATTAGGAAGAGATACTCAGTAAGATACCATTGTATGTATTTTCTGCAAAAAAATTTAGTTCATTTTTTATGTCTAGTTCTATGCTATTCTCTATGGACAACATACAATCACATAACACAGTTCCTGTCCTAGAAGAGTTTTTCTGTCTATTAGGGGAAATATAAATGGGAAGAGAAAGAAGAAAATAATTCATGGAGTCGTGGATTGAGACTGGTTGTATTGTGAAAGACATTTTGCTATATGAAAGTCAGCAAAAAGTCCCAGCCTTATCATTTACCAGTTATAAAAACGTACATGTTATTTTAGCCTTCAGTGCTAGCTTTTCTCATATGTAAAAGGGGCATAATATATGTATCCATTTTTAGAATTGAGTTTGCTTTTGTGCGTCATATAGAATAGTGCCTTGAACTTAATAAATGCTGGCTTTTTCTCTCTTATTCTGATTGGAAATCACCAATTTTTGGCTGTTGGTCAGCGGATGCCCTCAGCTGCTAGAGGTCATCTGCAGTTCCTTTTTACATGGGTTCCCTAACATGGCTGTTTACTTTCTCAAAACTAGCAAAAGAGATGCCAGCAAGATGGATGCTATCATCTCATGCAACATAAACACATATTACTTAACATGTTACACTCATGTAACCATGTGAGTCCTGTCCTTCTGCCAATTTCTGTTGGTTGGAAGAAAGTCACAGGTTCTACTCACAATCTAGGAGAGGGAAAAACCACACAAAGGTGCAAATACCGGAGCTGAGGATTATGGGAGCCTTCTGAGAAGTTTGTCTGCCATATACATAATGATGTTTATTTTGTGAATGACACAAAAATTGAAGATGTGAGGGCATCAGGCTGAGATTGGCTGATGAATTCATCTCATCTTCATCACAGAAAATCTTGTCAACAAGATGGATACACACACGCTGTGGTCTTTCTTCCTTGAGTGATGCTTAAACCCGTAATGATGAGATTTGCCTCGTGACTATCTTATTTTTCTATGAATGTCCAACTTTTCTCTGATTGTTAGATGCTGTATTAGTCTGCTAGGGCTGCCTAACACAATATCAAATATGGGATGACTTAACAGAAATTTATCCTCTCATAGTTCTGGACGCTAGAAGTCCAAAATCAAGGAGTTGGCAGGTTGGTTTTCTCCTGAGACCTCTCTCCTTGGCTTATAGATGGCTGTCTTCTTCATGTATCTTCACATGGTATTTCCTCTGTGAGCACAGACATCCCTGGTCTCTCTTTGTGTGTTCAAATTTCCTCTTCTTATAAGGACACGAGTCAGATTGGATTAGGGGCCACACTGATGGCTTCATTTTAACTTAATCACCTCTTTCAACCCTTATCTCCAAATATAGTCATCTTCTAAGGTACTGGGGGTTAGGGATTTAATATATGAATGGGGGGACATATTTCAGCCCTTAACAAATGCTGTCCTTTAGAAATAATACAACACGAATGAGCTTACAATTGGACCTCACTTTACTGCTACAACTTTTTAAAGTGATTTAACCATCTTGACTGTGATCTATTACATTTTCATGTAAATTTTAGTCTCAGAGAGAAATTATAGTCCTCTTAAATTTAAGTTCCCAGGGAATCTGTTACTGTGGTCTCTTGTAACTAAAAAGTGAATATGTTTTATTGCCTATTTCTACCAAAAAAGACAAACACACATACAAACCATAACCACAATTTTGCTAAACCTAACATGTTAAATATTGTATTGAACATCTGCGTTCATTTATTTAATAGAATAGAGTTCCTAAAACAAAGTCTACATGTTCTCTACTTTCATACAGCCAACATTTAAATGGGGGAAGTAGGGAGGGAAGCAAGTGTTAAATAGGTAAACAAATAAATGCATATCTCATTTGTAATGTGAGTTATAAAAAGTGATAAATGCTGTGAAGGAGATAATGTCAGTGGATTAAGGGGAGAAGAAACTTGTTTTATACAGAGTGGTCAAAGATGGCCTTTCAGAGTTAGAAATATCTCATTCAAAGCATAAGAAAGAGACAAGTGTGCAAAGAAGGAAAGAAGAGTGGTTCCGAATCAAACTATGATAGTTAATTTTATGTGTCAACTTGACTAAGCCATGGAGTGCCCAGATATTTAGTTAAATATTATTCTGGGTGTTTCTATACAGCTGGCTTTTGATGAGATTAACATTTAAATTGGTAGGCTTAGTAAAGCAGATTGCCCTTTGTAATGTGAGTGGGCCTCATCTAATCAGTTGAGGAAGTGAATAGAATAAAATGTTAGACCCTCCCTCAAGTAATGGAGGATTCTTTCTGCCTGACTGCCTCTGAATGGGACATTGGCTTTTTCTCCCCTTCAGACATGAATGGAAACATGTTTCTTCCTGGGTCTCGTGACTGCCAGCCTTCAGACTAGAATTAAACTCTTAGCTCTCTTGTGTCTCCTGCTTGCTGACTCACTCAGATAATCGTGGGACTTGCCAGACTCCAAATCACATGAGCCAATTCCTTATAATAAATTAGATAGATTGGATGAATGGATAGATAGATAGATAGGTAGGTAGATAGATAGATAGATAGATAGATAGATAGATAGATAGATAGATAGATAGATAGATATCCTATTGCTTCTGTTTCTCTGGGAAACTCTAATACATAGAAACCAGCAAATGCAGAGACCCCCAAGGGAAGATACGCAGACTTCGCTCTATTTGAGGACTTGAAAATATGGTACAGAGGCAATGGGGTGGAGGGAGCTGTGGAATGAAAATAGTCCAGCTCTTTTTGATGCCATCTAGTAGCTGACACATAGAGGAATTACCCAGGAGAGCATTGTGGTTAAGAAAGTAGGCCCCAGGACTAGAAGACTGGGTGGGGAGAAAATACTTGGGTTCAAATCCCATCTTTGCCACTTACTAGTTGTGCTAGCTAAGATTCAATTTTCTAACTTCAAAAGCAGCAAAGGGTTATTGCATTTGTAGATTACATGAGTTAAACAATGTTAGGTACTTAGTATCTGTCACATTGTGCTCAGCAAATATTAGCAGTCTTAACATGAAACAACCCAACACACAATTTTCTCTCTTTATGTTACTTCCTGTTTTAAACATGCATCTGAAGAGATAATTCTAATAGTTAAATTTTTCTTAGGAATCTCTAATTAAGAGATATAGTTAATTTGAGAGAACTGAGAATTAAAGACTTCACACGACAGCTGTGGTGAAAATCTAGGTGTTAGTTCTACTCAGAAAAATGAACCCAACACAGGTTACAAAGAACGTGTTTATGTGGTCCATTTTTGGTGTTCAAATATTACAAGAAGACAAAATATGTATTGAAAATCAGATTTTCTCATTAGCTTCACCTCCACCCCCAAAATGCCTGAGACATTTTTGAAGACTTAGAAAAGGCAGAATCTATTCTATTTTACTGGATAAAGTTAAACCTGACAGAGGGAGATACATTAAATAAATTGGGTCAAAATCATTTAATCCACTTCCCACACAATTTCAGCTTCTGTAGTAGATTGCAAGGTGCTGTTTCATAACTCAACAGGCTTGATACATGCATTGTTATATGGAACTATATCTTATTACATGAACTCTGGCCCAGGTGCAGGACATGTCCTAATTGTACAATATGTATAGGATTTATCCTTAGAGCAAAGTGTAACTTAGAACTCTTCTCTCACTTTGTCTTTGTGAGATTTCTGGAAGAAATATGTCAGAAATACATGTGGACTTATTTCTTGAAGGGGCAAAAGAGTGCCATCTTTTGTCATTATTTGGGGGTATAAAGAAAAGGACCAAAAATAACATAGCAGAGAAAAATGCATCAGGTTAAAAAAATATACTTTTGTTTACTCTTTGCAGAAAGGATATAAGATCCAGAAGGACAAAAATAAGTACATATTTTATATTTCTCAAAAAGCTTTAGAGGCTGTTTCTCCAAGTTTTGTGCTATACAAGAAAAGCACTCAAGTATTTCTACACAGCTGTTATCTCTCAGATCCAGCTTCCCAAGTCCTATTGGAAACCAAGGGCAAGCAAACAAACTACCCAAGTTACTGTCAAATTAATAGGTTATTGATTGATATACTAGCTTTCAAATCATCAAGGTCAGTGGACAACAATTATTCATGAACTTTGGAAATAGATAGAAGTTCCATTTCTATCTATTAGAAATAGATAGAAGTTCCATTTCTATCTATTAGAAATAGATAGAAGTTCCATTTCTATCTATTAGAAATAGATAGAAGTTCCATTTCTATCTATTAGAAATAGATAGAAGTTCCATTTCTATCTATTAGAAATAGATAGAAGTTCCATTTCTATTAGAAATAGATAGAAGTTCTATTCTTTCTATTATCATTATTTCCAATAATTCATTTTCCTTCAGATTACCTGAAACAGAGCACCACAACTATTCTAAATTGAGCATCAGTATAGGCATATCATTTTGCATATGAGATTATCCCAGAGACCTGTAATGATAAGACTCCTATACCATCTGATCCTGAATTCACAGGGGCAGGGAATGGGGCTGTAGATGCTATTTAGAAAGTACAAGAGGTAATGGCTGGCATGAGAGAGGCTCACAATCTTGTTCAATTGTGTTACATGGAAGAAAATTAATCACAGCGTGGAAAAAAACCTACTTAAAAAATATATATGTGCTACAACTGTGCATTGTAGGAGCCAGCAACTGCTGTATTAGCTAGCAATTTGGCATGCACATGCTGTACATGCTGCTTCTCTTCCCAAACACATTACACCTGCTGCTGCCAATTTGTTCTTACTGTAAAAACCCAAGTGGTCTTGAACACCTTCTCCACTCATTTCCCTAATCTGCTGAAAACATAATCATCTAATGGATACAAAAAAAAAAAAATCTACTCACAAATGGCTATAGGTTGTAAAAAAGTAAATGTTACTAAAGTATAAATTAGTTTTCAAAGGTCCAAGAGTGGACCTGGAATTTGTATCCTACATTTATTAAAGCTGTCAAGTGAAGCCACAAAAATATATAAGAGAAAGGAGCATAGGCAGTTTTATTTTTCCTCTACCTAGGTTCTGTTCAAGTGGGTGGTAAAAACCCAGGTAACTAGAGGTCTATGAAACTTTCAGTAATATGCTTGAACAATATTTTCTCATGTGTGTGGGAGAAGTTGGGCAGAAAAGATGCAAATTGAAATTTATGTCACCTGGAACTCAAGATGTTCCAGAAAGAATTCAATGACTCATGAAGGGGATGGTGCTAGCTATGAATAGCAGCTTAATCAATCTATAAAGAAAATGGTCTAACCAAAGAGGAAAGGAGGTCTTTTGTAAAAACCTTGCAATAACGAGTTTGGTGGGTGTGAAATCAAACTCTCATGAAATGGGCATGGGCCAGGCCACTCACTGGAAGCACAGTGCAGCTTCCCCATCTGGCATTTTCCACACTTGCTGATCTGTGGCTGCTAAATTCAAGTCAGAAACAAACAACTGAACAACTGCCCCCATAAGTTCCCTATAAAACCAAAATGATTAATACAGTCCCTATGAGCATGTGGTAACACACTGAAAGTTTGGCATTTTGCTTACTGCATGTCCTGTTATTGATGCTCAACCAATGTATAATTTTGTCTAACCAAAAATTAATGACAATTTATATTGAGTTTTATATATGAAATGCAGAGAATGCATTGCTAAGACTGAGTCTCACCTTTACTAGTTTATTACCTGTGTGACCTCAAGGAAATCCGAACTCTGAACCCCAGTTTCTTTGTCATAAAAATGGATATAAGAATAACATTGGATCTCTTACACCCAGGGATCAAATAAAATACATGTGTATCCCCAGTGTTGCTAGTCATACCAATTTTACATTTCAAATGGGGTCAAATTTATCTTTAGGTCAAAACTACAGTAACTTTGAGACCTTACCTGCCTACCCAAGAAAATAGTCCCTGTCACAGATGCTGTCAACTATGTTTTGAGAGTCTAGAAAAGGGACTTTACCAACTGCAGTTATTCTCCCTTTTCTTTCCTGCCCCACTTACCTCTCCTGCTGGCTAAATCCCGCTAGGAAAAGGTAGCCTTGCCCGCACTGTTGCAGCAATTATTTTGAGCTTTCTCTCTCTTTCCATAAGGTATCAACCCAGGCCATGGAGCTGAATGGAGAAGAAATGCCTTCCATCCCTTCCAACCATTTGGCTTCTCCAGTCCCTCACCTCAAGCAAACCTCATCAAGGTTTTCCGATTTCCAGACCCAGGTCCTGAGCAACTATGTAAATGCAAACAAACACTGGTGATGACTGTAAGGTGGGTGCAATATACAAACAGCGTGTGAAGCTGAAATGCCTGTTTATGTGTGGATGCACTCATTTACTCAATGAATATTTAATTTAACAAGTATATTGAACTACCTACATGTGTAGAGTGGAATCAAGAAACAATATTACTTGGCTTATAAAGTAACTTTCAATTCTACTTTTTCTGGGGTAATCCTTTCTTTCCCCAAATTATATCTCAGAAAGTTCCCATAGCCTTTTCCATTTTTTTTCTGGTATTAACAGTGGCATTATTAGATATTAAATAATTAATTTAATTTAATGATTAAATAATTCTATTCCAATCAAAATTAAAACTTCAATCTCTCAGTAAGTTTAAATCTTCTCTTCATCCCTCTCCAGCTCTCGCCTCTCAGCCTTAGAAACCTATGGGGGAAAAGGAGGGTATAGGTTCTGTCCTTGGCCCTTCTTATTCTATATGCCCTGTACTCTCCTTTTATAACAGGGAACAAGTATAAAGGAAAAGAGAATATGAGTTTTTTTTTCTTTTCTTTACAACAACATTTTTATAAATATATCTTCTTATTTTAGAGCAGTTCTAGATAGTCAGAATAATTGTTAAGATAGTAAAGAGAGTTCCCATATATCCCATGGCCAGTTTCTAGTCTTATCAACATATTTCATTCATATGGCTCATATGTTATAATTAGGAACATTATTATCTACATTGATGAACATTGATACATTATTATTATCTAAAGTTCAGACTTTATGCAGATTTTCTTAGTTCATTTTTCTGTTTTACGATTCCATCCCACACACCTTCTTTCAATTAGACATTGTATCTCCTTGGGATCCTCTTGTCTCTGACTTTCTCAGACTTTTCCAGTTTTCTACGACAAGTTTTAGGACTGGTCAATTATTTTGTAGAGTGTCTCTCAATTGAGATTTGTCTGATGTTTTTCTCATAATTAAACCAGGATTTGGGGAGGAAGTCCACAGAAGTGGAGTATCATTCTCATCACATCATGTCAAAGGTACATATTATCTACATATGACATATCACTATTGATTTGACCTTAATCACCTGGATAAGGCACTTTTTGTCTGGTTTCTCTACTCTAAAGTTATCCTTCTTTTCTCTTTTCCCTATGGTAGTTTTTTGGGGAAAAAAAAAGTCAGTAAGTGCAGACCATATTTAAGAGTGGGAGTTATGTTCCACCTCCTTGAGGGCAGAGTATCTACAGAAATTATTTAGAATTTTGCTATATGAGAGACTTAGCTACTCTCCCACGTTTATTTATTCAGTCATTTACTCATAACTGTATAGAATCATGGGTACTTATTTTAAACTTTGAGTTATAAGCCAATTACTTCATTTTGTTGCTAAAATTCTTCCAGCTTTGACCACTGAAAATTCTTTCAGTTGGCTCCTGGACCCCTTTGACACACCCCTAGCACTGTGTGTGTGGTGGTGGGGGAGGAATGAAGGGATGGGATTGCTGTTGTTGTTGTGTGATATTGGTAGTGTTATTACTTTCTCACTTTCTGGAAGTAGGAGATGCTTAAGGCCTATTTTGTGCATTCACTGTCTTAGCCCTAGACTCCAGCTAAATTCAGTTGTTCTTGGTTCCTTTCACTCAAGAATGATGTTAGAAAACAAGATCTTTGTTTTGTTTTTTAGTTATTTAATACTGCCTATGATTCTATCTTGGCTGTCAAATGCTCACTTTTTGGAAGATGCTCTTTCTTCTTTATGGAGTGCTTTTATGATTTATTCAGAGAAGTGCCTATTGGAAATCTACTACCACACATTCCTAGCACAGTTGATGTTCTCTTGGCTTAACACCTACACCTCCCCTTTTAGATATTGTTTCTGGTGGGACAGCCCACACAAACTCTCTCTGTGGGATCATCCAGGACAGCAAATCTCTTGTCTGAGGCATTTTCAAAGCTATGCAAGCCCACAGGACAAGTAGTCATATCCACTGTCATATATTCTTGCTCAACTGTTGGAGGAAGTCCAGCATGTGCCCCTCCTCTTGCTTCGCTCTCAGGAAAAGTTCCAGAAAGCTGCTCACAGTTAGATTTTACTACATGTAAATCAAGCAGTGGTCCATGTGTCCTCCATACTCTAGGGCCATGAGTTGTTTCTTTGAAGTATCTCTTTCCATGACTTGAGTTAGGAGGTAGAGAGTATAAGAGATTAGAGACAATATTATGACTATCCTCAAAAAAAATTACACTAAACACTTTATTATTATTATTATTATTATTATTATTATACTTTAAGTTCTGGGGTACATGTGCACAACGGGCAGGTTTGTTTCATAGGTGTACGTGTGCCATGTTGGTTTGCTGCACCCTTCAACTCGTCATTTACATTAGGTATTAGGAGAAATAACTAAACACTTTTCTACAGAATCCTTAAATTGGGCCGGGAGTGGTGGCTCATGCCTGTAATCCCATCACCTTGAGAGGCCAAGGCAGGCAGATTGCTTGAACTCAGGTGTTGGAGACCAGCCTGGGCAACAAGACAAAATGCTGTCTCCACTAAAAATGCAAAAATTAGCTGGGCATAATGGCTTCCGGACCTGTGGTCCCATCTACTCAGGAGGCTAATGCAGGGAAATTGTTTGAGCCCAGGGAGCAGAGTTTGTACTGAGCCAAGATCGCTCACCACTGCACTCCAGCCTGGTCGACAGAGCTAGACCCTGTCTCAAAAAAACAAAACAACAAAAACAACAACAACAACGACAACAACAACAAAATAGAATCCCTAAGTCTCCTTGTGTACAACCCAGAGGCAAGAGAGAGACAAAGGGTCTCAGAACCTATTTGGAACCATATATTTTCCAAGTCCTGGATAAATGAACTAACAACACTCTGTAAAAGTGGTAGATTCTTGCCTTCTCCATTATTCCCAACAGCATTTTGAAAACAGGTAAAGGCTCACATTTTAACATTCTGTTTCATTAACAAGCACCTGCAACACACAAGGCTAACAGTTAGGTGCTGGGGATTATAAACGGAGAATAACACACAGGCTAGTGGTAGTAAGTATTGCTAGTAAGGAAGAAGTTTCAGTATTTTTAAGTTATAGAGATTAATATATAATACTGAGAAAGTATATAGAAGAGGCATTTATTTTACCTTGTGAGGAGGAAGGAGAGAATTAATGAAAGGGGAAGGCAAGGAAGACTTCTGAGGAGTGATATTTAGGGTGATATCTGAAGAATGTATTTGAACTAGCCAGGAAAGAGGCAAGTGAGTGTTACAAGTAAAGAAATAGCATGTACAAAAGCCTGAAAGTCAAGGAGGGCAGTGCTTGTTAGTAAGACTACAAATTCTGAAATATGGTGGAAGTGTAGGATGTGAGAAGAGGTATATTGAGAACTGAGGCCAGAGAGCATATGGGACCTTGAATGCTATTTTCAAAATGGGGAGGCTTTGATGGGAATCACATGGTAAACTGTGAATAAGTTTATGGATATATTTGTGTTGAGTTGGTGGAATCTTTTTCCACTATGAAATAACTGATTTTTTAAATAGAAGTAAACTAACCACAGGGAACACAGAGGGTTATCCTGTAATGGCCAGTGGGCAGTAAGGACAGAAAATGAGAGAAAGAAAGAAGATAACACCCCATCCATTTTTAAGAGGTCATTTTTTTTATATCACTGGTTTCCATAACACCTACCATTTTTGGTGGTTGTGATTAGGTATATATTTATGATGTTTGATCTTACCTGGGTTGTAGTGATTTTAAAATTGTGCTGAAAAAGAATGCCCTTTTATAAATGGGTTTTACTATCTGAAAAGTCTTCTATTTAAAAAATTGAATCAATAATTAATAACCTTCTGAAAAAAAAGTACCAGTTCCAGATTAGCTCATTTGTGAATGCTACAAAACATTAAAAGAAGAAATGATACCAATTCTTTTTTAAGAAAAATTTTTGTGAGTAAATAGTATGTGTATATACTTATGGGTTACATGAGATATTTTGATACATGCATGCAATGCATAATAATCACATCAGGGTAAATTGGATGTCCATCACCTCAAGCATTTAACCTTTGCATTACAAACAATCCTATTATACTCTTTTAGTTATTTTTAAATGTACAATTAAATTATTTTGACTCCAGTCCCCCTGTTGTGCTATCAAATATTAGATCTTATTCATTCTTAACCATCCTTTCCAGAAAGTAGAATCAGAAAGAACACTTCCTCTTATTCTATTATGACAGAATTACTTTAATATAAAAACTAGATAGAGACACTAGAAGAAAGGTAAAGCATAGACCAATATCTGTCATAAATATAAATGCAAAAATGCTCAACAAAAATATATAGAATATCATATCTAACTATGTATGAAAAAGTGATATTTATTTCAGTTATGCAAGTCTGGGTCAACATATGAAAATAAATGTAATTCACTACCTGAACAGGCAAAAATAAGAAAAACGATATGATTTTATCAAATACAGAAAAAGCATTTTTATAAAATTCAACATGTATTCAAAATAAAAACTCTCAGCAGAGTAGTAACAGAGAAGAATTTATTTAACTTATCTACAAACAACCTTCAGTTAACATTATATTTAATGATAAGAAACTAGATACTTTTCCTCTAAAATCAGGGAAAAGGCAAGAATATCCTCTTACCCATTCCTATTCAACTTCATAATGGAATTCCTAGACAGTTAAGGTAGAAAATGGAAATAAAATGTACACAAATGTAAAGAGAAGAAATAAATTTGTCTTTTGTTTTTGTTGTAAATGACATGACTTATATGTAGAAAATACTAAAGAACTAATTACAAGAACAATAAACTATGGAGACAAATAAGGAAGTGTGGCACTGGTGCAAGATACAAGGTTAATATACAAAAGTCAATTTCTTTGCTATACATTAGCAATGAACAACTTGAATTTCATGTTAAACATTTTATAATTTTATAATATATAAATTTTATAATTTTTAAGTTATATAATTATTAATTCCAAAAAATGAAATAAGAATAAATATAACAAAATATGTATGAGGTCTATATGCAGAAAACTATAAAAATCTGATGAAATAAATCCAAGAAGTTCTAAATAAATGAAAAGATATCCCATGCTCATAGATTGAAAGACTCAATATTATCAAGATGTTAATTCTTCTCAAATAGGTCTATAGATTAAACAAAACCCCAAAAATCTCAGCAATTAATTTTGTAGATATCAGCAACAGCAACCCGATTGTAAATTTTTTATGGAAGAGTCAAAGAAATAGAATAGTCAACGCAATACTGAAAAAGATGAACAAAGTTATAGGACTCATACTATCTGATTTTAAGACTTATTACAAAACTACAGTTATCAACATTGTGTTGTAATGGCAAAAGAGTAGAAAAAAAATGGAAGAATGAAACAAATAGAAAACCCAGAACTAGACCCACACAAATATAGCCAGTTGATTTTTTTCCAAAGAAACAGACAATTCAGTAGGGAAAAGATAGTCTTTTCAACAATGTGTCAGAACAACCGGACATCCATATACATAAAAATAACCAAGCACAAGGCTTCCATAACAAAAAGAAACATAGACCTAAATGTAGAATATAAAAGCTATACTCGATGTCCTTTTATTTGGTGGTGAGTTCTTAGATATAACCATAAAAGTTCAAGCTGTGAAATAAAAATGTGATAAATTGGACTTTGTTAAAATCAAAAACTTCCTCTGCAAAAGACACTATTAAGGTATCAAAAGACAAGACACAGACTAGAATAAAATATTTGCAGAACACATATCTGACTTATATCCAAAATATACAGACAACTCTTAAAAGTCAAGAGTAAGAAATTTTTAAAAATGGGCAAAAGATCTGCACAGATAGCTCATCAAAAAAAGGAATACAGATGTCAAACAGCATATGAAAAACTGATCAACATAAATTTTCCTCAAGAAATTTCAAATTAAAACAACAAGATACCTCTACATGCCTATTAGAATAACTAAAATCCAAGAAGACTGACAATACCAATTCCTAGTAAGGATGCAGATCAACAGTAGTTTACACTCACTGTTGGTGAGAATACAAAATGTTACCACTACCTTGGAAGACAATTTGGCAATTTCTAAAAAGCTAAAGATAACCTTACCATATGACCCAGCAATTGTGCTTCCAAATATTTACCCAACTGATTTGAAAGCACGTTTACCTAGAAACTACATGCAAATTTTTATTGCACATTTATTTGTAATCAGCCCAAACTGGAAGACAACCAAAATGACCTTTGATAGAAAAACAGAAAAACAAACACTGGTACATCTATGAAATATAAAATGAGATATTCAGCAATTAAAAAATAAGCTGTTAGACTTTGGAAGGATACAGATAAATCTTAAGTACATATTATTAAGTGGAAGAGCCCCTTCTGAAAAGACTACATATGATATTCCAAAAAAGACAAAACAATAAATATAGCAAAATGATCATTAGTCGCCAGGAACTGATGAGACAAGCAGGAAGGACTGAATCGGTGAAGCACAGGGGAATTTTAGAGGAGTATTTACATAGCTATTCTGTGGGGTACTATAATGGTGAATACATGACACTATGCCTTTTTCAAAACCCATAAAAATTCACAGCACAAAAAGTGAAACTTAATGTATGCAGAATTGTTATAAAATCAATTAGGAGATCGGGGGAATCCCAAGATACAATGCAGAATTTATATATTACAAATGTATAAAACAACTTCACTGAAGAGAGTGGTAGGACAAGGTATTGACCAAGCAACTTTGCAAATGTGTTTAGTGATTAAGACTGAAGACAAAAGGATCTGTACATAAGCACTGTACTCTAGTTGATAAAATTGCTTGGCCCATAGGAGTTTAGGTTAACAATTCCAATACTGATACATGTGTATGCCGAAATTGAAAAATTAAGGACACACATGACATATGTTGGAAGCCAGATTTCTCATTGTTGGAAAGGGAGATTACAGATTAGCAACAGGAGGAGGCTAGAATGCTCATCTGTTAATGGATTAGAGTTAGATTAATAGGTATAAACTAATATTTAGCTTAATATTGTATATAATATATAGAGGTTATATAAAAAGATATTCATAAATGTGTATATATATACAGATTACTCTAAAAACATACATTTCCTTACTTTGTCCATGGACACAGTCTAGTAGCAATGAAACAGGGTCTAGTTGCAATGACACCTCAATAGCAGCAAAGCACAGCCAGTGCCAGATCTTGGTTCTTCTAATATCATTCTCCAAAAAAAAAAAAAAAAAAACAAAAGAACTAGGGATACTTAGAGAAATAGATGAATAGATAATTTTCTGGATGTGAAAAGAAGTATAGAAGGTGAGGCTGGTAGTTCCAGAAAGAAAAGAAGTAATCAAAAAAAGAAAGAGAAAAAAACTCAGGCCAGGCCTGGTGGCTCATACCTGTAATCCCAGCACTTTGAGAGGCCGAGGCGGGCAGATCACTTGAGCCCAGGAGTTCTAAGCCAGCCTTGGCAACATTGCAAAGTATTTAAAATTTGGCCAGGTGTGGTGGCACACACCTGCAGTCTCAGCTACTTGAAAGGCTGGGGTGGGCTGAGAAGTCGAGGTTGCAGTGAGCTAAGATCGAGCCACCGCACTCCAGCCTGAGCAACAGAGCAAGACCCTGTTCTCACATACCCCTCAAAAAAAAAATTAATGATAGGTTTATTCAAAAGAAGAAAGGGAACAATTGAAGGTGCTCCCAGTGGCCAATGTTACAAAAACTTGAGCAACTAAATAAATAGAGCAATAATAGATTATAACCCAAAGTATAAAATAAATAACCTAACATCCATACTGATATAAATAAATAATTGAATAAATAAATGGAGAAAGGGCAAATCTTCAGTACACAAGAATTCCAAATAATGTTTGTAGAAACTCAGCCCTCAAGGAGGTGGAGCAGAACTCCCCACTCCTTAAATGTGGTCTGTGTACAGTGATTTCCTTCCAAAAAGCACTATGGCAAGAAGAAAAAAAAGAGTAAATTTACATGGGAGGTCCTGACAAACACTGTCTTATCCAAGTGATCCACATGATCCTCAACAGCGCTAAGTAATGTTGATAATATGTGCCCTCGATATGATGTTGATGAGAATTGTCCTCCTCAAAAACATGTAACACTAGCCTGACCTATGCAAAAAGTCCCAGACAAATTCCAGTAGAGAGACATTCTACAAAGAGCCTGACTAAAACTGTCAAGGTCATAAAAACAAAGAAATGTGAGAAACTGTCATAGCCAAGAAGAAACTAGGGATATATGATGATTAAATAAAATGTACTATCCTGGATAGAATCCTGGAACAAAAAGGTAAAAACTATGAAAATCTGAATGAAGTATGAGCTGTAGATAAAAATAAGGTATCAATATTAGTCCACTAATTATACTAAATGTACCACACTTGCACAAAATGTTAATAATAGGGGAAGGCTTATATGAGACACATGGGAACTTTGCATAATACCTGTCCAACTTTTCTGAAAATCTAAATTTTTTTCTAAAATTAAAAGTTTATTTTAAAGTTGAGTTGCAGCAAATATGTGTTTTTCCAAATAATTTTTCCCAGGTGACAGCCCAAGAATGTAGGTGTGTAAACCAACCATTCTTTAGAACTCCAATATACAATTGCTTTTAGAATGGTTTCTCCAAAGGCTTCCTAATATATTCGACTTCACTATTTTAAGATTGAAAAATAATAATTAGCATTTAGCACATTGACACTTGGCAGTCTTCTCTTGTTTTTTAAGGTAAATGAAACAATTCAACAGATACTTTCAAATAAAAAACTCTTATTTTTCTAATAATAAGAAAGTTATTTAAAAAGCAACAAATGACAAAGATCTGTGTTATTTGTTCAAAAGATCTTAAATAACCATCATTCAATAAACACATTTAAGTAAATGAGTGTATATTAAGTTTTCTTCTTTCTATTTCTATGGAATCAGTTCAAGGTTCCTGCTACCCATAGACTAGAAATATTTTCTTTAAATATTGTATGAGAGATTTGAACTTAGGCAGTCATCATTTTTTTCTTTTTAAGTGGAAGCATAGTGTGGAAAAGTAATTCAAGCCTTTTTCAGGAAAGACCTTGAAATAAGACTGATTTTATTCTTGTTGGATTGGAGTAAGGAAATGCTGAATTTATAGGATCAAAGACCGTCATAGGCTGGGTGCGATGGCTCATGCCTGTAATCCCAGCACTTTGGGAGGCTGAGGTAGGAGGATCGCTTGAGGTCAGGAGTTCAAGACCAGCCTGGGCAACATAGTGAGACCCTATCTCTACAAAATAAAAACAAAAAATTAACCAAGTGTGGTGGTGCATGCCTGTTCTCTCAGCTACTCAGGAGGCTGAGACGGGAGGATCACTTGAGCTAGGGAGTTCAAGGCTGCAGTGAGACATTATCACGCCACTGTACTCCAGCCTGGGTGATACAGTGAGATCCTGTTTTTAAAAAAAAAAAAAAATGGTAGTGTAAATTAAATTATGAAAGGGAGGATTTTAGGGAAAAACTAGTCTGCATCATTTTTACCATTTATTTAAAATGTGAGGCAGTAATAGTGCATTAGGGAGTCAGAGGAAGTTTAATCCTCACAGATGATGAGGTAAAATAGGGAGATTAGAAGGGATTATTTCAAAGATTCTATGCCTGCAACTGACCTCCTCACCCTCCCCTGCAAGTTTCCTCACTCAGTCACCTCTTATACTTCTGTTCTTTAACCTTCTCAGAATTTATCACCACTTGACCTTTTTCTTTCTCCTTATCAGCCCCCACTTGACCTTTATTCTTCCCATCTACAGACCTACCCATCATGTTAATGACTCTCTGGCCAATATCTTCAATTTTCTCATCTCACTTTCCTGATATAAATTTCAATCCTGTATCAGTCAACTCTCTACTTTCTCATTGCTGGACCCTAGGCCACTGCATATGGCTGGCAAAAATCACCACCCTGTAGCCTGGTGCCAGTAAAACTCCATGGACTTTTAGCCATAATGGGACCTAGAATACAGCATGCTTTCCATTCTTCCACTTTCTCTCTTTCTCCATAGAATTTATTTTTCTCCTTTTATAACAATATTATTATTATCGTTGAATTATTCCATGTTCATTTAAGAAAATAAGCAGCATATAAAATAAAAAGTCAAAGAATCCCTTCACTCTATTTCCTACTCCATAGTTATTTATATATTATTTCAGAATGTTCTCAGCATAAATACACACACACACACACACACGCACAGGATCACACTTTAAATGGTATTGAACTATTTGTTTTATTGCTTATTATATCTTAGATCTTTTCATATCTCTACAACCAGATTTTCTTAATTCTTTTTAATAACTAGATAGTATACATTTTATTGGTATGCCATAATAAATTGAACTAGTTATGATTGGTGAACATTTAGAAATTTACCAGAATCTGAATTCATGTTTTCTAATTTGTAACATGAGAATAAAAATATTAACAATTCCATTTAACTCAAGCATTGTAAACAATGTTGGAAAATGAAACAATTGACAGCATTTGTCATAAAAAGGAAATAACATTGCACCAGACATTTCCCAGTGTAGATCTTTATTCTTCTGTTGAATTATTTCTTGAGGTAAATTTTTAGAAATGTGTTTACTGAGGCAAAGTAAAGAACATTTTTATAGTGCTTGATATGCATTGCCATTTTACATTTTAAAAGGTTTGCATCAATGTCCAAGGCCTACAGCAATAAAATAATAGCTAATATTTTTCAAGTGTTTATTAACTCATTTGTTTCTTACAAAAATTCTGTAAGGTGGATATTATGGTCAATTCCATTTATTCAGATGAGAAAACAGACACAGAGAGAAAGCAGCTTGCTCCAAATTACATGGTTAGTAAGGTGTGAAACTGGATTTAAATACAGACAGCCTGACTTTGGGGAGCTAGACCACTTATTATTGCCTCTCATTGATTAGCTACATGTATTATATCAAACATTTAGATGTTATAATTCTGGAGGACAATAAAAGGGGAACATGAGGCCGGGCATGGTGGCTCACACCTGTAATCCCAGCACTTTGGGAGCCCGAGGCGGTTGGATCACCAGGTCAGGAGATCGAGACCATCCTGGCTAACATGGTGAAACCCCATCTCTACCAAAAATACAAAAAATTAGCCGAGTGTGGTGGTGGGCACCTGTAGTCCCAGCTACTCGGGAGGTTGAGGCAGGAGAACTGCTTGAATCCAGGAGGAGGAGGTTGCTGTGAGCCAAGATCGCGTCACTGCACTCCAGCCTGGGCGACAGGGTGAGACTCTGTCTCAAAAAAAAAAAAAAAAAAAAAAAGAAAGGCAGAGCATGAATGCAGTAAACACTATCTCAAAGTTGCTTCATTTTTATTTATTTGACTATTAGCTGTAATGACTTTTCCATTGTTTCGGTTATTGTCATTATTTTGCATTTTTTTGTATTTTACATAAAATGCCTATTTACGTAAGTTTTCTGTAATAGTGGAAATTACATAAATTTGGTACATTACCTAATTTTTAGTTATAGGGAGGTAGATGTTGAGCATTTACTCTCTTAGTGGTATTTCCTCTCCCTGCCTATTTGTTCCTGAATCTTGCCCTTGGATGAAGTGACTCCTTAGGCAGCTCCCACAGAGAGTCTGGGCTCAACAGCCACCTTCTTGCTAAAAGATTCTACAGCTACCAATTAATATATTAATGACAGAGGACCTAGAATGGTGGAATTTTTAAAATTTCCCCTCTGTGAATACACCTGTCCTTGAAAATGGCCTCAGTAGTGTATAAAGGTCAAAGGCTAGTCAAAATTATTTTTATCATAGCATGATGGAATGTCAAAGTACAAATGTATACAGTTGAACTATACTTAATGGGAACAGAAAACTTATTTTATGTTTATCCAGCAAAAATTGGTTTTTTTGAGAAGAAGAGAGAGTACTATTTTTTATTTTACTTTGGGAAAGTAAACAAACAGAACTGCCCTGAACAAACCTGGACATACAGTCACCCTGGCCAAGGTAAACAATCAACTTGGCAAGGTACAAGTAATTAAGCAGTCATTTGAGGGAACAAATTTTGCTTTGCTCTTCACAGCAGGAGCTTTCCCTGCATTTTTGGTCACTTAGCATCATTTTCCTTATTATAAATCCACCTGACTACTTCTTTATGAAAAGCCAAGGTAGATTCTATGTATTTATTTATTTATTTATTTTTATTTTTTGAGATGGAGTCTTGTTGTGTGGAGTGCAGTGGCACCATCTTGGCTCACTGCAACTCCACCTCCTGGGCTCAAGCCATCCTCCCACCTCAGCCTCCTGAGTAGCTGGGATTACAGCCACACACCACCATGCCCAGCTAATTGTTGTATTTTTAGTAGAGACAAGGTTCCACCATATTGCCCCAGGCTGGTCTCAATCTCCTGGCTTCAAATGCCTGCCTCGGCTTCCCAAAGTGCTGGGATTATAGGCATGAGCGACACCGCCCAGCCAAATTTCTTTTTTTTAATAAAAAAAGACCACAATAATTATTCCCATGTCTGCTTGTCATATGATTCTTCCACTTAGTCCATTAAAGATAAAATCTATATTCTTCCCTTGAATCTGGACTGGTCTTGTGACTTGCCTTGGCCAGAAACATGTGGAGGAAGTGATATTATGTGATGTTTGGGACCTAGGCCTCCAGGCACTTTGCAGCTTCCTCCTTTATCCTCTTAAAATGCTGCCCTGAGACCAATGACATATGAAGAAGCTCAGAATGAAGCCTTCAGTAGCTGGGCCAATTTGTCCTAGCAAAGATCAGCCCTAGCTGACCACCAGCTGAGTGACTGGGCCCAGGTAAGGCCAGCAGAAGAGCCATCCAAAAAACCCACAAACCTGTGAGAAAAGTGACTCACATTTTGTTTTAAGCCAGTATGTTTTGGTCAATTTGTTATATAATAAGCGATAAACAATGTTTAAAATTGCAAATGGAGAAAAAAGGTAAGAAAGAGAACTTCCCATTTATACTTGTAGTTTAATAACAACAATAAAGCCATTTGGGATTCATCTAAAATACCAAGTTTTAAAGACTGTGCAGGTTTTAAAACCACCACAATCCTTAGCACATGGCCTCTCTGCTATCAGCTAAAGCAGCATGCTTGCCCTGGCCAGTTCTTTGTGGAAATCAATAAAGTAGAAGGCTTAGTTTGTAACAAGTCAGGGACCATGCTCATATCCCTGCAGGCTTCACAATACGCAGATTGAAGTGTTTTATTTTCTGCTTTTTGTTTTGACCTCCAAAGTTACTGTCATCTCAGTTACCCTCAAACGAGCAACATCTTTTCCTGCCTAGGCTCCACAGCCACTGTTATGTAGTAAAAGCTACAATTATGATGGACTAAGTATTGGACTAGAGGATTTACATAATCTTATCCAACTCTCAAAACACAGAGATATAAGTGACATTGGAGAAAATAAATTCCTTGCCCAGATTTTCCCAAATAGTAACTGTCAGGACCAGGACTGCAATTCAAGGACTATCTTACCCCCGGAACTTGTAGGAGTTCCTGTTTATTATTATTCTGTCTTAATGTTCAAATGAAGAAGGTTCTGATTTCTTCAAAGAGTCTTTAAGATCTGCAGATTTCATGTTTCCACACATGGACAACAATGAACTAACAGAACTATCTTAACTATGTGGATCAACGGTGACACCAGTTACTGGGGGTAGGGATTAGGTGTTCTTAAACATTTCATAATAAATTGTCTATGCTTTTCAGATAATGTCAGAAAAATAATAATTGAGATAAATAATGAGGTAAGTAGGCCTTAGATGAGTGAAGCCTACTAGGTGATTTTTCACTTGAATGACTCCTTGAATCACTCAGAACTCTTCTTTATCCTAAACTAGAAAATCCCCTCTTAGGTAGGATTAAATTCTGGAAGGTGGTTGTCAGCAGGTTTCAAAATCAGACATGCTGCATATAAATCCATGAATCTGTAAGCTCCTTTCTATTTGGAGAAGCTTAATGACTATCATAAGTCATTTAAGAATCTGTGGTAACTCATTAACAGTTTATATACACTGTGATAGAATATCTATTTATCTTTAAGACTACTGTGTCTTTTTCTGAAACAACAAGATCTATAATAGGCAACAGCAACTAAAATACCTCCAAGCTGGGAGCTAATTCCCTTTTATAAACAAAAATTTACAGTTTGAAAACAAAACGTTCCCAACTCCACAGAAAATTTATTGTAGAATTGTCACTATTCTAGTATAAAAAACAAAACAAAACAAACAAAAAAATGAAGACAGTCTTCCTGCATCAAGAAAAGTGAAGCAATTCTAGTTCAAGATGGCTAACTAGAAACATTGCACACCTGTCCTCCCCAGAAAGAAAAACCAAAATTATGAATAATCATACCATGAATAGAACACCTAGGAGAGGACACTAGAGTCCAACAGAGAACTCATGGGGACCACTAGAGGCACAGAAGGAGAGGGAAGCATGCAGCCAGCTCAGTTGATATTGGCCAGGAGCCCCCAGGGGCTTGGTATTACAGGGAAAGGGTAAGTGAGAGAACTTCAGTGGTCCACATCCCCACTGCAGCCTGCTGCAATCCCAACCAAGCAGAGTTCTTTTACTCACATAAACCCCTGACACTACTGTGGATGATGATTCAGAGACACCACAAGGGCATTATACCAGACAGGGAACTCACACTAGGTCATTCACTTCCTCACCTCTGAGACTTAAGCAGCTGCAACTGGGCACCATTTTGAGAAAATAGCCATCACAGGACAGAATCCAGCCTGGGAACATCCCCCATATATCCACATCCTGTAAGTCCCCATTGACATTTCCCATTCCCACCAAAGGACTACAGTGGCACAGCACTGGCTAGACCCAAGGATGCTGGAGAGCCCCCAGTACTCCAGCCCACAGGAAGTACTATTCCTCATGGAAATGACAGTGTAAATGCCCAAAATTGCAGCCCCTAGGGCAAAGGAAACCAAAGCACATGTTTCTAGAGCCCAGGAGCTCCCTTTGGGGCTGAGACAAGCAACCCCAACCTCAGCAGCAGCACAACTTTTGTGCTTGGCCTTGTAAGCAGAGAATGAGAGCCCCTCCCACTGTGAGCTGCCTCTGTGCTCAGACTCATGCACAGAGAGCAGAACCCCTTCTGCCCCTCCACACAGCACTGCAGGCCTACCACTACCGCTGCTGCTAGAGGCTGAGGTAGGTGAATCAGAGGGCTGCCTGTTTGGGGCTGGGAGTGCCAAGTGCACCCTTGCTGGTTGCATGGCCTCCATGCTCAGGCTTGCATGTGAAAGGTGGGATCCATCCCCTACTTTGTATAGTGTTGTGATATTGCTGCCACAGAGAGTGAGAGAGCCTGATAATTGTGTGTCTGGGGCTGTCAGTAGTGACGCCATACCACAGCCACTGCCAATACCAGTAAGTATGTCTTGGGACCCAGTTGATCATCTTGCCACAGCTACTTCCATCACCTACACCACAATGGTTCCCAGGTTCCTGAGTACCCTCTTAGCCACCCAACCCACTGCTGCCACTACTGAAATCCAGGTAAGCTCAGCATCAGTCTGACTGTCTGCTAACACCAGTGCCAACATAAGCCATCCAATATTAGCCCACTGCTGCCACCAATTGGGGCCCAAAGACTGTCCTAGTTGGCATCTTTGTCTTCAGCAAAGATTCACCATAGCCTTCATTAATAACTGTACCCTAAACTACTGAGGAAATCACAGATACTACTGATGCTATTTACAGCCACAAAAAATCATACAGAGAATATGCTATGGCACACAGCCAAAATCAAAGCCAAAGAACCCTACCCAAACAACACAATTTTTAGAACTTCAGGAAAAAGTCTTCCTCTATATAAGTAAAGTCGAAAATCTAGAAGAAGCCACTGTTACACCAGAAGCACAGACAGCAACATAAAGACACAGGAAGCATTAAAAAGCAAGAAAATAATAACACCTCCAAAGGAATATAAGAATTTCTTAGCAACAGATCCTAATAAAAGAAAAATTGCAAAATCTCAGAAAAAGAATTCAAACTTATCATACAAAAAAATCTCAGTAAGATAAAAAATTGTGAAAAATAATACAAAGAAATCAGAAAAAAACAATTTATACTACGAGTGAGAAATTTACCAGAGATATATATCTTAAAAAGAACCAAATAGAATTCTGGAGCTGAAGAATTCCTTTAATGAAATACAAGGTACACTCAATGATAGACTAGACCAAGCAGAAGAAAGAATTTCAAAACCTAAAGACATGTTTTTTTGAAGTAACCCAGTCAAATAAAAATAAAAAAGAATAAAAAGAATGAACAAAGTCCTCATGATATATGAGAAACTATTAAGTGACAAAATATATGAATTATTGATATCCCCCAAAGCAAAGAGAGAAGGGTTCAAAAAACTATTCAACAACATAATAGAAGATAATTTCTCAAATCTAGGAAGAGATCTAGACACCCAGATTCAGGAGGCCCAGCAATCCTCAATCAGACACAATGCCACAAATCTTCTCCACGGTACATTATAGTCAAACTGTCTAAAATCAATGATAGGCACTTTTTCTTCAAGTTGCCCACTTGGATCTCTTTCTCAGCATAAACCTTACAGGACAGGAGAGAATGGGAGGATATATTCAAAAGGCTGATAAAAACTCTAATACCCAAGGGTACTATATCAAGCAAAATTATCCTTCACACATAAAAAGAAATACTCTTTCACAGATGAGCAAATGCTGAGGTAATTCAATACCACTAGACCTGACTTACAAGAAATGCTCAGGAGAATCCTAAACTTGGAAGTTAAAGGATAATAGTCATCATCATGAAAACACATGAAAATATAAAACTCACTGTTAAGTACATACAAATAAGTAATAAAAAAGACTCAAATGATAGTTACTACCACAGAAAAAGCATATCACAAGGACGATCAAGAGAAAAAGAAAAAAGACTATACTAAGCCACCAGAAAACAATTAATAATACAACAGGAACAAAACCTCACATATCAATAACAACTCTTGAATATAAATTGATTAAACTTTCAACTGAAAAGATATAGACAAACTGATTAGATTAAGAATGATCCAACTAGATGCTGCCTACAAGAAACATATTTTACCAATAGAGGCACATATAAAGTAAAAGGTTGGAGAAGTATACTGCCACACAAACTGAAACCAAAAACAGGCAAGACTAGCTATATTTAAATCAGATAAAGCAGACTTTTAAGGACTAACAGCAGGAAAAAAAGGCAAAAAAGGGCATTATATAATAATAAAGAGATCAATCTACCAAGACAATACAAAAATTCTAAATATATATATAGGCACTGAAAACTGGGACACCCAGATTCATAAAACAAATCTTACCAGATCTAGAGAGAGAGAGACTTTTATACAATCATAATGGGTGAATTTCCACATCATACTTTCAGCATTAGACAGATTATCAGAAGAGAAAATAAACAAAGAAACATTGCACTTAAGCAAGAAAAACCGGACTTTAGATCAAATAAGACTAACAAACATTTACAGAACATTTCATCCAACAACTGAAGAATACACATTCTTATAAGCACATGGAACATTCTCCAGGATAGACTATATGTTAGGCCACAAAACAAGTTTCAACAAATTTTCAAAAAATTAAAATCATATCAAGTAATTTTCATAACAGTATGGTATAAAATTAAAATCAATACCAAGAGCAGTTTTGGAAACTATGCAAAAACATGGCAATTAAACAACATGCTCCTGAACAACTATTGGGGCAATAAAGAAATTAAGATGAAAATCAAAAAAATTATTAAATAAAAATGGAAACATGACATACCAATACCTACGGGACACAGCAAAAGCAGAGACAAGTTTATAGCAATAAACTCCTATGTCAAAAAAAAAAAAAAAAGACCAGAAAGATTTCAAATATACAACCTAATGATGCACCTCAAGGAATTAGAAAAACAAAAACAAAACAAATTCCAAATTAGCAAAAGATAGCTGGGCATGGTGGCTCATGCCTGTAATCCCAGCACTTTGGGAGGCTGAGGTGCGCAGATCATGAGGTCAGGAGATCAAGACCATCCTGGCTAACATGGTGAAACCCCATCTCTACCGAAAATATAAAAAATTAGCCAGGTGTGGTGGCGGGGGCCTATAGTCCTAGCTACTTGGGAGGCTGAGGCAGGAGAATGGCGTGAACCCGGGAGGCGGAGCTTGCAGTAAGCCAAGATTGCACCACTGCACTCCAGCGTGGGTGACAGAGCAAGACTCCATCTCAAAAAAAAAAAAAAAAAAAAAAATTAACAAAAGAAAGGAAATAATAAAGATCGGAGAAGAACTAAATAAAACAGAGATTTAAAAAATACTAAGGATCTACATCTAGAGCACCTCATTGTCTCAACCCAAAAGCTTCTTAAGCTGATAAGCAAATTCAGCAAAGTCTCAGGATAAAAAAATCAATGTGCAGAAATCGCTAGCATTCCTATACATCAATAACAGGCAAGCAGAGAGCCAAATCATGAATGAACTCTCATTCACAATTGCTACTAAAATGATAAAATACCTAGGGATACAGCTAACATGGGAAGTGAAGGATCCCTTCAAGCAGAAAAACAAACCACTACTCAAAGAAATCAGAGAGGACACAAATAGAAAAACATTCCATGCTCATGGATAGAAAGAATCAATATTGTAAAAATGGCAATACTTTCCAAAATAATTTATGGATTCAATGCTATTCCCACGAAACTACCATTGACATTCTTCCGAGAATTAGAAAAAACTATTTTAAAATTTATTCTACATGGAATTTAAACAAATTTACAAGAAAAACAAACAACCCCATTAAAAAGCAGGCCAGAGGACGTGAACAGACACTTTTCAAAAGAAGACATAGATGCAGCCAACAAACATATGAAAAAAAGCTCAACATCACTGATCATTAGAAAAATGTGAATCAAAACCACAATGAGATATCATCTCACACCAGTCAGAATGGCTATGATTAAAAAGTCAAAAAATAATAGATGCTGGTGACATTGCAAATAAGGAACACTTTTGCACGTTGGTGGGAGTGTAAATTAGTTCAACCATTGTGGAAGAGAGTGTGGTGACTCCTCAAAGACCTAGAGGCAGAAAGATCATTTGACCCAGCAATCCCATTACTGGGTATATACCCAAAGGAATATAGATCATTCTATTATAAAGATATATGCATGAATATGTTCCTTGCAGTGCTATTTACAATAGCAAAGACATGAATCGACCTAAAAGCCCATCAATGATAGACTGGACAAAGAAAATGATAGACTGGATAAAGAAAATGTTAAATATACACCATGGAATACTACACAGCCATAAAAAGGAACAAGATCATGTCCTTTGCAGGGACATGGATGGAGCTGGAAGCCATTATCCTCAGCAAACCTATGCAGAAAAGGAAAAACAAATACTGCATGTTCTCACTTATAAGTGGGAGCTGAATGATGAGAACACATGGACACATTGGGGGAACAACACACATTGGGGCCTGTCAGAGAGGGGTGTGGGGGGAGGGAGAACATCAGGAAAAATAGCTAAAGGATTCTGGGCTTAATACCTAGGTGATGGGATGGTCCATGTAGCAAACCACCATGGCACACATTTACCTATGTAAGAAACCTGCACATCTGCACATATACCCCAAACTTAAAATAAAAGTTGAAAAAAAGAAAAAAAATACTAAGGATCAACAAAACTAAAAGCTGATTCTTTGAAAAGATAAACAAAATTTATAAAATGCTAACTCATTTAAGAAGAGATAAGAGACAAAAAAAATCAGAAATTAAAAAAGGTGATATTACAACTGATACCACAGAAATGAAAAAAAGATCATCAGAGACTATTATGAACAACTATATGAGAACAAACTGGAAAACCTAGAAGAAATGGACAAATTCCAGGAAACATAAAACTTACCAAAATAAAATCAGAAAGAAACAGAAATCCTAAGCAGACCAATAATGAGTAGCAAGACTGAAATCAGTAACAAAAAAGTCTCCAAAGAAAGAGAAGCCCAAGAACAGATGGATTCAGTGTAATATTCTACAAAATATATAAAGAAGAACTGATACCAGTTCTCCTCAAACTATTCCAAAAAAATTGAAAGAGAGGGAATTCTCCCTAGCTCATTTTATAAGAACAGAATTATCCTAATACCAAAACCAGACAAGAACACACACACACACACACACACACACAAAGTACAGGCCAATACCCCTGCTGAACATAGGTGCAAAAAATCCTCAATGAAGTACTAGTAAACTGAATTCAACAGCATGTCTAGAAGATAATACAACATGATCAAGTTGAATTTATCCCAGAAATGCAAGGATGGTTCAATACACGCAAATCAATAAATGTGATATATAACATCAACAGAATAAAGGGCAAAAATCTTATGATCATATCAATAGATGCAGAAAAGGCATTTGACAAAATTCAACACCTGTTCATGATAAAAACTTCTCAACAAACTAGGTATAGATGAACCATAGTTTCAAATAATAAAAGCCATATATTACAAACCCATAGCTAACATCATGCTGAATGGAAAAAGTTGAAAGCTTTTCCTCTAAGAACTGGAACAAGACAAGGATGCCCAAATTTACTACTCCTATTTATCATAATACTGTAAGTTCTAGCAGAGCAATCAGGCAAGGAAAAGAAATAAAAAGCATCCAAATTGGAAAAGAGGAAGTTAAATTTGTCTCTTTCCAGATGACATGATCTTATATTTAGAAAAACCAAAAGACTCCAACAGAAAACTCCTAGAACTGCAAATAAATTCTGTAAAGTTGCAGGATGTAAAATCAATGTGCAAAAATCAGTAATGTTTCTATACACCAATACTGAAATTGTCAAAAAAGAAATCAAGAAAATAATCCCATATATAATAGCTACAAAAAAATACTTGAAAATAAATTTAACCAAAGAGGTGAAATGTCTCTACAAGGAGAACTACAAAACACTGATGAAAGAAATTGAAGCGAACGTAAACAAATAGAAAGACATCCCATGCTCATGAATTGGAAGGATTAACATTGTTGAAATGGCCATACTTCCCAAGCCATCTACAAATTCAATGCAATCTCTATCAAAACACCAATGTCATTTTTCACAGAATTAGAAAAAACAATCCTAAACTTCATATAGAACCAAAATAGAGCCTGAATAGCCAAACAAATCCTAAGCAAAAAGAACAAAGCTGGAGGCATCACACTACCTAATTTCAAAACCTATTAGAAGCCTGCAGTAACCAAAACAGCACACTATTGGTATAAAAACAGACACATAGACAAATGGAACAGAACAGAGGAGCCAGAAATAAATCCACATATTTATAGCCAACTGATCTTTGGCAAAGTCACCAGGAACATGTATTTGGAGTCAACCTACCAAGACTGACTCCAAATAAACAAAAATTGTGACCTGACCTATTATCAATAAACGGTGCTGGGAAAACTGAATAACCATATGCAGAAAACTGAAACTAAATCACTATCTCTCACCATATACAAAAGTCAACTCAAGATGGATTAAAGACTTAAATAGAAGACATGTAACTGTAAAACTAGAAGAAACTGTAAAACTAGTAGAAGAAAACACAAGGAAAACTCTTCAGGACATTGGCTAGGTAAAGGTTTTATGGCTAAGACCTAAAACACACAGGCAATAAAAACAGAAATAGACAAATGGGACTATATTAAACTAAAAAGCTTCTACACAGCAAAAGAAACAATTGACACGTTGAAGAGACAACCTCTTGAATGAGAGAAAATATTTGCAAATTACTTATCCAACAGGGGACTGCTCTTCAAAATATATAAAGAACTCAAACATCTCAATAGTACAAAAACAAGTAATCCTACTAAAAAGTTAGCATCGGTCATGAATGCACATTTTTCAAAAAAAAAGGGGGCATATGAATTGTCAAAGATATATGAGAAAATGTTCAACATCATTAATCATATGGGAAACACAAATCAAAATTACAGTGAGACATCATCTCACTCCAGTTAGACAAGACAGGTGATAATGCAGAGGAAAGAAAACTTATATACTGCTGGTGGGAATCTAAATTAGTACAACCACTATGGAAAACAGTATGCAGATTTCTCAAAAAAACAAAAAAATAGAACTACTGCACCACCCAGCAATCCCACTATTATCTATCCAAATATCTGTCAATATATCAAAGAACTGCCTGTACTTACATGTTTATTGCAGTACTATTCAGAATAGCAAAGATACTGAATCAATCTAAGTGCCCATCAGTGGACAAATGGATAAAGAAAATGTGGTATACATATGCAATAGAATACTATTGGGCAATTAAAAGAGGATGAAATCATGTCATTTGCAGCAACATGGATGGAACTGGAAGTCATTAAGTTAAGTGAAATAAGCCAGGCACAGAAAGACAAACAGTGTGTATTCTCATTCCTTTGTGGGCACTAAAAAACTTTAATCTCATAGACATGGAGAATAGAACTAGAATGATAGATATCAGAGACTGGGAAGGGTGGGGAAGGGATATATGAAGGGAGGTCAGTTATGAGTACAAACATACAGTTAGATAGAAGAAATAAGTTCAAATGTTTGACAGCAGATCAAGGTACTAGCAACAATATTACATATATTTCAAAGCAACTAGAAGAGAGGACTTGAAACGATACCAACATAAAAAAATAATAAGCAACTCAAGGTTTATCACTCATGATAAACCCCAATTACCCTGACTTGATCATTACACATTCTTTGCATATAAAAACACTCACATGTACCCTATACATGTGTAAATTTTTATATATCAATAAAAGGGTAAAAAAAGAAGCATTAAACAATTTTAAAATATCAGATTAAAACACAGCTGTTCAAATACATATTTTCAAATATTTTGGATCCTTAAGAATGTTTGCCTAAAGGAATTTTTCAGTCTTTTCATATGCAACACTCTGGCCTTGAAAGTGCTAAAATTCCATGAGGAAGCTGCTGGCAATGTTTCTGTTTCATTAGAGAAAAATACTAAAATCAATTTTCTCCGGACTCAGATCAAGTAAGAATCACTGCAAATGACAATTTCAATTATCTGTGGTGCATATATGTCTTTTAAGCATTTGAAAATCAAAGGCAAATTTTTTAAAACACAAAGAAAGGTAACAAATTGTTTAAATTTTACTTTTGCTTTTTTACTTATTAAACAATAATGCATAATCATTATAGAATAATTAGAAACCTAAATATACAAATAAATAAATCTAAACTATAAATAAATCTATATAACATTATGTCAATATGATTATTAACTTATATTTGGTAATACTGTTTTCTATTTTACATATATGGTATTATAATGAAAATATAATACTATATCCAAATTTGTTTGCTCAACATTTTTTGCATAAATATATCCTCATATCTTTCAACAAAAAATAGAAAGACAAACTTTAATGCTGTGTAAAATCTATCATGTAGATATTCAATAATTAAATTAATCATTCCCTTTTTGTTGAATGTTGTGGTACTATATGGAAAGCAGATAAGATTTTATTTACATATAAAAGTAGTCAAATATATGCAAATGTTTAAATGAATTACTCTATTAAAGGCTATAGCAGTAGCTTTTTCATTACTATACACTCTGAACATCCTCTAGTTAGGTAAGTTAATAAGAGGCATCTAGAAATTGCCACCTATTTATATGTATATGTAGCTTTACATGTTGCTTAAGTGCTCTAGTCCTGGCTGACATAAAGCTTGATACCATCGTTATTAGTCTGCATCCAAACCTCTTGGTCTCTAGAGAATATATATTGGATTTGGATGCTGGTCTGTCCAGCTGATCCAAAATAAAAATATAACACTATTTTTTCCAGATGTCTATGTACAAAACAAGTTTAAAATTAATAATATATTAATGCTCTGTGTACAGATTTATAGTACTTTCAATTTTATTTTGCACATTCACATTAGCCTTGTTTTACAGGGCAATTATAGAGAAGATATACAAATTAAGACAGACAATATACTTTTTTAAAAAAGAAGAACACTTATAGCTTCCAGGATCAAGAGAGTTGAAGTCATAAAGCCTGCTAGGGATGAAGAAAAGACAAGACCTTTCCACTATTACCCTTAATTCCTCAATAAATCAGTTTCTCAACATGAATGGTTATATTCCTGTTCTATGGGGCAAATGGCAATAGCTTCCTCTATGGACAAAGACACCATGAAACCTTCCCAGGACATCTGCATCCAACCTTGTTCTATGCTTCGCAGGCACTCTGCCACCCCAAAGATTTTCCATTATCTGACATATTTACTGCTATATTTTCAGAGCACAAGCATTAAAGAAGTTGTTTGGTTTTTTGTTTTAAATAAATGAATGAATCATCAAGGGCCTATTGTCTTCTAATTATAAACAGTAGAGTGACTGCTGCACCTGCCATTAGTTAATGATTTCCTAAAAATGAAGGCAGAGGTTTCCTTTTGGAGTTTTCTGGCAGAATTACCAGGACTTCTTTCCTTTATTGACTCTTTTGCATAGGACAAAAGTCAATAATAAAGGCAATTACTCTCTCACCTTCATGAAAATACCACACCTTTGGCATTATAGTGAGTTGGAAGAAAATGTATTAAAAACAAACATGATAATGTCAATGGCCTAAAAAATATCTTTTCTTGACACCAACATTCTGGAATATGCAGGATTTATGAGTTTTCTATAGCTTCTAACTACATTTTTCTTTCTTAATACCCTATAATCTTCCACCCATTGCACTTGAAATCCATCTCTGTCATATTCTCTACTGTATTGCCAATGCCTAGAATGCCTAGAACAATACTTGGAAGATAGTAGGTGCTCATTAAATATTTGTGGACTTCCTAGGTTACAGAAGTACCCTTTGGTCTCCACTTGCTCTCCCTCTGACCTACTCTGTACAACACCCTCCAAGACTTATCATCTGGAAAGACCAGTTTCGTTGAGTCCCTCTCCAACCAAAATCTCAACAGAGTCTGCTGCCTTTGACAACTGCATGCACAGCCATTAACTGTTACTTTCAAGATCCTCTCTGTCTTCACTGTATCTCACCTTTCTAGCCAGTGCTGCTATACTAACTTCAAACACACACTTTCTGTTCCCATCATGCTTCCTCAGTGTCTGTTCCCCAATCTCCACTCTTGTCATATTATGTGTATATTTGAATCTTCAGGACTGCTCATCCTCGATTTAGAGGAGCCTCCCTTCCTTTTTCCCATCTCAAACTCTTATTATGCTTCAAAGGAAGTTCAGTCTCGCTACATGAAGTGCCTTTTTCTTCTTACTCTATAATGATATTTCCTTTCTTTGAATCCATATTTCCTAATAATTTTGTTCTCTTATTGTTTTCTGAGGTTTCTCTCTTCAGTTAGATTCCCTGCTTACAGCTCCGAATAATTTTCCAGTAATGGAAAATATTATTAAATATAAATATTTATTTATATTTAAACATAAATACTTATTTATGTTTATTGTAATTAACACTAAGACCAAAAGGCTGCATATGGAAGGATCAGAGCATGCTGAGGTTGCCTACTAATTGCTGAGAGGCTCATTTAATTCATCAGCCAAAATCAATTTGAATGTTTCAGCTCAAAAAGAACAGAGGTTTTAAGTATGTGATTCTGTGCACATAAGTAAATGTGAGTTTTTATCCTAAAAGAAAAAAAAAAGTTATCTCTCCTGTTTCTCTGGGATACTTCCCTTTCCCCTTTTCTCAAAAGATTACCATGTTAGCCTCACATTGGTGGATATCATATCAATTCAAAGTCTTTAAAACTTTACTGATAGGTCCCTGAAATGAATACTTCTAATATTGTCTCCAAAAGGCTTTATCACTGATAAAAATTATGATTCAAAATGTTTCTCCAAAAAAAGCTTATCTAAGATACCATCTATAAATATCCATGATGCTGACTTCCTAAAAACCACTTATCTGCTTAGTTGCACTTATTATTCTAATTTCACACATACTCATTTTCTCTTGAATAGGAAAACTGTTTCTTGAAGAGTCAACTGTTTTCTCAGCCCTTTTGATACTGCTAGTTTGCTTGCTCACTGTTCATAACACTCCCAGGCACCAGCTGAAACAGAATGTAATTATAATTTCCTAAGAAGTAGTGAATAGAATAGCCTTCTAACATAGCACTTTCTAGATGATGGATATGTATAATTTGCACTGGTGGATATGGTAGCCACTACCCATATCTGGCTACTGAGCACTTGAAATTTAGCTAATGGGATTGAGGATATAGATTTTTTTATGTTAGTCAATTGATATGGCTTGGCTGTGTCCCCACCCAAATCTCACCTTGAATTGCAACAGTCCCCATGTGTCAAGGGTGGGGCCAGGTGGAGATAATTGAATCAGGGGGGCAGTTTCCTCCATACTGTTCTCATGGTAGTAAATAAGTCTCACGAGATCTAATGGTTTTATTAATGGGAGTTCTGCACAAGCCCTCTTGCCTGCCACCATGTAAGACGTGCCTTTGCTTATCCTTTGCCTTCCACAATGATTGTGAGGCCTCCCAGCCATGTAGAACTGTGAATCCATTAAACCTCTTTCCTTTATAAATTACTCAGTCTTGGCTATGTCTTTATTAGCAGTGTGAGAACAGAATAATATATTAATTTAACCTCAAATAGCCATCTGAGGGTAGTGACTACTGCATTAGATGGTGTAATTTTAATATAACCAACACTGTTAAGATTGTATATTTAATAAAAATTAAGAGGATAAATAAATAAGACTCAGAATAAAATGACATTTATTTTAACAGCATATGCTTTTCATATTTGTAAATTAAAAAAATTTAGACAGAGTGTTCCCTATATCTATGTTTATAGCTATACTCCTAATTAGTTGTGTGGTATTAGAAAAACTGCATTATTTTTATGGACCTCAAAAGTTTAGAACACGTGATCACCAACTTTGAAATTATTTGATTCTATATTGATCTTAAACTTATTACCCTGAGAATATTTTTGAAAATTAACTGAGAAATATATATATGTATGTGTACACACACACCCACACATTACAAACTGAAAAGTTGCATGCCAATGGAAGCATCATTTTTTAAAAAAATAAGATTCAGGTTCACCAATTTTTAAATCTACTAGGATTTTGATGCTGAAACCTTAGTTCAAAAGCTTTCTTGGACCACCACAAAATATGTATTAGTCCATTCTTGCACTGCTACAAAAACATACCTGAGACTGAGTAATTTATAAAGAAAAGAGATTTAGTTTGCTCACAGTTCTGCAGGATATACAGAAAGAATGATGCTGGTATCCACCTGGCTTCCAGGGAGGCCTCAGGAAACTTTCAATCATGGCAAAAGGCAAAGGGGAAGCAGGCATGGCACGTCTTACATGGCAGGAGGAGGAGCAAGAGAGAAAGAGGAGAGGTGCTAAACACTTTTAAACAATCATGTCTTGCAAGAACTGACTTACTCTCAGGAGAACAGCACCAAGGGATGGTGCTAAACCATTCATGAGAAATCTACACCCATAATCCAATCACCTCCAGCCAGGTTCCGCCTCCAACACTGGGTGTTACAATTCGATGTGAGATCTGGGCAAGGACACAGACACGAACCATACCAGAATATATGCTGGTATTTATAAGCATCTGTAATATTTCATGTTTGTTTGTTTTGTTTTGTTAGCTTCAAGGAAAAGTAAGTAATGGTAAGTATATAACATACTCATAACTATGAATTAAACACTTTTATCTGGCCTAACATTAAAATACATATATCTTTTATTTTTTCGTTTGTAAAAAAAAAAATTATTTGTGTGCAAAAAATAAATTGGCTTTTCAAACACTTAATTTTCCTTCTGGAAGTTCTGTTTTTTCTTTTTTCTTTTTTTTTTTTTTTTTTTTTTTTGAGATGGAGTCTGGCTGTGTCACCCAGGCTGGAGTCTGGCTGTGTCACCCAGGCTGGAGTGTGGTGGTGTGATCTCGGCTCACTGCAAGCTCTGCCTCTGAGGTTCAAGCGATTCTCCTGCCTCAGCCTCCCAAGCAGCTGGGATTACAGGTGCACGCCACCATGCCTGGCTAATTTTTGTAATTTTAGTAGAGATGGGGTTTCACCATATTGGTCAGGCTGGTCTCGAACTCCTGACCTCAGGTGATCCACCAGCCTCAGCCTCCCAAAGTGCTGGGATTATAGGCGTGAGCCACTGCATCTGGCCTGGAAGTTCCCTCTTTAAGGACAGGTTTCTGTAGCTCACTGTATAGCATACACAGGTTTACATGCATTATTTTTTTGGACCTCAATAGGTTTGCATACCCTATTTGCACATGCAGGTATGGTGATCACCCCTCTTCCACCCAATTAACAACCTTCAGGAGAAAAAAATAGAGGAAGGAGAGGAGTGTTTGCTGGTTGCAGCTCTCTAGGAATAGCCAAGGAGTTGGCAAAGGAAGCTCACTCTCCCTGCTGCTTCTGCCTCTGAAGTGAGTGATCCATACTTTGGTAAATGAGATGATTCATTTGTATGCAGAAAGAAAATATTAAGACTCTTGCTTATATTTAGTTTTTATAGAATAACTAAGAAAGTAATTAGGCCTCGCAATTATTTAACACATAGTGTGTAGAGACTGCTATTTGCCTACTGCAATATCCATTCTTTATGTCTTAGTCCTTCTTGGCTATTAAAACAAACATGCCATAGACTAAGTAGTTTAAAAACAACAGAAATGTATTTCTCACTGTTATGAAGGCCAAGAAGTCCAAGTTCAAGGTACCAACATATTTGGCGTTTGGTAAGGGCCCAATTCCTGGTTTACAGAAATCCTGAGATTAGGTTAGTGTAAAAAGAATTGCAGTTTTTGCCATTTTTAAAAGTAATGGCAAAACTGCAATTATTTTTGCACCGACCAATATAGCCTCACATGGAGGAAAGGGAAAGAAAACTCCCTGGGGCCTTTTTTATGAGGGCACTAATCTCATTTGTGAAGGCTCCACCCTCATGACCTAATCATCTCCTAAAGGCCCCATGTCCAAATATCACCATGGGTGTTAGGATTTAACACCCTATGAAATTGGTGGAAAAGAAGCATTCAGTCTGTAGCACTCTTCTCACTTAGTAACAGAACCCTGACTGTTAGCTCAATATGTTGTCACTTAGAACGAAAAGTTATTATTTCCTGGACCTATTTCTAGCTAAGTTTTGGCCCCTATATGCAATCAGAAATAATGTAAGTGCCATATAGAAAACTTCCTCAAAGGGAAGCATGGCCTTTTTTCTCCTTTCTTTCTTCCTGCTAATTAGAATGTGAATGTAATGGCTAGAGATCCGGCTGCTGCTTTGTACCACGAGGGAGCAGACCCATGTTGAGAACAGACATTCAATAAAGAGAGAGCTTTTCTCCCTGATGATCAGAGACCTACCAGTCTTTAACTGTCAATCTACAGATTTCACATGGAAAAGAGATACAATTCCATCTAGTTTAATACACTACTATTTGTTTTAAATACTATTTCTGCAATATGCAGCTGAACATAAGCGAAACTGATACATATAGATTTGTGAGTAGTACATTTTATAAGGTATATATTAATATGAAGATAACAAATGCATGCTCTTTATTTTTCACAGGATATACAATAAAATAGTTTGGAGATTACAAAACTAAAAGACTGTTACATGCTCCTGCCAAGGTCATCTATATCTGGAAATCAATAGAATTTCATGAGTTACCATCATACATACACTGATTATACTGCAGTAGACTCTCAGTGTGTAGCTATGGCTACAGATCCTTGGGAAATCTAAAATTCACAACACATATATCTTTGTAAAGACCCTTGACTTTTCATAGACATAATTTCTGTCCAGAATCTCATGTTCTGTGAATATATCCTTCCATCACATTACAAAGAGAAATGTTTAAATCATTTAACAAAAAGCTATACAATAACAAATGGAGAATGTAAAAAAGATTAATATTTAGATGCTGGGTGCTTGGCTAGCTTCACTTGTCATTTAATAACTTAGTCCTACACATCAGCCTCATGGTGCATATTACTCACATACCTTAAATTGTAAAAAATCAGATATCATGATCTTCAAGGTTATTTGCAAATGGTAAGTCCTCCAAGGCCAAATTCACAAATAGAAAGGGTTTGTTGTATTAAGAGCCAAACTTCCACTGCATCCCACCATGTTATACTAAGATTCTTAGTTAATACAAACCTATACTTAAACACAGTGGTGATGGTTATAGGAACGGGTAGCAAATAAATATCAAGATAAGTTCTTAATAGTAACTGAAACAGCATAGTGCTGGTATAAAAATAGATGCACAGATCAATGGAACAGAACAAAGAACCCACAGGAGGCTGAGGCAGGAGAATCACTTGAGGCTGGGAGGTGGAGTTTGCAGTAGGCGAAGGCCACTGCACTCCAGCCAACATGGGTGACAGAGCAAGACTCTGTCTCAAAACAAACAAACAAACAAACCCAAAATAAAGCTACATACCTACAAGCAAGTTGTCAAAAATATACTCTAGGGAAAGAACACACTGTTCAATAAATGATGCTGGGAAAATTTGATAATCATATACAGAAGAATGAAAGTGAGCTCCTATCTCTCAGTATATAAAAATAACTAAAGATAGATTAAAAACCTAAATGTAAGACTTGAAACTATAAAACTCCTGGAAGAAAACCTAGGAAAAACTCCTCTGGACATTGACCTAGGCAAAGAATTTATGACTAAGTCCTCAAAAGGAAATGCAACAAAAAACAAAAATATAGAAGTAGGACTTAATTAAACTGAATAGCTTCTGCATAACAAAATAAATAATCAACAGAGTAAACAGGCAACCTACAGGATTAGTGAAAATATTTGAAAACAATACTTCTGACAGAGGGCTAATATCCAGAACCAAAGGAACTCAAACAGCTCAACAAAAAAGAAACAACCACATTAAAAAGTAGACAAAGGACATGAACAGACATTTTTTCAAAAGAAAACATACAAGTAACCTATAAACATATGGGAAAAATGCTCAATATGAGTAATCTTAAGAGTAATGAAAATTAAAACCACAATGAGATACCATCTTACCCTAGTCAGAATGACTATTACTAAAAAGTCAAAAAACAACAGATGTTGGTGAGGATGCAGAGAAAAAGGAATGCTTATAGACTATTGGTGGAAATCTAAATTAGTACAACCTCTATGGAAGACAGTATGGAGATTTCTAAAGAACTAAAAATAGAACTACCCTTTGATTCAGAAATTTCACTACTGAGTATCCACTCAAAGGAAAAGAAATCATTATATCAGAAAGAAACCTGAACTTGTAAGTTTATCGCAGCACTATTCATTTTTTATTTGTTTATTTATTTTTATTTTAAAAGGTTAGTTCTGAGTCAGTATGACTGACTATGTACCGAGGAACACAATCTGAAGAGTTCCTGAGAAAGTGCATCTGCAGAAGTTAGACTGCACTTTGGTTTTATACATTTTAGAAAGGGAGGAGGTTTTATACATTTTAGAAAGGAAGGAGTTACAGGCAAAGTAATAAATCAATACATGGAAGTTATATGTTGATTTGATCCAAAAAGATAGATATCTACAGGTTATAGGTGGATTAAGAGATTCCTTAATTTGCAACTGGTTAAAGGAGTAAAGCTTTGTCTACAAATTTGGAGTCAGCAGAAAGGAATGTTTTAAGTTAAGATAAGGAAGTCTGTTAACCAATAAACTAGGTCAGAGTGACCTGTAGGGATGTGTGAGTTAGCCCTTGTCTGGCATGGCCTTAGGTCCTATTTGTGATTCAGTATCTTACTGTCACGAAGAGTCCACCTAGTTAGTCTCATGATCTCTATTTTTATTAATTTTTTATTAATGCGAGTCAGTTGTGCCTAAACTCCAAAAGGGAAAGGGTATAACAAGGTACGTCTGACCTCCCTTCCCATCATGGCTGGGAATTCAGTTTTTAAGGTTTTTCTGAGGTCCCCTTGGCCAAGAAAGTGTGTCTTCAGTCAGTGGGGGACTTAAGATTTTATTTTTAGTTTACAACTTGACAGTTTAACTTTTTCGTAGGGGTTGAGAGAATGCTTCCTCTCTGCCCACTGAAGGTTCACAGAAAATAAACTGACAAAAGCCATATTAATAGGAGAAAAAAAGGCATACAAATTCATAATGTGCCTAAACACAGAAGTCATATACAAAATATGAGACTTAAAGAGGGGCCATATGTTTGAGGCTTAAATAATCTCTTTATATGGGAGAGATGTATGGACTCAGGTGTTAGATATTATTTTATAAATGATTCTATTTGGAAGCTAGATGGACAAGGTGAGGGGCAGAACTACATAAAAACAAAGATTGACATTTTTATGCAGATAAAGCCCCCCAACCCTCACCCAATGAAATCTCTTGGTGCTGCCCTCGGAATGGATGAAATGTCTATCTCAGTGTGGTGATGACTCCCAGTTTCTTCTCTTCTTTGGTAGTTTATCTTTCCCAGTTATTTGATGAGATTCCTAGAGAGGGAGTCTTAAAACATAACACATTTCTTTTGGAAATAAGCTTTCTTAGATAAAGAAACTTCAGAGAGATATCTCCCAGTGCTTCTGTAAAGAGGATCAGAGAGAGGGAGGCAAGACAAGGTCGGAGAAAGCCAGTAGTTCTGAAGCTTATTTCTGAGACCTCTCAATTTTTAAGGCGCTTAGCATGTTCTGAGACCTCTCAATTTTTAAGGTGCTTAGCATGTTAAAGAGCCATATTTTGGGGAATTATTTTTGTACCCCAACACTTCTAAATTTTAGCCATTCTGGTGACCATACATTTTTGTCTTATTTTAGTTTTAATTTATATTTCCTTGAAAGCTGAAGATGTTGAGCATCTTTTCACGTGCAGCATTATTCATAATAGCAGTCATGGAATCAACCTAAGTGTCCATTGATGGATGACTGAATTTAAAATATGCTATATATACACCATGGGATACTACTCAGCCATAAAAAAGAATGAAATCTTGTCTTTTACAGCAACATGGATAAAACTGGGAGCCATTATCCTAAGTGAAATGACTCAGAAACAGAGAGCCAAAAACCACACGTTCTTACTTGTAAGTGGGAGCTAAAGAGCAGGTATATATGAGCAGCCAGAGTGGAATAATAGACACTGGAGACTCCTAAAGGTGGGGAGGGTAGGAAGGGTATGAGGAATTAAATACTACCTATTGGGTACATTGTGCAGTATTTGGGTGATGGGCACACTAAAAGCCCGAACTTCACAGCTACACAATCTATCCTTGTAAGAAAACTATACTTTTACCTCTAAGATCTAAAAAAATAGAATAAAAATTTAAAAAATAAACCCTCTATTTGCTCAAACATGCATAAACTGAGAACCCTCACACTCCTAACCCATTATCATTTATTCTATTCAGTGGCTTTCCTGGAATATCAGGAGTTTCTAGCCTACCAGAATACTCTGTGCCTACAGCCGCACTATTTCTATTGACAAATTGACACACAAAAAAGGCAGATCTCATCCATTCCCTGGCTGTGGAAAGATGAACATAGCTGACATACATTCGCTCCAACTCACACACATGCATAGCTGATCTGCACCCACCTTCCCTTAGGTCACAGGGATGACAGCTGGAGGCAAAATGCTCAAGGGCAGCAACCATTGCTTGCTGCTCAGAATATAATCTCCCCTCCCTTCAGCAAGACCAGGACAGCACCAGAGGCAAAAGCTCACGGCTGGAGAGACACCTCTAGCACAATCTTCACACCTAGAGTGGAAGGGACATGAGTTTGGGTAACATAAAGAGAGAAGGCGCTGCCATTAATTTCATAAAGGTTAGCCCGTGAGCAATAAACAACGAGCTGGCATTATCCTAGGCACTGTCTGTCTGCTTCCCAAGCACATGACTCCTGGAGTTCAGAGAAAACAGCACAGATGAAAAGGGAGAATATCCCTGATTAAGTCATCTGCTAAAAAATAGTTACAATATAAATCCTATAGAAAACCCTGTTTAGAGGATACGCTTAGCATCTCTCACCTTGCCAAGCTGGATTGAATTAACACAATTTCCAGGCAATGCAATAGAGATAACAGCATAAAAGTTGGAGATTCTCAAGTCACTTGTCACTCTTCAGGTTTTGTCTCCTTTTGTTGAAATGAGCTAGTCCAAATTATTATAATTTATCAATAAAAATATCATACTTAAGAAGCATTATGGCTAAATGTCATTACAATGATGGAATGGTAATTCAAATCATCCTTTTTAAAGGGAATTAAAGAAAGTTAGATTTTATATACTTCATGTGCTATAGTAATATATCCAATGGGGAACATTAAGAAATGAATATTGAAAGACTTAATATTGTCAAAATGTCCATATTACTCAAACTGATTTACAGATTCAATGCAATACCTATCAAAATATCAATGGTACTGTCTACTGAAATAGAAAAAAAAAATCCCTAAAACTTATATGGAACTACAAAAGACCTTGAATAGCCAAAACAACTGTAAGAAGAACAAAGCAGGAGAAATCACGCTTCCTGGTTTCAAAATATAATACAAAGCTATTCTAATTAAAACAGTATGCTGCTGGCATAATGAAAGACATATGGACCAATGGAACAGAATGGAGAACTCCTGAAATAAGCTCACGCATGTATGATCAACTGATTTTTGATAAAGGTGTCAAGGATATGCCAAAGGGAAGGCAAATTGTCTCTTCAACAAACAGCACTGGGGAAACTAGATACCCACATGCAAAAAATAAAACTGGACCCTTTTCTTCCACTATACACATACACACAAAAATCTCAAAATGGATTAAACACTTAAAAATAAGCCCAAACTATGTAATACTCATAAAAAATAGAGGAAAATCTTCATAACATTGGTCTTGACAATGATTTCTTGCATATGACACCAAAGCATAGGCAATGAATGCAAAACTAGGCAAATGGGACTATACCAAACTAAAAAGCTTCTGCAGAGTAAACAATCAACAAAATGAAAAGACAATCTGTGGAATGGAGAAAATTTTTTGCAAATACTATATCTAATAAGGGATTACTATCTAAAATAGATCCTTCAACTCAATGGCAAAATAAATAAATAAATAAATAAATAAATAACAGCCAAATAAAAATATGCAAATGACTTGAATATACATTTCTCCAAAGACCACATATGAAAGGCCAACAGATATATGAAATGCTGCCCAACATCACTCATCACCAGGTAAACGCAAATCAACACCACATTGAGATGTCACCTTACACCTCTTAAGATGGTTTTTATCGAAAAAGACGAAATAAGAAGTATTGGCATAGATGTGAAGAAACTGATTATTTGTGCCATCCTGAGAATGTAAAACAGTGCAGCTGCTGTAGAAAACAGTATGGAGATTCCTAAAAAAAAAAATTAAAAATAGAAATACTATATAATCCAGTAATCCTGATACTGGATATTTATCCAAAGGAATTGAAATCAGGATCTCAAAGACATATTTCCACTCCCATGCTCACTGAGCATGATTCACAATAGCCAAGATGTGGAAACAACCTACATGTCTACTGACAGATGAAGGGACAAAGAAAATATGGTATATACATACAATGGAATATGATTCAGCCTTTAAAATAAAAGGCAATCCTGCCATAGGCAACAACATGGATAAACCTTGAAGACATTATGCTATGTGAAATAAGCCAGTCACAGAAGAATAAATGCTGGATAATACTACTTAAAGGAGTTATATAAAAGAGTCAGGGAGTTATATAAAAGGTTCAAACACACAGAACCAGAGAGTAGAATGGTTGTTGCCAGGGGATAAGAGGGAAAGGGAAATAGGGAATTGCTATCCAATAGGAGTAAGGTTTCAGTTATGCAAGGTTATTAAGTTCTAGAGATCTTCTGTATAACATTGTGCCCACAGTTAATACTGTATTATCCGCTTAGAAATGTGTTAAGAGGGCAGATCTCATGTTAAGTGTTATTACCACAGGAATACCCCCCAAAAGGAGAAATGAATATGAGATTAGAGATTATATCTCAGGAGTGGATAAGAAAGGAAAGGAAGAGAGATACGTTTATTTTGCCACAAAGTAAGGATACTTTCTGAAATGTTTGAGCTCACATGATTTAACACAGAATCATAGTCCTAAAATTTAAAACCAAGTAAGAGTAGTAGGACTAATTTAACCTAACCTCGTTTTTTAAAGATGAAGAAACTGGGTTTTACGAGTCAAAAAATAACAGATGCTAGCTGCAGAGAAAAGATAACTCTCATACATTGCTGCTGGGGATGTGGAAAGCATCGTGGAGATTTCTTAAAGAAATTAAAACAGAACTACCATTCGGCCCAACAATTCCAACAATGGGTATATACCTAAAGAAACGTAAGTAGCTCTACCATAAAAACACATGCACACATATGTTCATTACCACACTAATCACAAGCACAAATACATGGAATCAACCTAAATGCCCATCAACTGTGGACTGGATAAAGAAAATGTGGTACATATACACCATGGAATATTACACAGCTGTAGAAAAGAGCGAGATTATGTCTTTTGCAGCAACATAGATGGAGCTGGAAGCCATTATCCTAAGTGAATTAATGCAGGAACAGAAAACCAAATACTGCATGCTCTCACTTATAAATGGGACCTATACTTTGAGTACACACACACACAAAGAAGGAAATAATAGACACTCGTGCCCACTTGAGGATGGAGTGGGGGAGGAGAGTGAGGATCGATAAACTACCTATCAGGTACTATGCTTATTAACTGGATGATGAAATAGTATGTACAACAAACCCGCATGACATGCAATTTATCTGCAGAACCTACTTGCACATGTATGCATTAAACTGAAATAAGAGTTAAAAAAATAAAGATATGAGTATTAAAAATAAAAAAAAGTTAAGAATGCCCATAGAATTTTACAACTATTTAGCAGCAGAGTCAAAAGAAAAATTCAAGTTTTCAGATTTTGTTCAAGTTTTTAATTGTTTCATTATTTTCAGATTATTCCTTGTGTTTCTGACTTTAACCATTTAATTTTTTTCAAAGACTCACTTAAAACATAACCATTCGGGGAGTTTTTTAGATGATGGAATTGCACTGTATTCTGATTGTGTTGGTGGTTATACAAGTCTATACATGTGTTAACATTCATAGAACTATAAATCAAAAAAGTAAATTAAAATATCAAAAAAACCTTAAATGCTATTGAAGGAGCTTTTTTTTTAAATCTAGTGTATCTGGATTTTCATACTATAATGTCTTAGTTATATCCAGTAGGAAACCAATAATAAAATGCAGGACATTTTAGCCCCTTTGTCTATTATTCACTGATTCTGATTATTGCGTGGTCTGCTACTTTATTATGCAAATTTTCTACCACCAAATATAAACATAAAATAAAGAACTAAGAATGGAGTGTAAATCCTTCTTCTTATTATTGACCAAATCTGCAAAAAAATAGAATACTGTTTGTGAGAAACTTAGCAGTAGAGAGGTAAGTGATGTAGATCTACTAAAAGATTTAGAAAATTATATCTGTTTAGGCCAGTCCTAAATAGCTCATGGTAAAATAGATGATGATTACAACCACACACCACTTATACAGTCCCCGTGCACTTGAAATTGCTTTAGATGGGTGTCAATTATATCTAGCCCAGATTCAGGAGGAAAAGAAATATTTTTGGATGTCAATCATCTGTATTTAATACTAATATAAGAGATAAATTCAGACCATAGCAGAGTGGAAAGGACATGATTGTAAGAGTTACTCAGTGGGATTTAAATTGCAACTTCACTCTCTTCTCACTCTGAGAGATTTGACAAGCATTTATTTTTTAACATCTCTAAATCAGTTTTCTCACAAATAGAAAAATCCTTCCTACCTTGCTGAATAATGATGTGGATTAAATATGATGTAATCACATATTCTATGTACATAATAAAATATCACACATACCTTATAAAAATATTATGTATAAAAATATTATGTAATAAAATATAATTATGTATATAAACAATAATATTTAACATTTAGTGTTTGCACGTTGCACATGATTATTCTCAATGCTTTAAGTAGTATAACTTACTTGTCTGAAGAAAAAAATCTACAGGCAAGTGTTGTTAATAGCCTACTTTTACAGGTAGAAAAACTAAGACAGAAGATTAAGTAACTTAATGAAGGTTATACAGTAAGTAAATTGAAAATTGAGATCTGGACCCAAACATTCTGGTTCTAAAGTCCATGTGCTTAAACAGCTTCATCATTATTTCTTCATGTATAAATGACCTGGCACAGGATAGATGCTGAATTAATGGTTGCTGCTGTAACTGCAGCTTTGCAATTTTATGGCAAACTAATCTCACTGGACTCCCAAAAAGCTCAATGTGGGCCCGGGCTACAAACTTTAATGATGTAAATAAAACCATATTGCTAACACTGATACTTTTCATCACATTTTCCCTTTGATAAAGTCAGGGGTTTCTTTATAATGCCGATGTGAATCAACAGTAAAAGCTTCCATTAAAAAAAAAAAGTCCCCATCCCTTAACCTCTCTCCAGGGTCCTGTACCAAGATGCCCAGGTGCTCCCAACATCTCAGTGTGCATGTCATACTTGCTTGTAATGGTTAAAGCAATAGGGAATTGGGCAGATAAAAGAGTTGGGGTATACAATGAAGAGCAAATAAAACTTTTTGCACTTCAGTCCTTCTAAATGAATAGCCTTAATGCAAGAAGAGACAATGAGACCGCCTGAGTGGAGAAGGAGAAAAAAATATCATGCGGGAAATTCCTTGGACCAAAACAAGATGACAGGCAAGGGGAGAAAGAGAAAACTCAAAGACAATTAATGAGGATCAATGGTGATCCAAGAGAAGGAACTTGGTTGATTGGCACAACCAATCATGGTCTCTATAGAAAATAGAGTTTACTCTAAAACCTCAGCTACATCTTAGACCCTTATTTTGTTATTGTTAAAAAAGATTTCTGCTGTAAAACACATTTTGAGTCCTGTACTACAGAAATTTTTTGGAACAGCGTTATTGAGATGTAATTCACATATTGTAAGATTCACCCATTTAAAGCATACAAAATATATTCATAGCACTGTGCAACCTTCACCTCAATCAATTAAAAAATTGTGTGTTAAGCCAATGGGAATAAATTACTGCCCAAAGAGATGTTTTGGCCCTTAACACTCCTCTATAGCCTCCTAAATATCCTCATATCCCAGATTCTCCTACACTTCTGACTTTCTGAGGTGACCCGTGGAAATCACTTGAAAATGGAAACTCCAGAGTCAAATCGCCTTTACTTCTCCCTCTGATTTCCTTATCTGAGGCTTATCTATCACAGTCGCAAATATACACAGAGTCTGTACAACTTCTGCATCTTCTCTACTCCTATTGTACCTGCTTCAATTCAGTCTGACACCGTCCATTTCTAGGACTACTGGAATCTCCCTAACAGGGTGGTGAAAACAAAGTGCATTTGCTGCCACTCCTACCTTCTTTGCCTAATTACAGGAATCTTCCTGGCTTGGTGAACCCTTAGCACCATGCCCCAGAAAGTCCCCACCACATGACTGGAGTTGACACACAAGCTGACACCTTTTGGCAATATCTTCATACCTTTCTAACCTGTCCTTCATATTTTTCCACAGTCACTCTCCTAAAACAGGGATCCATGGTGATGGCTAAATTCTAAGACAGTCCCAACATTTCCATTCCTTGTTATACAGGCCTGTATAATTCACTCCTTTTTTAAATTTTATTATTATTATACCTTAAGTTTTAGGGTACATGCGCACAATGTGCAGGTTAGTTACATATGTATACATGTGCCATGCTCGTGTGCTGCACCCATTAACTCATCATTTAGCATTAGGTATATCTCCTAATGCTATCCCTCCCCCCTCACCCCACCCCACAACAGTCCCCAGAGTGTGATGTTCCCCTTCCTGTGTCCATGTGTTCTCATTGTTCAATTCCCACCTATGAGTGAGAAAATGTAGTGTTTGGTTTTTTGTCCTTGCGATAGTTTACTGAGAATGATGATTTCCAGTTTCATCCATGTCCCTACAAAGGACATGAACTCATCATTTTTTATGGCTGCATAGTATTCCACGGTGTATATGTGCCACATTTTCTTAATCCAGTCTATCATTGTTGGACATTTGGGTTGGTTCCAAGTCTTTGCTATCGTGAATACTGCCGCAATAAACATACGTGTGCATGTGTCTTTAAAGCAGCATGATTTATAGTCCTTTGGGTATATACCCAGTAATGGGATGGCTGGGTCAAATGGTATTTCTAGTTCTAGATCTCTGAGGAATCGCCACACTGACTTCCACAATGGTTGAACTAGTTTACAGTCCCACCAACAGTATAAAGTGTTCCTATTTCTCCACATCCTCTCCCGCACCTGTTGTTTCCTGACTTTTTAATGATTGCCATTCTAACTGGTGTGAGATGGTATCTCATTGTGGTTTTGATTTGCATTTCTCTGATGGCCAGTGATGGTGAGCATTTTTTCATGTGTTTTTTGGCTGCATAAATGTCTTCTTTTGAGAAGTGTCTGTTCATGTCCTTCGCCCACTTTTTGATGGGGTTGTTTGTTTTTTTCTTGTAAATTTGTTTGAGTTCATTGTAGATGCTGGATATTAGCCCTTTGTCAGATGAGTAGGTTGTGAAAATTTTCTCAAGAGTCCAGGACCAGATGGATTCACAGCCGAATTCTATCAGAGGTACAAGAAGGAACTTGTACCATTCCTTCTGAAACTATTCCAATCAATAGAAAAAGAGGGAATCCTCCTAACTCATTTTATGAGGCCAGCATCATCCTGATACCAAAGCCAGGCAAAGACACAACCCCAAAAAAGAGAATTTTAGACCAATATCCTTGATGAACATTCGTGAAAAAATCCTCAATAAAATACTGGCAAACTGAATCCAGCAGCACATCAAAAAGCTTATCCAACATGATCAAGTGGGCTTCATCCCTGGGATGCAAGGCTGGTTCAATATACGCAAATCAATAAATGTAATCCAGCATATAAACAGAATCAAAGACAAAAACCACATGATTATCTCAATAGATGCAGAAAAGGCCTTTGACAAAATTCAACAACGCTTCATGCTAAAAACTCTCAATAAATTAGGTATTGATGGGATGTATCTCAAAATAATAAGAGCTATCTATGACAAACCCACAGCCAATATCATACTGAATGGGCAAAAACTGGAAGCATTCCCTTTGAAAACTGGCACAAGACAGGGATGCCCTCTCTCACCACTCCTATTCAACATAGTGTTGGAAGTTCTGGCCAGGGCAATTAGGCAGGAGAAGGAAATAAAGGGTATTCAATTAGGAAAAGAGGAAGTCAAATTGTCCCTGTTTGCAGAGGACATGATTGTATATCTAGAAAACCCCATTGTCTCAGCCCAAAATCTCCTTAAGCTGATAAGCAACTTCAGCAAAGTCTCAGGATAAAAAATCAATGTACAAAAATCACAAGCATTCTTATACACCAATAACAGACAAAGAGAGAGTCAAATCATGAGTGAACTCCCATTCACAATTGCTTCAAAGTGAATAAAATACCTAGGAATCCAACTTGCAAGGGATGTGAAGGACCTCTTCAAGGAGAACTACAAACCACTGCTCAATGAAATAAAAGAGGACACAAACAAATAGAAGAACATTCCATGCTCATGGGTAGGAAGAATCAATATCGTGAAAATGGCCATACTGCCCAAGGTAATTTATAGATTCAATGCCATCCCCATCAAGCTACCAATGACTTTCTTCACAGAATTGGAAAAAACTACTTTAAAGTTCATATGGAACCAAAAAAGAGCCCGCATCACCAAGTCAATCCTAAGCCAAAAGAACAAAGCTGGAGGCATCACACTACCTGATTTCAAACTATACTACAATGCAACAGTAACCAAAACAGCATGGTACTGGTACCAAAACAGAGATATAGATCAATGGAACAGAACAGAGCCCTCAGAAATAATGCCGCATACCTACAACTATCTGATCTTTGACAAACCTGACAAAAACAAGAAATGGGGAAAGGATTCCCTACTTAATAAATGGTGCTGGGAGAACTGGCTAGCCATATGTAGAAAGCTGAAATTGGATCCCTTCCTTACGCCTTATACAAAAATTAATTCAGGATGGATTAAAGACTTAAACGTTAGACCTAAAACCATAAAAACCCTAGAAGAAAACCTAGGCAATACCATTCAGGACATAGGCATGGGCAAGGACTTCATGTCTGAAACACCAAAAGCAATGGCAACAGAAGCCAAAATTGACAAATGGGATCTCATTAAACTAAAGAGCTTCTGCACAACAAAAGAAACTACCATCAGAGTGAACAGGCAACCTACAAAATTCACTCCTTTTGAACATGAGCAGAACTGTGAACATGATGGACTATCATCCCCATGGTTAGGTTAATAATCAGTTGAGTTTATTCAAAAGGAAAATTACCTGGATTGGCCTGACACAATCAGGTAAATCCTTAAAAGGGACAGGGATCTTCTTTAAGTCAGAAAGATTTGACATGAGAGATTCTCCAATGTTGGCTTTGAAAATGAAAGGAGTGATGTGGCAAGGATGTGAGAGCAGCCACAGGAGGCTGAGATCAACCCCCAGCCAACAGCCCACAAAAAAGCAGGGGTCTCAGTTCTACAATCATAAGTAACTGGATTCTGCCAACAATGATGTGAACTTGGAAAAGGGCTCTAAGTTCCATGTACGAATTAAACTCCACTCACTTCTGATTTCAGCCTTGTGGGATCATGGGCAATGACCCCAGTTACACCACACCCAGACTTCTCACCTATAGAACCATGAACAAATGTGTAGACATTGTTTTAAGCTACTGAGTTTGTAAGAATTTGCTACCCAATAAAAGAAACCAACATATTCACTCTGTCTTTCTACTTGAAAAATCCTAACTAGCTCCACCAAAATGGCAGAATAAGTTAATTGTTCTTAATACTTACTGAAATTTCCTCAAATAAACTAGTAGTGTTTGATGCTGTAAGGTATTTCTTCCATTCTCTGGTATATATCACTATCCAAAAACACCCATAAAGCTGTGTTTTCTCAATGTATTTCTCATCCAAATGAAAGCCTCAAGTAGCTAGGTATGATTAAAGGATCCTGCTTGGGAGACTTTTGTAAGAGGCTGTATATTCTATCACTGAAGTTTTTGATACATAGTCTCCTACTACAAGAGCCCTTCACTGTGACACTATAAAGTGACCTAAAATGACACTCTCCAGTCTCAGTACCTCTGTGCAGTGTCAGTGCACTTCAGTCAACTGCACCACCTTAAGAATTGTTCTTTATAGATATACAATCATGTCGTCTACAAACAGGGACAATTTGACTTCCTCTTTTCCTAATTGAATACCCTTTATTTCCTTCTCCTGCCTAATTGCCCTGGCCAGAACTTCCAACACTATGTTGAATAGGAGTGGTGAGAGAGGGCATCCCTGTCTTATGCCAGTTTTCAAAGGGAATGCTTCCAGTTTTTGCCCATTCAGTATGATATTGGCTGTGGGTTTGTCATAGATAGCTCTTATTATTTTGAGATACGTCCCATCAATACCTAATTTATTGAGAGTTTTTAGCATGAAGGGTTGTTGAATTTTGTCAAAGGCTTTTTCTGCATCTATTGAGATAATCATGTGGTTTTTGTCTTTGGCTCTGTTTATATGCTGGATTACATTTATTGATTTGCGTATATTGAACCAGCCTTGCATCCCAGGGATGAAGCCCACTTGATCATGGTGGATAAGCTTTTTGATGTGCTGCTGGATTCGGTTTGCCAGTATTTTATTGAGGATTTTTTCACGAATGTTCATCAAGGATATTGGTCTAAAATTCTCTTTTTTGGTTGTGTCTCTGCCCAGCTTTGGTATCAGAATGATGCTGGCCTCATAAAATGAGTTAGGAGGATTCCCTCTTTTTCTATTGATTGGAATAGTTTCAGAAGAAATGGTACCAGTTCCTCCTTGTACCTCTGGTAGAATTCGGCTGTGAATCCATCTGGTCCTGGACTCTTTTTGGTTGGTAAGCTATTGATTATTGCCACAATTTCAGATCCTGTTATTGGTCTATTCAGAGATTCAACTTCTTCCTGGTTTAGTCTTGGAAGAGTGTATGTGTCGAGGAATTTATCCATTTCTTCTAGATTTTCTAGTTTATTTGCGTACCCAGCCATCCCATTACTGGGTATATACCCAAAGGACTATAAATCATGCTGCTATAAAGACACATGCACACGTATGTTTATTGCGGCATTATTCACAATAGCAAAGACTTGGAACCAACCCAAATGTCCAACAATGATAGATTGGATTAAGAAAATGTGGCACATATACACCATGGAATACTATGCAGCCATAAAAAATGATGAGTTCATGTCCTTTGTAGGGACATGGATGAAATTGGAAATCATCATTCTCAGTAAACTATCACAAGAACAAAAAACTAAACACCGCATATTCTCACTCATAGGTGGGAACTGAACAATGAGATCACATGGACACAGGAAGGGGAATATCACACTCTGGGGACTGTTGTGGGGTGGGGGGAGGGGGGAGGGATAGCATTGGGAGATATACCTAAATGCTAGATGACGAGTTAGTGGGTGCAGCGCACCAGCATGGCACATGTATACATATGTGACTGACCTGCACAATGTGCACATGTACCCTAAAACTTAAAGTAAAAAAAAAAAAAAAAAAAAAAAGAATTGTTCTTTGATTGTCACTTGCTACCGCACCATTTCCCTGCCATGATTATTCCCATGGATGCGTAGGTTATTTATATTTTTCTTTGATTCATCCTTTTTTATAGACATTTCATAAGATATGGCCCCACAATATTACAGAATTCCTAATGTTTAGTTTCTTTGCAGAGAAGATATATTCATTCTCTATGACAGTTTTATTCTCCCATAGGAGTTCCGCCCAAACAAAAGATAAACGCAAATAAGTGCACAGCCTGCATCACAGGGAAGGTGTGCTGGGGAGGAGCACAAATAAAGTATCATAGATAACACAAAATATTTATTTCCTAAGAAATAATCCAGTACTGTGCAGTCAAAATATGTCCATAAGAAACAAAATCCACCTCTCTCACATTTTATTTATTCTTCTCTATTCTCACCCATTTTTTATGGAAGCACTTTCCAGCAATTAATAATCCAGAAACAGAATATGCTATTTTGATGAGAGTATGCTGTTCCCTTCCAGGACTAAGGATGTAAACAAAAGTAATAGGTAAAGAGTGTGCCCAGTGGTTCTTCTCTCAGCCCAAGTCTGCTGGAAAAGTGAGGAGATTCTGGGGCATATATTAAACCTGCTTCCCAGGGAACTGGCAATCAATCAATATTGAATGATCATTGAGCTGAGCATGAATTCCTGGAAAACACCAGTTTTCATTTACTTATTCAACAAATGATTATGGATTGTTTTAGGTGTGGCAAACTGTAAGAGAGTATATATGAGATAAGAAATGGCAACTAAATTGGAGTTGATCATAGTTTGGTATAAGAAAATAAATAAGAATGATATTAGCTTCAACAGGATAAATGCAGAGATTCTGATTTAGGAAGGAGAGATTGTTTATTTCTAGATGAGATGAAGGAAACCCTAGAGTGCGTGAGTGTATGCATGAGTGTGTATGTGTGTGTGTTTGAGGGGCAGAGAGAACACACTGAGGTGTTTTGTTAAGCTGGGTCTTTACAATATTTAGGCAATGCTAGTTTGCACAACAGAACATATTTCTAGTCAATAAAACAATATAGAGCCATGAAAAAACATGACACACTTGGAGGGAAAATTGAGAAGTTCACTGTGACAAGAATTAAGGTGTGAGGGGGCAATAGTAAAATACAATGTTGGAAGCAGGATGGAACTTGTTTGTGAAATGTTTGATGCAGCATAATATAGGGGTTATTCTTGCCCTCTGCCCAATTGCCCTTCACCTGCATGCCTCTTCTTCCGAGGCTAGCATCTGCTGCTGCCAATTAGAATAGCCCCTTCTAGAGAAACTGACCAGAGCAATGTGTCCAAGGTTGGATGTAGGATTTAAGCCAAACTACAGAAACTGAGTACAGTGATGATCCAAAGACAGGCATAGGGCCTACACTAAACATTGTCTAGACATTTGCTAGGATTCTTCTTATTGGATTTTGATGGAAGGAAAAAGAAGTGAAGGAAAAGAGCTTCTTTTCTCCTTTCTGATGGCAATATGTAAGCCCAACGCGATCAGTAGTTCTGTTCCCGCCATGATGAAAAAGCTTGTCCAAAGTAGGGTAAATTCAGCATCTAAAGAACAGAAGAGGCATGAAAACCAAGGGAGATATATTCCTCAGTGTTTTGTGCTTTTAATCTAGTTATTCCTGTTATAGTTCTTTCTAAGAATGTGGTTAAATAAGGCAATGCTTTCATACCCAAGCTAATTAAAATTGGATTTCTGTTACTTACAGCCAACATAGTACGTTTCTGTTTTGTGTTTATCTTTTATTTTTTAAATCAAATTAAATATTTAAAAATTTTCAGGAACTTTATTTTTATATTCTAAACACATTAGTGATGTTTATGTTCTTCTGGGAGGTGAGGTAGCATTCAGGTTTTTAACATGTAAACTGAATAAACTCTATTAAGGCTTCTACTTCTGTTAATGACAGGCTGGTTAATACAAATTAATACTGCTACTGAGGGCAACTAGAAATCTGGATAAAATGTTATAAAAAATACTGCATTTTAAGTCTTTTCAGAGCAAACAAGAAAGTGAATAATTACCAGGTCAGGAGACTTAGGAGGACAGAAGAAGAGGAAGATAAGCCTGACTTTTGGAGCTACTTTTCTGAGAAATCTGGAGGTTCAGCTAAGAAGCAATTTATATAGCCTCACAGCACTAGGAAAAATGGAATTGAGGTACAGTACACTTACCTACTATGCTGAGGTGGTAGGTAAGTCTATCTCTTTGGGTTGAGACATGAAAAGGCTTAATCTTAGAAGTAATGTTGAATTAAAAGTGAACATCTCTTTACTGGGACCGCAGCTTAGCTTCAAGCCATCATACCTAGAATTGAATTGAGGCACTCCTGTATTTCTAGTGTGACCAGGTGCCTGGCAGGAGCTAACATAAATCCTCTCTGCAGAAAAATGACATCATGCTAGGACTCAAATTATTTCTCCAATTAAAAAATACTATTTTACCATATAATCCAAAATATGGACACAAGGCAATAAATCAACAGGGATGAAACCCTCCAGGTACAACATACAAGAGAAACAGAGTAATATGACCTCCAGATACCAGGATAGATTTTAAAGTGACTAAGCTTATTATGTTCAAAGAGACAGAAGGACAAGACTGGATATTTTGGCAGAGAAGTGGAGCCATAAGAAATGGTGACACGAAAATTCTAGAACTAGTAAGTATGATAATTAAAATTAAACACTCAATAGATGGGTTTAAAAGCAAAATAGCAACAGTTGCAGAACTATTTGGTAACCCTGAAAATGATTTGCAAGAAAATATGTAGAATAAAGCATAAGAGGTAAAAGGATAAAAATGCCAAAAAGAAGGTAAGGAACAGGGAATATAATGCAATGGTTTATTATTTTGGGTAACTGGAACAAAACAAAAAGAGAAGGAGAAAAGGATAATTGCATTATTGGAAACAATACGGACTAAAAACGTTCCAAAATTTATTGAGGACATTAAGCCATGGACTCAAGAGATCTTACAAAACTGGAAGCATGACAAATAAAAAAAATCTACATCTAAATACATCATGGTAAGCCTACAGAAAATTAAAGATGAAGAAAATATCTTAAGAGGTAGAAAAGAGAGGATTAACTTCAAAGTAGCAACAATTACTCTGTCAGCTAATCTATCTACAGAAAAAAGGAAGCTGAACACGTAAAATATTTTAATATGCTTAAAAATACATGCCAACCTAGAGTTCTCTACCAAAATACAATATTCTTCAAGAATGAAGGTGAACAAATTGCAGACAAATTCATTTTGTCAATATTGGGTGACATATTGAGGGAACTTACAGACAGAAGCATGGTTGTGAAAGGCAGCAAGACAGACAGATCTCCACACTGTTACTTCCCAGACCCAAGGGTTATATACCACAGGGAAAGGGTATATGTGCTCCAGCAAGACAGTTAAAGACAATTCTTGTCATTCTCTCAAACAGACAAGAATGCTATGTGCGTCATAGCCTATAATTTGTGTGACAACAACAAGGTTTGACATGTTCTTACACTAAGGACAGTAAATTAAGTAGAATTAGGAGGCACTCATGGGACTGAGGCTAACAGAAGTCAGCATGGCAGACTAGCATCCGACATGGGGTCACCTTTGTTTTCACATACACAATGGAATATTGTTCAGCCAAAAAAAAGAAAATGAAATTCTGCCATTTACAGCAACATGGATGGAACTGGAGGTCATTATGCTAAGTGAAACAAGCCATGCACAGAAAGACAAATATTACATGATTTCACTCATATGTAGGAGTTAAGAAAGTAGATCTCATGAAGATAGAGAGTAGACTGGTGATTACCAAAGATTGGGGAGTGTTGTGAGGAGGGGGGAGATGAAGAGAGATTGATTAATGGGTTCAAATATACACTTGATAGAAGAAATAATAGGACCTAGTATTTGATAGATCAGTATGGTAACTATAGTTTACAATAAAATAAAGAGCAATAAAAATAATAAATATGCGAATATCTACATAAATATCAATGCTATAAAATACAAATAATAACTTTTAGATTAAATATATAAAAAGAATTAAATACCCAATGATAATAGCATATACTAAAAGGCAAAATAAATTGAGTTAAAATGTTCAAAGGTTCTTATATTATCAGTAATGGAGGAAGAATATCAACTGATATTAAATTTTCAGAAGTAAAAGATGCATGTTGTGAGATCTAGAATAAATTCTAAAAATGGTAGAAGAATATACAACTTTCAACTTGATAAAAAATAATACTTCACTATAAGACAGTTAAGGAAAGACAGAAGGATCACAGAAGGATGGTAGATTTGAAAAAAAAATTTTAAATAATAATAAACATAAACAGGTTGGATCTTAAAACATAAAAGAAGATCAAATAAAAACATCTCAATTTAAAAAACATGTAAACTATATGGACAAAGAAAAGTTGAAAGCAAAAGAAGGGAAATATATATGTGATGCAAATAATCTCAAAATAATGCTGGTATAATCATATAATTATCAGAAAAAGCAATCTCTAAGTCAAGAAAAATTGCTAACGACAAAAAGGACACTTCATAACAACAAAAGGTTTAATTCACTAGGAATATATAAAATATCTTAAATTTGTAAACACCTAATACTATAGTTTCAAAATATAGAAAGCAAATATTTAGAAAAATAAAGGAAAAGTACTCAATAACAATTTGAAATTTTAACACAGCCTTCTAACTATAAAAAACAAATAGACCAAATAAATAAATAAGTAAATGCTGAAGATAAATGCAAGTAGAAGAACAATACCATTAACTGAAAAATATAGAGCGCTTTTCCCAAAAGCTGCAGAACAAACTTATTTCCAAAACCACTGGAATATTTGCCAAAGCTGATCACTTGCTGGACTATCTTAACACACTTAAAGGAATTAAAATTATACAAAACAGTATGTGTACACAGTGCAGTTAAGCAGCTAAGATCATGATTGTTGGAGAATTTATATTCCTAAATGGATATAATGGGAAAGGAAAAAGACCGAAAGCAATGAGCAAATTTTTCGGTAGGAAGTTGGAAGAAGAGAGTAAAATAAAATTTAGAAAGTAAAAGGCAGGAACTCAAAAAGAGGTAAAATTATACAGGAGAAAACACATTAGAGAATATCAAAAAGGTAAAATGACACAAAATTGATAAAAACTTGGAGAGAATGATAAAATAACATAAAATAGATTAATTGAAAGAGAAGCACCAGTAAAAACCCTAAAAACCCATTAAAAGATAAAAGGTAGATATTAAAAATTAGCTGGGCATGGTGATGTGCCCATAGTCCCAGCTACTTGGGAGACTGAGGCAGGAGGATCAGCTGAGCCCAGGAGGTTGAGGCTCTGGTGAGCAGTGATCACACCGCTGCACTCCAGCCTGACCAACAGAGTAAGACCATGTCTCAGATAAAAAGGAGGGAGGTGGGGGGAAAAGGCAGGGGGCTGGAGGGAGATATTAGAAACACTTTAATGCAGATAAATTCAGCAACTTAAGAGAAATGCAAATTACTTAAAAGTTACCAAACCTAACATGTGAATAAATAGATAATCTGAATAATCTTATCACTATTAGCAAATTAGACCCATAATAAAAACTCCAGATTTAGATGGCTTGGCTGATAATTCTATAAAACACTGAAGACAAAATACACCTCTTTCACAAATTGTTTCAGAGCACAGGAAAAAGAGAAAATGCTTGCTAATTCATTTTTCAAATTCTTCACTTTTTTAAAACCAAAACCAAACAAGAACATTTTGAGAAATAGAAATGACAGTCTAATTTCATTCAGGATCATAGATGCAAAAAATACTAAGTAAACCTTATGTAAGAAAAATCAAGTCCAACAACATATAGAAATTATAATACAACACAACCAAGTTCAACCAAGGAATGCAAGGTGAGCTTAACATGTAAAAATTAACATTGCAATTCAGCATATTAACAGCATATATAAGATAAATCATATAACTATCTCCATATATATTAAAACATTTAACCAAATTTACCATTTATTCCTGATTAAAATTTCTTAGAAGCTCTCATTAATCTGCTAAAAAAGATCTGTGAAAAAATTATGTAAAATACCACTTTCAATAGTGAAATATTGAAAGATTTCTTTTTGAGACTGGAAATTTTTAAAAATACAACCACTATTACCATTTCTATCAATATTATAGTGGAGGTTCTGGTCAGTGTAATAACATAAGAAAAACAATAAAAGGTATAAGAACTGGAAAAAAATGAAAATATTATTATTTGCCAGGAATATGGTTGTGTACTTAACAACATTCAAAAGATTCTATGATGCATGAAAATTAATAAGTTAGTTATGTTATGCATCTGACGAAGGTCTAATATCCAGCATCTATAACGAACTTAAAAAAAATTACAAGAGAAAAACAACCCCATTCAAAAGTGGGCAAAGGACATGAACAGACAGTTGTCAAAAGAAGACATACATGTGGCCAACAAACATATGGAAAAAAGCTCAATATTACTGATCATTAGAGAAATGCAAATCAAAACCACTATGAGATACCATCTCACACTAGTCAGAATGGCTATTATTAAAAAGTTAAAAAAATAACAGATGCTGGAGAGGTTGCAGAGAAAAGGGAACACTTATACACTGTTAGTGTGAGTTTAAATTAGCTCAATTATTGTGGAAGGCAGTATAGCAATTCCTCAAACAGCTAAAAATAGAACTACCATTTGACCCAGCAATCCCATTACTGGGTATATACCTGAAGAATAGAAATCATTCTACCATAAAGACACATGCACATTAATGTTCATTGCAGCACTATTCACAATAGCAAAGACATGGAATCAACCTAAATGCCCATCAATGACAGACTGGATAAATAAAATGTGGTACATATACACCATGGAATACCATGCAGCCATAAAAAGAACAAGATCGTGTCTTTTGTGGGAACATGGATGGAGCTAGAGGCTATTATTTTTAGCAAAATAGCACAGGAACAGAAAACCAAATACTGCATGTTCTCACTTGTCAATAGGAGCTAAATGAGGAGAACACATAAACACAAACAAGGGAATAATAGATACTTGGGTCTACTTGAGGGTGGAGGGTAGTAAAAAGGAGAGCAGTAGAAAAAATAACTAATGGTTATTAGGCTTAATACCTTGGTGATGAAATAATCTATACAACAAACCCCCATGACATGACTTTACCTACAAAACAAACCTTCACATGTACCCCTGAACCTAAAATAAAAGTCTAAAAAAATTAATAAGTTTTGAAAGATTTCTACAAAATCTACAAAAATAACTGCATTTCTATATGCCAGAAATAAAAATAATTTTCGGTGATATGTGTCCCCACCCAAATTTCACCTTGAATTATAATAATCCCCACATGTCAAGGGCAGGATCCTGTTGAGATCACTGCATCATGGGGGCAGTTTCCCCCATGCAGTTCTAGTGGTAGTGAGTGATTTCGCACAAGATCTGATGGTTTTATAAGGGGCTTCTCCTTTCACTCAGCACCCATTCTGCCTCCTGCTGCCCTGTGAAGAGGTGACTTCTGCCATGATTGAAAGTTTCCTGAGGTCTCCCCAGCAATGCAGAACTGTGAGTCAATTAAACCTCTTTTCTTTATAAATTACCAAGTCTCGGGTATTTCTTTATAGCAACATGAGAATGGACTAATACAGAAGGTAATATTTACATTAAAATGCAACAAAAGTCAAATACCTAGAAATAAACAAAATAAATAATGTGTAAAACCTATATGAAGAAATAAAAAATTTTGAAAAACTAAGGAAAACCTAAGTAAATAGAAGGAACTATTATTTTCATGAATTAAAAGTCTCAATATCATTGAGTTGCAAATTTTTCCCAATTCATAGATAGGGTAGCCAAATTATTGTTAGTCCAGTGAAAGAAGGCACTAAATAAATAGTGATTTATTGACCAAGAGGTATTAGTTTTAGTTTATTAGTGGACTTATAAAATATTCCTGGTCAATTTTCTCCTAAAATCATACTCTTCCTAAAAAATGTAAATAACCTAAAATGGTATACATGTAAGAAAAAAATATTCTATATGGATTATCTAAACCTTAAAATCATACAAGCAGAATTACTTTTGCTATATATTCACATACTTTAGTCCATTTATTAGCTCCCTTTCTCCTACTAATATCATGTCACTGGTATTTCCTGAAAATATTATTTTTATTGAATATGGTATTATCTTTAAATTTTTATAAAATTACTTGTAATTATAGGATTTTATTTTATGGCTACAATTGACAACAACTTTTTCAATGATTCTTCCTATAGATGATATTTTAATTGTTAAAATACTCTAAAAACATGGCTAAAGTACATCACTTAAATTCTGCTAAATGGGTCATACTCTTATTTATTTTTTATTTATCAATAAACTTTATTTTTTAAAGCAGTTTTAGGTTTTAGCAAAAAATGAGCAGAAAGTACATAGAGTTCCCATGAACCATCCCTTTCTAAACACAAAACTTCATCCATTATCAACATCCTGCACCACAATGGTACATTTGTTAGAATGGATGAACCTGCATTGACACATCATTATCACCCAGTCCATAGTTTACCTTAGGATTCACTCTTGTTGTATATTCTATGGGTTTTGACATATGTATAATGAGGATATACACCATTGTAGTACAGTACAGAATGGTTTCATTGCCCCCCGCAAAAAAATTGTCTATGTCATGCCTATTCATCCCTCCTGACCCTGCAAATCCTGTCAATCACTCATTTTTTATTATCTCCATAGTTTTGCCTTTTCCAGAATGCCCGATATTTAAAACCATAACGTTTGTAGCCCTTTTAGATTTGATTATTTCATTTAATAATATGCATTTGAATTTCTTCCATGTATTGTCATGGCTTGATACTTCATTTCTTTCTAGCATGGCATAGTATTCCATTGTCTGAATATGCCACAGTTTATTTACCTACTCACTTACTGAAGGACAGCTTGGTTACTTCCAAATTTTGGCAATTATAAATAAAGCTGCTGTAAACATTCATGTGCAAGTTTTTGTGTGAACATAAGTTTTCAATTCATTTGGGTAAATACCAAGGAGCATGATAGCTGGATCTTATGGTAAGAGTATCTTTAGTTTTGTAGCCAACTGCCAAGCTGTTTTCCAAAGTGGCTGCATAACTTTGCATTCCTAACAGCAACAAATGAGTTCCTGTTGCTCCATATGCTCACCGACATTTGGCGTTGTCAGCATTTTGGATTTGGGCCATTCAAAAAGGTGTGTAGTGGTATCTCAGTGTTGTTTAATTTTGCAGTTCTCTAATGACATGATGTTGACCATCTTTTTATATGCTTACATGCCATCTATATATCTTCTTTCTTGAAGTATATTTTTAGGTCTTTTGCCCATTTAAAAAAATTAAGCTGTTAGTCTTTTTATTGTTGAGTTTTGAAAATTCTTTATACATTTTAGATAACAATCTTTCATCAGATTTGTCTTTTGCAAATATTTTCTCCCAGTCCGTGGCTTGTCTTCTCATTCTCTTGACATTGTCTTTCAGAGCAGAAATTTCAGTTTAGTAAAGTCCAGCTTACCAATTATTTCTTTCATGGATTGTGCCTTTGGTGTTGCATCTAAACAATCATCACCATACCTAAGTTCTAGGTTTTCTCCCATGCTCACTTCTAGGCATTTTATAGTTTGGCATTTTACATTTAAGTCTATGGTTCATTTTGAGTAAATTTTCATGAACGGTATAAAATCTGTGTCTAAAATAATTTTTTGCCTGTGTTATTGTAGTACTATTTGTTGAAAAGATCATCTTTGATCCATTGTATTGCCTTTGTTCCTTGTCAAAGATCAGTTGACTATGTTAGTCTATTTCTGGGCTCTTTATACTGTTCCATTGATTTTAGTTGTCTATTCTCTTTTTTTTTTTTTTTGAGATGGAGTCTCACTCTGTCACCCAGGCTGGAGTGCAGTGGCATGATCTTGGCTCACTGCAAGTTCCACCTCCCAGGTTCACGCCATTCTCCCACCTCAGCCTCCCAAGAGTAGCTGGGACTACAGGTGCCCGCCACCATGTCCGGCTAATTTTTTGTATTTTTCAGTGGAGACGGGGTTTCACCATGTTAGCCAGGATGGTCTCGATCTCCTGACCTCGTGATCCACCCACCTTGGCCTCCCAAAGTGCTGGGATTACAGGCATGAGCCACCATGCCCGGCCTAGTTGTCTATTCTTAATGGAAAAGCTTCTCGTTTTCACCATTAAGTATGATGCTGCCTATAGGCTTTTTTGTGGATAGTCTTAATCAAGTGATGATGTTTCCTAATATTTTTGGTTTATTGAAAGTTGTTATCATGAATGGGTGTTGGAGTTTAGTCAAATTTTTTTGTTTTGGCATCTAATGACATGATCATATGGTTTTTCTCCTACCTTGCTGAAGTGTTGAATTACATTGACTGTTTTTTGAATGCTGACCTAGCCTTGTATACGTGGGATCATGCCACTTGGTTGTGGTATATAATTATTTTTATACATTACTGGATTTGATTTCTTAGTATTTTGTTGCATCTGTGTTCATAAGAGGTATTGGTCTGTAAGTTGCTTTTTTTGTAATATCTTTGGCTTTAATATTCAGGTAATTCTGACCTAATAGAATGAGTTAGAAAGTACTCTGCTTCTACCATCTGAATGTGATTGTAGAGAATTGATATAATTTTTTTCTTGAATGTTTGGCAGAATACATCTGGTACTAAAACTTTCTGTTTTAATGGGTTGTTAATTATTGATTAAATAGGTTTATTCAGATTGTCTATTTCTTCTTGTGTGAGTTTTGGCAGATTGTGTCTTTGTAGTAATTGGTCCTTTTCATCTAGGTTATCACATTTTTTGGCATAGAGTTGTTTATTAAAATACCTATATCCAAATATTTTTATAAATATTGACTCTGCCACTTTGAAGAGCACTTTTTTTTTGACAAATATTTTCATAAGGCAGAATTTGTTAGATAAACCAAAGGCACAGGCAGGCGGCTTTGCAGAGACAGCAAAATCAAATAATTTTCTGCCACGACCCTAAATCAAAATGAGTTAGCTACTCCTAGCTCTTCGTGTTTGAGTTCAGTTCATCAACAAGCATTCTGCTTGTTGCCTTTGAATGAGAGGTATTATTAGCATTGTGACAGAAAAAGATTGATAAAAAGAGGCGGATCATTGCTGGTCAGTTTTCCAATTAAACCATAAGTAAAAGTGAAAATTCTGTTCACTACCCATGTATCTCATCTACTTTAGTTGAAAAGATAATCTTTTCAACAAATGGTACTACTACTTCTAGATGTGACCATGCAGAAGCTAGAATTACAAAGTGAGGTATACCCTTTCTAGCTTATCATAATTCAGTAATAATATGAATAGTGAAAAGGTGAAAAACCTCATAGGAATACTAACCTAGAAAGGATACGAGGGCAACAGGTGTAAACTGTGACTGTACTAGGCAAACTAGACCGAATGTCATATTTTCTACAATTCAATGCAATCTTAATAAGAGCACTAACAGATATTCCAATGGTACCTAACAAACTAATTTAGAAACATAAATGAAAATGCAAAGAAATAACCAAAATGCTCTTGAAAAAAAGGGACAAGGTAAGATGACTTGCTCTATTGGAAATTAAGACTTATTAAAAACCTACAGTAATTAAAATTATGTGGTACTGGTACAAGGCACAAATGAATAGGTAAGTGGAATAAATGGAATAATTAATATATGGATAGTTGAATTATGAGGAAGTTGACACTGTAGAGCTGTAGGGTAATGATTATTTTCACTATTTGTACTAGGACAGTTGGATACTGATATAAAAAATATCTAAATATAAAATTTAAAATAGCAAAGGTCCTAAAATATAATATACAGGGATATAACATCAACAATTTAGCAAAGGGAAAAATTCCTTACAAGAATTTAAAAAGCACCAAACATAAAGAAATTAGAGATAAATTAAAAATTTTTATTTATCAAGGTTCACATTAAGACAGTAAAGAGGCAAGTCAGAAAGCTAGATAAGACATTCGCAACACATACAACCAATAATTCCTAACAATTAAAATAGACAACATAATAGAAAAAAGGTCAAGGGACTTTGAAAAGCATTTTCAAAAAAAAAAGATAGCCAAATTGTCAATAATCATATGAAAAAGTACTCAAGCTCATTAATAATCATGGAAATGCTAATTAAAACTATAATGAGATACTGCTAGACACTCAGCAGATTGGCTAAAATTTAAAAAGGCTTTGAATCACAAATTTGGATGAAGATGTGAAGTAGTAAGAACTCTGACTTACTGCTGCTGATAGGAATATAAATCAGTATCATTTTGGAAAACTGTTTGGCAATATCTGCTAACGTTGCAGGTAAACATAACCTAAGATGTAATAATTGCACTCCTAGGTATAATACTATCATAAATGCACATACACGAGCCCCAAGAGACATGCACAAGAATGTTACAGCAGCACTGTCTGTAATTGTCACAACTGGAAACAACTGAAACAGCAAATATTCATCAACAAACTACTAGATTGCTAAAATGTGGTCTATTCATACAAGAAAATGCTATACAGCACCAAAACTTTTATTTTTTTCATTTTATATATATTTATTATACTTTAAGTTCTAGGGTACATGTGCACAATGTGCAGGTTTGTTACACATATATACATGTGCCATGTAGGTGTGCTGCACCCATTAACTCGTCATTTACATTAGGTATACCACCTAATGCTATCCCTACCCCCTCCCCCCACCCCACAACAGGCCCCGTTGTGTGATGTTTCCTTTCCTGTGTCCAAGTGTTCTCATTTTTCAGTTCCCAGCTATCAGTGAGAACATGCGGTGTTTGGTTTTTTATCCTTGCGACAGTTTGCTGAGAATGATGGTTTCCATCTTCATTCATGTCCCTACAAAGGACATGAACTCATCCTTTTTTATGGCTGCATAGTATACCATGGTGTGTATGTGCCACATTTTCTTAATCCAGTCTATCATTGGACAATTTGGGTTGGTTCCAAGTCTTTGCTATTGTGAGTAGTGCTGCAATAAACATACGTGTGCATGTGTCTTTATAGCAGCATGATTTATAGTCCTTTGGGTATATACCCAGTAATGATTTGGCTGTGTCAAATGGTATTTCTAGTTCTAGATCCCTGAGGAATCACCACACTGACTTCCACAATGGTTGAACTAGTTCACAGTCCCACCAACAGTGTAAAAGTGTTCCTATTTCTCCACATCCTCTCCAGCACCTCTTGTTTCCTGACTTTTTAATGATTGCCATTCTAACTGGTGTGAGATGATATCTCACTGTGGTTTGATTTGCATTTCTCTGATGACCAGTGATGATGAGCATTTTTTTCTGTGTCTGTTGGCTGCATTGATGTCTTCTTTTGAGAAGTGTCTGTTCATATCCTTCGCCCACTTGTTGATGGGGTTGTTTGTTTTTTTCTTGTAAATTTGTTTGAGTTCTTTGTAGATTCTGGATATTACCCCTTTGTCAGATGAGTAGATTGCAAAAATTTTCTCCCATTCTGTAGGTTGCCTGTTCACTCTAATGGTAGTTTCTTTTGCTGTGCAGAAGCTCTTGAGTTTAATTAGATCCCATTTGTCAATTTTGGCTTTTGTTGCCATTGCTTTTGGTGTTTTAGACATGAAGTCTTTGCACATGCCTATGTCCTGAATGGTATTGCCTAGGTTTTCTTCTAGGGTTTTTATGGTTTTAGGTCCAACATTTAAGCCTTTAATCCATCTTGAATTAATTTTTGTATAAGGTATAAGGAAGGGATCCAGTTTCAGCTTTCTACATATGGCTAGCCAGTTTTCCCAGCACCATTTATTAAATAGGGAATCCTTTCCCCATTGCTTGTTTTTGTCAGGTTTGTCAAAGATCAGATAGTTGTAGATGTGTGGTATTATTTCTGAGGACTTTGTTCTGTTCCATTGGTCTATATCTCTGTTTTGGTACCAGTACCATGCTGTTTTGGTTACTGTAGCCTTGTAGTATAGTTTGAAGTCAGGTAGCGTGATGCCTCCAGCTTTGTTCTTTTGGCTTAGGATTGACTTGGTGATGCGGGCTCTTTTTTGGTTCTATATGAACTTTAAAGTAGTTTTTTCCAATTCTGTGAAGAAAGTTATGGGTAGCTTGATGGGGATGGCATTGAATCTATAAATTACCTTGGGCAGTATGGCCATTTTCACAATATTGATTCTTTCTATCCATGAGCATGGAATGTTCTTCCATTTGTTTGTGTCCTCTTTTATTTCATGGAGCAGTGGTTTGTAGTTCTCCTTGAAGAGGTCCTTCACATCCCTTGTAAGTTGGATTCCTAGGTATTTTATTCACTTTGAAGCAATTGTGAATGGGAGTTCACTCATGATTTGACTCTCTCTTTGTCTGTTATTGGTGTATAAGAATGCTTGTGATTTTTGCACGTTGATTTTGTATCCTGAGACTTTGCTGAAGTTACTTATCAGCTTAAGGAGATTTTGGGCTGAGATGATGGGGTTTTCTAAATATACAATCATGCCATCTGCAAACAGGGCCAAAAATTTTAAAAACTACTTCTCACAACAACATGATGAATATTGTAAAAACTGTGGAAAAAAACAAGATAGACAAGAATAGTGTATGCTTTATAATATTTATATACAGGGAAGATAAAAACAGAAAGTGCTGTATAAAGTGATTTAGGGATACATACTTATCCAGTAAAACTATAAAGAAAAACAAAAGATGTGAATAAAACAAAGTAATGGTAATGATTACATTTAAGGAGGGGAGCAATTCAGTGGAGGTGAAAGCAAGCCTCTAATGCGCTGGCAATCTTGACCTGATGATGGTTGCAGGGGTGTTCACTTTGATAAATCATTGAGGAGAAAGCTTTTTGTTTTATGAATTTTTCTATATTTTGCTATATTTCAACTTTTTTTGAAAAAGATAACTCTGTAACAGCTCCTTGTTCAGTGTTCATCTCACTTCATTGTTTGGAATATAACCAGCTCAGCCATATTTGCCTGTACCTTCTTCAAAGCTTACCATGAAAATACTTAATAGCTAATTGGGCAGAGGTTTAAGTGAGGATTTCATACAATTTTAAAAGCTTAAAGAAACAAATTATTAAATAGTAAGTATGGTGCTGAATGGCATTTTTCCATTCGGAATCACACCAGAACAGAGCATGATCAAGAAAACTGAAACAATAGTGGAAAGCTACATCAACTCCCCGCATAAGAATATCTGGAGCTGGGTGCAGTGGCTCATGCCTGTAATCCCAGTGCTTTGGGAGGCTGAGGCAGGAGGATCATTTGAGGCCAGGAGTTCCAGACTAGCCTGGGCAACATTGCGTGATCCCATTTCTACAAAAACTAAAAAAATTAGCCAGGTGTGGTGGCAGGTGCCTATAGTCCTAGCTACTTGGGAGACAAGCAGGAATATTACTTAAGCCCAAGGGTTGGAGGCTATAGTGAGCTGTGACTACACCACTGCACTCCAGCAGCATAGGTGACAGAGTGAGACTGTCTCAAAAAAAAAATAAAATAAAATAAAATAAGAAGGAGAAGGAGGAGAAAGAGAAGGAAGGGGGTCAGGAGGAGGAGGAGTGGGGGAGGAGGAGAAGGAAGAGGAGGAGAAGGAGGAGGAGGAGGAGGGCGAGAAGGAGGAAAGAAGACCTGTTTCCACTTATCCTGTCAGGATCACTGTAGTCTGATTATCTCAAGATCTTTCAAATTATGAGCCAAAAAGAGATATGAAATTATATCAGGGGATAATGGCTTCTGCTTAGATTACTAAAACTTTAAGACAGGATTTTTTTATTTTGCCAAACTTTGGTGATTAAAATGGTATTATTGTCAACTAGCTTTAGTTAACTTCAGTGACAGAACATTCAGTTCCAGGAAAAATTTTTATTCATTCTGTGACTGAATTTAAAGAGCAAAGAGGACAGGTGCAGCAGCTCATGCCTGTAATCCCAGCACTTTGAGAGGCTGAGGTGGGCTGGGCGGATCACCTAAGGTCAGAAATTCAAGACCAGTCTGGCCAACATGGCAAAACCCCATCTCTACTTAAAAAAAAAAAAAAAAAAAAAAAAAAATTGGCACAGTGTAGTGGCAGGTCCCTGTAATCCCAGAGGCAGGGAGAATCACTTGAACCTGGGTGGTGGAAGAGCTTGCAGTGAGCCAAGATCAGGCCACTGCACTCCAGCCTGAGTGACAGAGCAAGACTCCATCTCAAAAAAAAAAAAAAAAAAAAAGCAAAGAGAAACATCTCAAACATCTTAGCTTTATGTATTAATTTATTCTATGGAGAAAGAAAAAGTACATGTTAAGATCTGATTCTATAATTACTAAAAATCAAGATGTATCTAAAGCTTTGTTGACAGTGTATGCTACTAGTCATCAACAAACAAAAATATACAGAGGTATTAAATAATAAGACTCATTTGTTAATTTTAAATTCTGTCTCACAATTTAAACAATACAAAAAGTAAGGACATTTGTAAATGATGATAATGAGTTTCAGAAAATTTATAATCAATAGAATTGGACAAAATTTTAATAAAAGAAATGCTCTATCAACTGAAAAGCAGTCATATGATTTGACCATTAGGATGTAGAGGTTCTCTTAGGATGGATAATGTCAGTACAACAGTAGAGGCAGAAGTCAGAAAAAAATTGAGCAGAAATCAAGGCAGTGGAGGCATTAATTTGTTTCCAAATATCCATTCTTCCTTTTTCTTTTAGTATAAAACCCCTAAATTTAGCTGGATATGTGCCTTTCCTAATAAGTCTATATTTCTCACTCTTCCTTGCAGTTATGTGTGGCCATGTGTCTAAATTTTGGCCAATAGAATGTGATGTTTGCAACTTCTGTGCTATCCACATCCTCTTCTCCCCTTCCCACTTTTAGAAAAACAGCCATGAGGAGTTGAGCTGCAGAGATATTTTTAGCCCACGAGGCAGAAGCCGGATGTTAAGGCTGGCAAAACAATGAGATAAAAGGAGTCTGAGTTCCTGCCATTGGAACGGTTATATCAGCTGTTGAATTCTTGTTCACACTGTTACATAAGGCAGAAATAAACTCTATCTATAAGCCACTGCCATTTTGGTTTCTTTTTTCCCCCCAAAATGGAACCTGGCCTAATTAATACTGTAAGCATTGACTCATCTTGAGAAGTTAAGCAGCGACAAGGAGGAAGAAATAAGAAAAATGAAAGATCCTTTTTAGGAAGAGAGAAACTAACACATTTTCATAGGCTGGGACTTTAATGAAAATACAGAGACCTGTGTTATACAATCAGAAAGAGACCCAAATATGCAGTTAGTGATTCTATAGTAACAGAAACCTGATCAGTAGTATCCTGTGGCCAGGGTAAACTGAAGGATGACTGCAAAGGAGAACAAGAGCACCTTTTTGGATGATGGACCCTTGCTATATTTTGTTTGTAGTCATAGTTATATGAGTATATACATTTATCAAAACCACTGGATGGTATTTTTAATGTTGGTGCATTTTATTGTATGTAAATTATATCTCAATGAAGTTGATTTTTAAAAAAATTTTAAACATCAACACAAGAAACTAACACAACTAACAGCCTAACACAGAGAATGAACAGAAATCTACATCAAAGTAAGTCATTATAATATTTTTAGACTATCAGCTACAAAGAAGATCCTATTTTTAAAAAAGAAGAAGAAAAACAAGAAAAAAAGATTACAGGCAAAAGATCCAAAATCAGCATAGTATCAGATTTCTTTATAGCAATATTGGAATGTTAGAAGAAACACCTTCCAATGCCATGAAGTGATACTTTCAAAACTCTGTGAAAAAATGTTTTAGTCCTAGCCACACTGGCAGTTGATTATGAGGACAGAATGTTGACACTTTCAGACATGTCAGAATTCAAAGGCTTTACTTCCTAAGTATCCATTTATTAAAAAAATAATGGAGAATGTGTTTCACCAATGAAAGCATAAACCAAAAAATGCAGAACATGACAGGTTCAGGTAACAGGAATTGCAACAAAGAAAAGTGCAAAGAAATCCCTCAGGGAGAGGAAATTGCAGGACCACTGGACTTCAGGTGTAGAAAGTAACCAATCTAGATTGAAACCAGGACAGAGTGCTCCAGGAAGGCCCTCTCTAAGGAGCAAGGGTGCTCTTGAGAAGTTTGGACCATACAAAACTAAGCAAACCAAACACAGCAGTTATTAACACCAAGGAAAATAGAAAGATTTACACAAAAAGGAATGAAATTTTAACATACTAGGTGGCTCACCTGTGAGCAACATGTTAAACTGTAAACACAATACAATGATTTCACTGAGGACTGTAATTATAACTTTACTGGTGGATAAAAATTTTTGTATAGGGGAAAATCTTGGGCCTAAATAAGGATAATTTTCCATAAAGAGAAGTTAATAGATAATGCTTAAAATTAAGAGCATAAATAAAGATGCAGCTGAGTAGGCCTGTTACTAAGGAAAAAAGAAGAAAATACCAAAATAAATGGCTGAAGCAGTTGACCATATTTCCCTCAGAAACATGAGAATCAGGGTCCAGGAAGGGTAGAGCAGGGCCTACTGGTTTTTTATCATTGTTGTTGTATCTTCAGGTAAATTTTAACTAAGCACATGTATTACTTTAAAAATAATAATTTGGAAATGAAATTCAGTTAATGCAAGGATTGAAACCTGCGCATATAATGCCTGACACCAACCCTTTCCTATTTTTATTGGTACAAGAAGATAGAGGGCATGAAGGAAGAAGTATGCCAACAAAGAGTGAAAAGGCCATCAATGATAACTTGAGGGGATGGAAGACAATGCTCACCCACCACAATGGTGCCTAACGCCTGCCCAATTGTGTGTGGAGAAATAGACAGTGTCCCCAGAGGTGTTTTCTTTCTTCCCTGCTTGCTGATAACCATGTGTGAGACCAGTAAATTCAAAAATACCTAGCTAGAGAGAGGGAGCACAGTGCAGCTAAAAGGGCATGAACATTGAAACGGATCTGAATTCTAATCCCCTCTTTCCCTTATCAGCATAGTCAGCTGAAGCAAATTACTTCTCCAGTTTTCTTACAGGCAATTTGGAGGTAATGATATCTCCCATGCTGATTAATGTAAGAATCAAGTAAGACTGCAGATATAAAGCATCACGCTCAGGGCTTTGCCCAAAGCAGATGCTAATGAAGGTTACTTTCTTTTGTTCTACCGTTGTTTTCCACCGTTTGTAGTAAGTGACTATCAGTTGATTGACTGTGTACATGCACATTTCCTCCTCCTTTTCGTTCTCTTTCTCTTTTCCTCCACCATTCAATCCGAGTTCAACTCTAAACTTCCAAATGACACAAAATCTGAAACGAGTTAAAATTAATTTCTTAGAAAGGAACTCACTGCTTCTCTTCACCATCTCCTCCACAAAAAAGTATTTCCTGGGTTAGTTTCCCTAAGTAACATTTGCCTCCACTGCAAGGCTATGAAACTGCATTGGCATAGGTTAGCAGAAAAATATGAAAGTGCCTTCCAAGATGGCCAAATAGGAACAGCTCTGGTCTTCAGCTCCCAGCATGATCGATGCAGAAGATGGGTGATTTCTGCATTTCCAACTGAGGTACCTGGTTTATCTCACAGGGACTGGTTGGACAGTGGGTGCAGCCCATGGAGGGTGAGCCAAAGCAGGGTGGGGTATTGCCTCACCCAGGAAGCACAAGGGGTTGGGGTATTTCCCTTTCCTACCCAAGGGAAGCTGTGACAGACTGTACCTGGAAAAACAGGACACTCCTGTATGAATACTGTGCTGTTACCAAGGTCTTAGCAACAAGCAGACAAGGAGATTCTCTCCTATGCCTGGCTCAGTGGGTCCCACACCCACGAAACCTTAATCACTGCCAGTGCAGCAATATGAGATGAAACTGCGAGGCAGCAGCCTGGTTGGGGGAGGGGTGTCCGCAATTGCTGAGGCTTGAGTAGGTAAACAAAGTGGCCAGGAAGCTCAAACTGGGCTGGGCGGAGCCCACCACAGCTCAGCACGGACTACTGCCTCTATAGAATCCACCTCTTTGGGCAGGACATAGCTGAAGAAAAGGCAGCAGACAGCTTCTTTTTTGTTCATAGTTGAACAAAAGGCAGCAACGTCCCTGTCTGACAGCTCTGAAGACAGCTGTAGTTCTCCCAGCATGGTGGTTGAGCTCTCAGAATGGACAGAATGCCTCCTCAAGTGGGTTCCTGACACCTGTGTAGCCAAATGGGGAGATACCTCCCAGTAGGGGCCGACAGACACCTCATATAGGTGGCTGCCCCTCTGGGACAAAGCTTCTAGAGGGAGGATCAGGCAGCAATTTTTGCTGTTCTGCAATAGTTGCTGTTCTGCAGCCTCTGCTGGTGATACCCAGGCAAACAGGGTCTGGAGTGGACTTCCAGCAAACTTCAACAGACCTGCAGCTGAGGGACCTGACTGTTCGAAGGAAAACTAACAAACAGAAAGGAATAGTACCAACATCAACAAAAAGGACATCTACACCAAAACCCCACCTGTAGGTCACCAACATCAAAGACCAAAGGTAGATAAAACCACAAAGATGGGGAGAAACTAGAACAGAAAAGCTGAAAATTCTAAAAACCAGAGTGCCTCTTCTCCTCCAAAGGATCTCAGCTCCTTGCCAGCAATGGAACAAAGCTGGAGAGAGAAAGACTTTGACAAGTTGACAGAAGTAGGCTTCAGAAGGTCGGTAATAACAAACTTCTCCGAGCTAAAGAAGCATGTCCAAACCCATTGCAAGTAAGCTAAAAACCTTGATAAAAGGTTATATGGAAGGCTAACTAGGATAAACAGTGTAGAGAAGACCTTAAATGGAGCTAAAAACCATGGCACAAGAACTTCGTGATGCATACATAAGCTTCAATACCTGATTTCATCAAGTGGAAGAAAGAGTATCAGTGATTGAAGATCAAATTAATGAAATGAAGTGAGAAGAAAAGGTTAGAGAAGAAAAGAGTAAAAAGAAATGAACAAAACCTCCAAGAAATACAGGACTATGTGAAAAGACCAAATCTATGTTTAATAGATATATCTGAAAGTGATGGGGAGAATGGATCCAAGTTGAAAAACGCTCTTCAGGATATTATCCAGGACAACTTCCCCAACCTAGCAAAGCAGGCCAACATTCAAATTCAGAAAACACAGAGAACACCACAAAGATACTCCTCGAGGAGAGCAACCTCAAGACACATAATTGTCAGATTCACCAAGGTTGAAATGAAGGAAAAAATGTTAAGGGCAGCCAGAGAGAAAGGTTGGGTTACCCACAAAGGGAAGCCCATCAGACAAACTGTGGATCTCTCAGGAGAAACCCTTCAAGCCAGAATAGAGTGGGGGCTAATATTCAACATCCTTAAAGAAAATAATTTTCAACCCAGAATTTCACATCCAGCCAAACTAAGCTTCATAAGAGAAGGAGAAATAAAATCCTTTACAGACAAGCAAATGCTGAGAGATTCTGTCACCACCAGGCCTGCCTTGCAAGAGCTCCTGAAGGAAGCACTAAACATGGAAAGAAACAATTGGTACCAGCCACTGCAAAAACATGCCAAATTGTAAAGATCATTGATGCTATGAAGAAACTGCATCAATTAACAGGCAAAATAACCAGCTAACATCATAATGACAGGATCAAATTCACACATAACAATATTAACCTTAAATGTAAATGGGTTAAATGCCCCAATTAAAAGACACAGACTGGCAAATTGGATTAAGAGTCAAGACCCATCAGTGTGCTGTATTCAGGAGACCCATCTCAGGTACAGAGACACATATAGGCTCAAAATAAAGGGATAAAGGAAGATCTACCTTCAAATGGAAAGTAAAAAAAAAAAAGGCAGGGGTTGCAATCCTAGTCTCTGATGAAATAGACTTGAAACCAACAAAGATCAAAAGAGACAAAGAAGGCCATCACACAATGGTAAAGGGATCAATTCAACAAGAAGAGCTAACTATCCTAAATATATATGCACCCAACACAGGAGCACCCAGATTCATAAAGCAAGTCCTTAGAGATCTACAAAGAGATTTAGACACCCACACAAGAATAATGGGAGATTTTAACACCCCACTGTCAATATTAGACAGATCAACGAGACAGAAGGTTAACAAGGATATCCAGGACTTGAACACAGCTCTGGATCAAGCGGACCTAATAGACATCTACAGAACTCTCCAGCCCAAATCAACAGAATATGCATTCTTCTCAGCACCACATCACACTTCTTCTAAAATTGACCACATAATTGGAAGTAAAGCACTCCTTGGCAAATGCAAATGAACAGAAATCACAACAAACAGTCTCTCAGAACAGAGTGCAATCAAATTAGAACTCAGGATTCAGAAACTCACTCAAAATTGTGCAACTACATAGAAACTGAAATCCTGCTCCTAAATGACTACTGAGTAAATAACAAAATTAAGGAAGAAATAAAAATGTTATTTGAAATCAATGAGAACAAAGAGACAATGTACCAGAATCTCTGGGACACAGCTAAAGCCATGTTTGGAGGAAAATTTATAGCACTAAAATGCCTGCAAGAGAAAGAAGGAAAGATCTAAAATTGACAGCTAACATCAAAATTAAAAGAACTAGAGAAGCAAGAGCAAACAAATTCAAAAGCTAGTGGAAGGCAAGAAATAACTAAGATCAGAGCAGAACTGAAAGAGATAGAGACATAAAAAATTCTTCAAAAAATAAATGAATCCAGGAGCTGGATTTTTGAAAACATCAACAAAATTGATAGACCACTAGCAAGAATAATAAAGAAGAAAAGTGAGAAGAATCAAATAGATGCAATAAAAACTGATAAAGGGGATATCACCACCGATCCCACAGTAATACAAACTACCATCAGAGAATACTGTAAACATTTCTACGCAAATAAACTAGAAAATCTAGAAGAAATGGATAAGTTCCTGGACACATACACCCTCCCAAGACTAAACCAGGAAGAAATCGAATCTCTGAATAGACCAATCACAGACTATGAAATTAAGGCAATAATTAACAGCCTACCAACCAAAAAAAAGTCCAGCACCTGGTAGATTCACAGCTGAAATCTATGAGATGTACATAGAGGAGCTGGTACCATTCCTTCTGTAACTATTCTAATCAACAGAAAAAGAAGGAATCCTCTCTAACTCATTTTATGCAGCCAGCATCATCCTGATACCAAAGCCTGGCAGAGACACAACAAAAAAAGAATTTTAGACCAATACCGCTGATGAACATCGATACAAAAATCCTCAATAAAATACTGGCAAACTCAATCCAGCAGCACATCAAAAGGCTTATCCACCACTATCAGGTCAGCTTCATCCCTGGTATCCTAGGCTGGTTCAACATACACAAATCAATAAACGTAATCCATCACGTAAACAGAACCAATGACAAAAGCCACATGATTATCTCAATAGATGCAGAAAAGGCCTTCGACAAAATTCGACAGCCCTTCATGCTAAAAACTCTCAATAAACTAGGTATTGATGGAATGTATCACAAAATAATAAGAGCTATTTATGAAAAACCCATAGCCAATATCACACTCAATTGGCAAAAACTGGAAGCATTCCCTTTGAAAACCAGCACAAGACAAGAATGCCCTCTCTCACCACTCCTATTCAACATACTGTTAGAAGTTCTGGCCAGGGCAATCAGGCAAGAGAAAGAAATTTGGGTATTAAATTAGGAAAAGAGGAAGTCAAATTGTCCCTGTTTGCAGAGGACATGATTGTATATTTAGAAAACCCCATCAACTCAGCCCAAAATCTCCTTAAGCTGATCAGCAACTTCAGCAAAGTCTCAGGATACAAAATCAATGTGCAAAAATCACAAACATTCCTAAACACCAATAACAAACAGACAAATCATGAGTGAACTCCCATTCACAATTGCTACAAAGAGAATAAAATACCTAGGAATCCAACTTACAAGGGATGTGAAGGACCTCTTGAAGAAGAACTGCAAACCACTGCTCAACGAAATAAAAGAGGACACAAACAAATGGAAGAACATTCCATGCTCATGGATAGAAAGAATCAATATTGTGAAAATAGCCATATTGCCCAAGGTAATTTATAGATTCAGTGCCATCCCCATCAAGCTACCAATGACTTTCTTCACAGAATTGGAAAAAACTATTTTAAAGTTCATATGGAACCAAAAAAGAGCCTGCATTGCCAAGACAATCCTAAGACAATCCTAAGCAAAAGGTACAAAGCTGGAGGCATCATGCTACCTGACTTCAAACTATACTACAAGGCTACAGTAACCAAAACAGCATGGTACTGGTACCAAAACAGATTTATAGACCAATGGAATAGAACAGAGTCCTCAGAAATAACACCACACATCTACAACCATCTGATCTTTGACAAACCTGACAAAAACAGGAAATGGGGAAAGGATCCCCTATTAATAAATGGTGCTGGGAAAACTGGCTAGCCATATGCAGAAAGCTGAAACTGGATCCCTTCCTTACACCTTATACAAAACTGAATTTGAGATGGATTAAAGACTTAAATGTTACACCTAAAGCCATAAAAACCCTAGAAGAAAACCTAGGCAATACCATTCAGAACATAGGCATGGGCAAGGACTTCATGACTAAGACACCAAAAGCAATGGCAACAAAAGCCAAAATTGACAAATGGGATCTAATTAAACTAAAGAGCTTCTGCACGGCAAAATAAAATACCATCAGAGTGAACAGACAACCTACTGAATGGGAGAAAATTTTTGCAATCTACCCATCTGACAAACGGCTAATATCCAGAATCTACAAAGAACTCCAACAAATTTACAAGAAAAAAACAACCCCATCAAAAAGTGGGCAAAGGATATGAACAGACACTTCATAAAAGAAGACATTCATGCAGCCAACAGACACATGAAAAAATGCTCATCATCACTGGTCACCAGAGAAATGCAAATCAAAACCACAATGAGATACCATCTCATACCAATTAGAATGCCAATCATTAAAATGTCAGGAAACAACAGGTGCTGGAAAGGATGTGGAGAAATAGGAATGCTTTTACACTATTGGTGGGAGTGTAAATTAGTTCAACCATTGTGGAAGACAGTGTGGCAATTCCTCAAGGATCTAGAACTAGAAATACCATTTGACCCAGCGATCGCATTCCTGGGTATATACCCAAAGGATTATAAATCATGCTACTATAAAGACACATGCACACATATGTTTACTGTGGTATTATTCACAATAGCAAAGACTTGGAACCAACCCAAATGTCCAACAATGATAGACTGGATTAAGAAAATGTGGCACATATACACCATGGAATACTATGCAGCCATAAAAAATGATGAGTTCATGTCCTTTGTAGGGACATGGATGAAGCTGGAAACCATCATTCTCAGCAAACTGTCACAAAGACAGAAAACCAAACACCACATGTTCTCACTCACAGGTGGGAATTGAACAATGAGAACACTTAAGACACAGGGAGGGAAACATCACACACCAGGGCCTGTTAGTGGGTAGGGGGCTCGGGAAGGGATAGAATTAGGAGAAATACCTAATGTAAATGACGAGTTGATGGGTGCAGCAAACCAACATGCCACATGTATACCTATGTATGAAAACTGCACATTGTGCACTTGTACCCTAGAACTTAAAGTATAAAAAAAAAAAAAAAAAAAAAACATAAAATGAGTTAGAGAACTGAGACCATAAAGGGCATTGGTCACTTTCCTCTGCTCTTCACACTTCCTTGCAGACATAGTGATAATAAATTGATCTTAAGGATAGTTACAAACTCTGTGGATTTAATTGTATAAATTCTGTGGATCTAATTCTGCTATTATATTATTGTATCATTTCAAGAGGCTTGCTTGATTACATTTTTCTTGTTTCCTTTTCCGTATGCTTCTGAAGTTTCTAAAGTTCTTGTTTCAAAGCTGGAAGTCACTCCTTCCCTGAATAGCTTCTTCCATCTAACATTACAAAGGAGACAAGGAGACAACAAAGTCAGACCAAAGTTCCATTTTAATTTGAAACTCAATTATTCAATTAAAGTCAGTAAATAATTTTAAGGATATTTGAGAACTGTGTTCAGCAAGGAGGTGGTTAAAATAGTAAATAAGGTGCAGATCCTGTCTTCAAAATAATGTTCCAAAGCATGAAGTGACACAAATACCCAAGCCAGTCCAATACACAGAGGATCACTCCCTGTGCACCCATGGGGGATAAGATGTTATATAGCTGCCAAAAAGAGAAAGCACTTAATTGAAAGGATTCCTGAATCTAGTATATGCAACAGTCACCTTCAGATACATTATCTTGCTCAATTCTCACAGCAACAGTAAGATAAAAAGTTACAAATCTGATCTAGAATTCAGAGTTTCTGTCTTCTAATTCATTGCATGAAAGCATAGTTTCAGTAGTTAACATTCTTCAAAAAACAACAATAGAAAACCTTCCTAGATATTGTTTTATTATTGCTGTATAGCATCAATTTTCCTGGTTAGAATGATGCTTATGAAAATCATCTCACCTGGTGGTCCAGCTCCAGTAGGTGAGCTCCATTGTCTTCACACTTGTTCAATTCTTGTCATTTTATTTTCTAAGCTTTCATTTACAGGGAATAGATTAAAATTTTCCATCTTCAGTGAGTCCTCTTTGTGTTATGGAGCATATCATTATTTCAATGAACCAAACTCTTTCAGACCTGGCCCAAGTCTAAGTAAAAGGATCATCCATATGCTCATTTTTAATATTTGCCTCCAAAATTATCTGTGAAATGCAGCTAATTTGTACAACCTGTATGTTAAGTGCTTTTCAGGCACCTGAATGAATTATATTTTTTTAAAAACCCTGCACCTTACATTTTCTATAATTAACGAGCATGAGTCTACGATTAAGTAACAAGACTCAAAAGCATTCTTTAAAGCTAATGAATGGCATAATTATCTGAGTATAAAAAAATTGGAATCTGTGGCAACATACTGTAGATTACAAACTTATTCCTAATAATGTTACTTGGTTATTTTGATTTGTGTACATTATTCCTTTTAAAGTCCATTTAAAGTACATTATTCCTTTTAAAGTCCAACTACTCTAATTTATTTTCTATTTTTACTTGCACTCTCAAAAGCCTCTTGCATTTTTGTTGGTTTTCAAAAGCAGACCTACTGTTAGTTAGATGACTAATACCATTCCTTAAATATTGACAGTGACATAATGACATTTGTATACTTGATTAATCATTAATTCTGAAATACAACATACAGGTAAAATAAATACTGAATATTAAAGGCAATACTAAATCATACTTGTAGTGAGACAGCCAGGTGGGAGGGGGTCCCTGGAGAAACACCAACCAGCCTGCACACTGGAGTAGAGCCTCAAGAACTTCACACCATTTGCAGCAGGGAGGAGCCTGGCCCCTCTGCTTCCTGTGTGGACCTGGGATTTGATCACCAGGTGGGAAGTGCTCTAGTGGAGAGACTCTGGCCAGTTTGCCCACTTTTCTCCATTCTCACCCAATAGAACCCTGTTTTGCTCACCCTTTAAACTGTCTGTGAGCCTAAATTTTCATAGCTGGGAAACAGATAAGAATCCCGTCTGTAGCAGAACTAAGGAAAGTCCTGCATCATTTTTGGCGCCCAACATGGGGCTCGAGAAGTGGTGAATGAAATGGGGACACAAAACCTCTCACTGTTGCTTCTAAGCCTTTTCATCCTGGGACTTCTGACAGTGGGGAAAACCATACCCCTACCCCCTGTGGATCCTGGGCCTTTTCATGGCCTTTTCCTTCCTTTTTCGGGACTCACTGCTGAGCAGCAGCTCCCTGCTTTGCTGGGGCTAGGATGCATGGCCTAAGGATCCCGCACAGCTGGCTGGCTGGTCCTAACCACTTCCCGTTGCAGCAGTCTTCCCCTTCCTTGGCCAAGGGGTGTAACTCTATTGGACAGCAATTAAGCTTAAACTTGTCTCCCTGGTGGAGGAACCATTTGCACAAGAATAAGAGGCTCTTCCCCAGGAATTTTTAAACTGCTTTTTTGTTCTTTCTCCTTCTCTACCTCATCAACAAGTTAGCCCTTAAAGATTTTTTTTTCCTTTTAGAAGATGTTTTTACTGGGTTAGGCCCCCCAACTATCACTGTTTGTACTCTCTGTAAAGTTTTGGTTGTGGAAAAGGATTTGTGGGACTAGTCTTTGGCTGTGGCCAATCTGGTGTGCTTTACACGTCTGTATGGTTTGTGTTGCAAGCCTCCATCTTGCTTTACATCCTGGGGGCATGGCCAGTAGCCACTTGGCAAGGCTTTGTTTCACAATCCTGTCTGAGGGGATGAGCCCTCTCAGATTAGACATCTGCATGTTTTCCTAGCCCTGTCTCTTAAAGGGCTGCACCCAGTGACTGGGTGGTCCTCTGTGTGTGTACTGTGTGTGATATCTGTAAAAAGAGCTCTAATTAATTTGGCCTAAAGAAAAACAAGCGCTTGGATCTAACATTTTTTAGAGGGAAGATAAAAGCTGTGGTATCCTTCAGTTCACATGACTTTAATCTTTAAGAAATATAAACAGCCCTAAAGACCACTGGTAAAATTCAGGTCAGATGCAAGGTTTGTTAAGTGTTTTGAGGTTACAAACTGCTTTTTGGGTTTTGAGATCTATTTGACTTGTCAGCTTCACAACTGGTAAGGTGTGGACATATGGAACTAATCACACCCTTAACTAAGAATGCAAACCTTGGCTGCACTTAGCACACAAAGCAACTTACCAAGTTTTATCTTAAAGTTAAAAATTGCTAGGAGTTAATTGAAACTACTAGAAATAGATTTACATGCAGGGTGTGTAAGAACAGTAAAATGTGTTTTTTAGTAAAAGGTTATAAGAAGGCTTGGAAATGTAAACTTTTGCCTAGGGTTAAAGAATTGTTTTGAGTTAAATTAGGAAAAAGCTGAAGGTTCAAAGAAGTGGTGAAAGAACTGTGGAAATTAATCTTTCAGAAGAGGTTCTTTGTGTAAACATATTGACTAAATAGGTTATAAAATGTTTTTGCTGCTTTAAAATTTCTGAGTCATCATTTTGGAAAAATAAATGACATGGTAATCTGGAATTCTATTTCATAATATCAAGTGTTTTAAACCTGGAAGATATTTAACGGATTCTGAAAATCAAATTTAAGTTTCAAAATTGTCTTTTTTGACACCGGGCTTTTCAATTACTTCGGAAGGCCCCTGAAGTGTCCAAAAAGAGAGGTAAATAGGATCATTTGACATGTTTAGGTACATAGGATTGCCAAAATGTTATTCAATCTTCTTAGAAAATAATGTTCACATATGTTCCAAAATTGCATGGGATTTCTAAAATCCTGATGTCTAACGATATGCTATCAATCATAATTAAGGTTATGTTAAGTTATTGTAAACCATGAAGATAACCAAATTTGTCAATTGTGTTTCTAACTGTAACTCACTGAACATTTTGCTCTTCACAGACAATTGTTGTCTTGCTTTAATCCTTTTCAAAAAATGGTTTATAATAAGCTATAAAACTGTAATAGGTGCTCTTAAATACAGGCTTCTGATAACTTTGGATATTGTAACATTGGAATACAGGAAAATGTACAGGACTCATGAAGAGCTGAAATGTTCACAAATATCAAGTAAAACAAGGGCTAACTAAATGGACTAAACTCAGAAAACTAAAGCAACCTTTTTGACTTTTGGTTTAAATATTGCTGATCCTTGTTCTGTTTTTCATAGTCAAGGAAACTTATTTTGAATGATTTACAGCCTTTAAGAATTAAGCAAGGTATAATCCTGTGATCAAGATATGGAGCATGTTTGTTTGTCTCTGCCTGGTTCCTCTAGAATTTTGAAACTATCTGTGAGCATTCTTAACTTACGGCATTACAGTTGTTTGCATCAGTGCAATAAGAATCCATTTTTCTTTTGCAGCAGGATGCAATTGGAAGAATTGGTTATTTTACCAAGGCTTTAACTAGAAGGGTATGCTTCCCTTTAAGTAGACGATCTTGACTTGCAGAGCCAATAAAAGCCCAGTGGGGAAACTGGTCTCATACCTCATCTATGCAGTCCCTGTACAGGGTTCCTGACCTGTGGTCAGTAAAGAATGTCACGTTCTAACAGTTCTAGGAGGTCCAAGTTTATCGACCTTAAGAGGACAGAAGCACCCAACTCACAGGTGTTTGAAGATACAAACCCATGGTTGGGCTTGGCTTTAAAAGTTCTTATCTGAGACTCCTTGTGGAACAAAATCCCATTAAAGCCAACCCAAAAGGCGTATGTAGAAATAATCATTCTTGCTGCACTTTATGCAAATAATCAGGCCAAGTTTAAGACTAAATTCTATTTTGCAAACCATTCAGTCCTATAATTTTTTTTTTAACAAAAATGAGGACTGGGCAGGGCACGGAGGTTCACACCTATAATCCCAGCACTTTGGGAGGCCGAGGCGGGCAGATCACCAGGTCAGGAGATTGAGACCATCATGGCTAACACGGTGAAACCCCGCCTCTACTAAAAATACAAAAAAAAAAAAATTAGCCAGGCGTGGTGGCAGATGCCTGTAGTCCCAGCTACCCCGGATGCTGAGGCAGAAGAATGGCGTGAACCCGGGAGGTGGAGCTTGCAGTGAGCCAAGATCACGCCACTGCACTCCAACCTGGGCGACAGAGTGAGACTCTGTCTCAAAAGAAAAAAAAAAGAGGACTGGAGAGAGAGAAATTATGTTTCAAAACTTATATATTGGTCACTAAATTCTAAACTCATTAGTTGTTTTTAATTTTTTGCCTACATTTGAAACTAACCCTGCTTGTTCCTATGAACCAACCAGCAATCTCTAGCTGCAGCTCAGAAACAACATGAGGGATGGGTGATGTAGAAATCCTGATAAATATTCTAGTTCTGAGTAATTATCCTTCAAATCCTGCCAGGTGATGGGAATAAATAGGATGCCCATCACTCGGAGGTTTCCTTTTGGTAAAGTAAAACCAAGGGAGCTAACCAAAGCCAAGCACCATGCACCCAAATCTTAGCAAGCATAACTATAGCAAACACTCATCTGGGTGTCTCACAAGACATCCTTTCCTCTCCCTTGTTGGAGGAGGACTCAATTCCACAGCTTCACCTTGCATTCGGCTTATGATAAGGCATCCATGCAACCCCACCCCCACCCGTGAGATACAGTTTTGTCCCAGACTCAATTCTAAGCTTTGGTTCAAAGCCCTAGGAAGGAAAACTGGATGTTAAGGATCCAGAGGCAGATAACAACAGAGGTTAAAAGGCACCGAGCAGGTGAGTGTGGCTGATTTCTGCCAATTAAGCCAACCCCAAGCTTCCTGTTTCATGGATAAAGACCACGTTAATATCCATAGCATAAATGAGGTCTAGGGAACTCCAAAGCTACTGACATTAGGTGGGAAAGAGACATAGGTGAGAACAGATAATTCCTTTTCTCTAGCCACCCCCTCCCCATCCCCCACTTCATGGGTACAAGCTGCTTTGCATGGCGAGACCTGCCAAGGTCACCAGGACTTGGGGATGCAAGGATGGAAGAGGGAAAGAGGATGCTGTTCTCTCTCTCCCTCACTTACCCCTGGGTATCTGCTAGGAAGAGAAGGGAACTAGAGATGGCTACTCCCCTCTTTCTAGATGGGTAGCCATTCATCTTCAGTCTGTACCCCTTAAAATGTATCCTGAACCCCTGGAACTCCTTTAAAAGGCATCTTCTTTTTATTCCTTTCTCCTCCTTGGTTCTCTCTTCACTGATATTTAATTGTGTCTCTGTACTATGGGACACTCCCCTCAGATGCATTTTCCAAACAGGAAAGAGTTAATTTCCCAAAGCTGAAACTGGTTGCCTTAGGACTGGGCCCAGGGGAAGGAAACCCAGAAGCCCAACATGCCACCAAAAGGGTAAAGATTTTAACTAGTCAGGCTTTTGGCCTCCCTCTCTCCATGCAAACTGGTAAAGGGCCTCAGGATTTTTGAGCTGTCCTTACCCCTCCCCTTGTTTCACTTTGATACATGTTTTCTAATAATTGGGTTTGTCTGTTCTTACCTTCAGGCCATCAAACTCCAAACAGTCATGCAACCAGAGCCTCTGAAGATGGCCCCTTCTGCCGGGAACCCTTAGATCAGCCTCTGAGGGAGTTCTGCCATTTCCCCAAAACAGCGCCCCCTGTCAGCAGGAAGCGGTTAAGATCAGTCTTCATCCTTATCCTTAATCTAACCACAGTTAGATGTACTTCTTTAGAGGGGGGAATGAGACAGCCAGTGGGAGGGGATTCCTGGAGAAACTCCAAGCAGCCTGCGCACTGGGGTGGAGCCTTGGGAAGTTCACACGATTTGAAGCAGGGAGGAGCCTGCCTCGTCGTCTTCCTGTGTGGACCTGGGATTCAAACGCCAGGCAGGTGTTTCCCCCACCCGTTTTTCTCCCTTTTCACCCAATAAAACCCTATTTTGCTCACCCTTTAAACTGTCTGTGAGGCTAAATTTTTGTGGCCTTGGGATGGACAAGAACCCAGTCTTTAGCTGAACTAAGAAAAGTCCTACAATACCAGGGAGGTTTACATTTATCAATAAGAACATAAAAACATATGGGCAGTAATAAAATAAATTTCAACATGCCAACTATAACCACCGATTGTTTGTATTCTGCAGGAGAAGAGCACAAGAAGAAATGAGCTTAATTACAGCATAAACAATTTTAGTCATATATTAAATAGGTTCCTGATACTAAGCTCTTAAAATGGATATAAACAAGATGTGGTAGAATTTGAAAAATAGGTTACAATCACAGTAGTAGGTAATGTTTGAGAGTTTCTCCACCTGCAATATTGTATCTTTTATAATAGTTAAACACTGTGGACTTCTAAATTTAGCAATTTTTTCAGAGTTTAAATAAACCCTTTTTAAAAATACAACGGGATCTTTCTTTCATGCTTTGTTAGATCTTAAGGATGACTATTTAAAACAGAAATCTTTCAACCTCATTCAGATATAGTGCACTACAGCTACTAACTAGGAAACAATGAGAAAAGACTTTTCTTCACTTTAAGTTACAGATACTGCAAGTCTTTCCTTCAAAACAGGAGACAGTCCATCTGAAGCTAGTAGTAGATGCATATGGAGCTCAGGAGACGTTACCTTAAGTTGAAGTCTTCCACATGATCTGATGGGGACTGAGGTGAACAGGACCCTAAAGCATAATTGGTCAGAAGAGTGGGAGAGGTTGGCCGGGCACGGTGGCTCACGCCTGTAATCCCAGCACGTTGGGAGGCCAAGGCAGGCAGATCATGAGGTCAGGAGATGGAGACCATCCTTGCTAACACAGTGAAACCCTGTCTCTACTAAAAGTACAAACAAAATTAACCGGGCGTGGTGGCAGGCACCTGTAGTCCCAGCTACTCGGGAGGCTGAGGCAGGAGAATGGCGTGAACCTGGCAGGCGGAGCTTGTAGTGAGCCAAGACAGCGCCATTGCACTCCAGCCTGGGCAACAGAGTGAGACTGCCTCAAAAAAAAAAACAAAAAACAAAAAAACGGTGGGAGAGGTTGAACAAAGTTTGACCACTGCACATGTGTGGTCATGTTCTTGAAAACTCTGCACAATCTTAATGCTCCCTTGTTATTGTCTCATTATTAGAGAGCATCACCTATATTACCTTTGAGGTAGGTACTCACATTTTTAATTTTATGTGGCATTGATGACTAATTGTCCACCAAAAATTTTCCCCTCTCTATTTCAGAGCATGGTGTTGATGACGCGGGGAGGTGGCTGCACAATTAGAGATACACTTCCTAGCTACCCTGGATTCAGGTTTGTCCATGTGCTAGCCCCCACCAAAGGAACTTGAGAAGAGATTGTGTCACCTCCATGCTGAAAGCATTTAAGCAGCAGATAGATCTGAGATGGAGAACTCAGAGGCACCAGAGTATGGTGGAATCAAAAGGTGGAAAGAGCCTGGGTTCCCTGAATGATTCCATGGAGAAAAACTGCCCACTAATCAGAAATATTCATGTTGGACTCAAAGAAGTAAGAAATTAAAAATTTGGTGTTTATTCATTGGAGCAGCTAAAGTAAACCTATAAATCCAAATCCAAAAGTAAAGTAAAAGAAAATTTGACATATTGGAGTTTTTAAAAATTCCTGGCTATGGAAAGGTTTGAGAAATAGTTATAATCTTAAAATACATGGGCTGGTCTCATAATTAAAATGCTATAACCATTGAAAGTCATCTCATTAGTCCAAAACATTTAATTAATATTAATAGTCACATTTTTCCTAAGTATTAAAAGTTACTGGAACAAGTTGGGGGTCTCTTGTTGAAACAAATTATCAGAATAAAGGAAAAACTTAATTTACCAACTGAGAAATTGAAAGACATTAAAAGCATAGATGGAGGTGAAAGTGAGAGAAAGGTATGAAGTACAATGGGTGTTTTTCTAGATCAGAAGTAGTCAGGCGAGTTATTCCATTTCCATTTTCTCATTGAAATGTTTAATATCTATTTTGTTTATCTGTTAAAAGGTCACGTCAGAAAAAAAGTTACATCTCTTTAAAAACATTCAAGAACTAAGAGAAGCAAATCAGTATCATTGTTAATAAATTAGAATAATGAGAACAGGTCTGTATATTGAAGGATAATAAATTAATTTCATTTATCTTTAAGATTAGATTTGGAAGTTCAAGGAAATTTGTGATTACACATTTTAATATAGATATATTAATAGAAATAGAAGTTTAGAAACAAAATGAGAGATAAGAATTAAATGGATGACATCTTTAAGAACTGTCTAAGTTGACATTGTAATGTAAGAAATGCATCTCTGTTTAGAGAATAAGAATGGACAGGTTTTCTTCAATATAAGGAGCAGGTCTTTTTAAAAGGTCACTTAACTGTATATTTTTTGAAATATATCCAAGCTGCTAAGTAATTATGTGTAATATTTTTAATAGACCATTTATTTTTCATAAAGTAAAATTAATATATTTATAAGCTGAAAGACCATTTTAATTGTGTTTTGATTCATTTCTAAGAATTTCTATAGCAACTGTCACCATAGTTTTCTGATTTTCAGACAAATGTATTGAAAATTTAGAAAAATCTTTCAGTAAGTGGAAATTTTCACTCTGATAAAATTAAAAGATGATGAATTATAGAAAGAAACTCAAGATGTATTTTTAAAAAATGTTTGCTTAAATGAAGTAATTACCTTGGGAAAATATTTCCAGATATTCCAAAAAGATGACTAAGAAATGAAATGTATCAGAGGAATGACTTGGTTATCTGCATTCTTTGAGGCAATTCATGAACTCGATTTCATCTGAGGAATGCCATGCACTTAACTCTCTGGCCTGAAGACTCTAATTATCTATTTGAGGGATCTACCTGGCCCACTTAACAGCTTCAGTTTGGGCCCAATTAGGAAGAGTAAGAGAGGCATCTTATAGATTTTCCCTACTCACCAACATACATGCCAGCCATGCCAGGACTTTGATGGTAGCAGGCTAAGCCATGTCCCACACTGCCAAGATGTTCCTATGCCCAACCCAAGCTATTTACCTGGCTCACTGGCCCCTGGTTCTCTTTGCCATCTCTTCTCCCCGCTAAGGCCAGGTCCCTTTTCAACCTTGTGTCTAATACTCCACCAAGGTCTCACCCAAGTCTGGGCTGTCCCTTCTGTGCCTAGAACAGGTCGTTGCCATCCAATACCTGGCACTGCATAATATATAAATGGGACAATTCAAAAGCCAAAGGTGAGATACTAGATCATTTCTAACACATTAGAATGCCAAAATCAGGTTTACGTCACTTCCATTCAGAAACACGAAGACTAACAACAAATAATAACAAATACTGAAGACTAAAGATAACAGTAAAATAATCAGTTTATAATACTTATAATTATAAAAATTAAGTTTTAAGAATTTTTTTTAATTGAAAGGAAAGCATCAATAGAAATGAGATATATTTCAATTAATAAAATATAAAAAACAGAATTCCAAGAGCACAGAAATTTACAAAATACAGAAAACAGAAAACAAGATGTCTAAAGTAAGAAATTAAATTTTGCTTTTTTCAACCAAAATCCTTATGTAGTCATGCCTTGCTTAACAGCAGAATATGTTCTGAGAAATGTATTGTTAGGCAATTTCATCATTGTGCCAACATCATAGAGTGTATTTATGTAAACTGAGGTGGTATAGCCTACTATTCACCTAGGCTCTATGGTACAGCCAATTGCTCCTAGGCTACAAATCTATATAGCATATAACTGAACTAAGTACTACAGCCAATTGTAACACAATTAAGCATTTGTATATCTAAACATATCTAAACATGGAAAACGTACAGTTAAAATATGATATTATAACCTCATCAGACCACCATGGGATATGCTGTCCATCATTGATCAAAATGTCATTATGTGGCACATGACCATACTTCATATGCCTTTTGTCTCACAAATTCACTTCTAGAAAATTATTCCGGCCAGGCACGGTGGCTCACGCCAATAATCCCAGCACTTTGGGAGGCCAAGGCGGGCAGATCATGAGGTCAGGAGATGGAGACCATCCTTGCTAACACAGTGAAACCCTGTCTCTACTAAAAGTACAAACAAAATTAACCGGGCGTGGTGGCAGGCACCTGTAGTCCCAGCTACTCGGGAGGCTGAGGCAGGAGAATGGCGTGAACCTGGGAGGCAGAGCTTGCAGTGAGCCGAGATCATGCCACTGCACTCCAGCCTGGGTGACAGAGCGAGACTCTGTCTCAAAAAAAAAAAAAAAAAGAAAGAAAGAAAGAAAAAGAAAAAGAAACTTATTCCAAAGAAATAATGATTGATGTGTCAAAGATTTACCTACAAGGTCATTCACTGCAGTTTTGTTTACTAATGCAAAAAATGGAAATAATGTAGTCAAAGAAGTATAAAAAATGATACAAGTGGGATACTGTATGCCATTGAAAATATTTTCATAACCTATGTGAAATGATAAAAAATTCAGATTTTATTAATAAAAAAGCACCAAAAATAACTAATGTCATATTTATAATACTTCTTTTGCTTGATAAATCAATATATAAGTATGTGTGTGTACAGTAGTCCCCTCTTGTCCATGAGGGCTATGTTCTAAGACCCCCAGTGGATGCCTAAAACCATGGATAGCACTGAACTATGTTTTCTTCTAGGTATACATGCTTATGATAAGGTTTAATTTATAAACAAGGAATAGTAGAGATTAGAAACAATAACAAATAATAGAATAGTTCCAACAAGATACTGTAATAAAAGTTATGTCAATCTGGCCTATTTCTCTCTAAAAATATCTTACTATACGGTACTCATCACAGTTAACTGAAACTGCAAATTGCAAAATCACAAAAAAGGGGGACTACTACATATACTTGTATGTGTATATATCTGTGTGTGTATATATATGTATAAATGGAAAAGTATAAATCAAAATATTAAGAACTAGGAAGGTATTGCTTATTTTTGTGTAATTGATCCATAATTCCTAATTTTTCTGCAAGAAACAGTTTATTTTTGCAACAAGAGTAAAAATGTATATATAATTTTAGATTCATTTCATAAAGTTTTAAAAACCTATTTACAAGAAATGCATATAAAAAGTAAAGCTTAAAAATACAAAGATAAAAAAGAGTTTAGAGGTAAATAAAAACAAAAAGTAATCAGAGATAAAGCTGTCATTTTCACAAAGGCAAAGTTATGTGAGTTAACAAATATTTATTTAACAATATTATACGGCAAATAAAATCAGATTTTTTCTTAATATTTTATTATATTAATGAAAATCTTATAATACAATATCAAGCAAAAAAGAACCCTACCAAATATTAGAATATCTCAATATTTAGCTCTTGAAAATTAAAATTTTTAATGTGGTATTGGCCTTCTCTGTGTGTGTGTGTGCACATGTGTGTGTGTGTGTGTACTTTTCTTGCTGTTGAACACCTACTGTTTGTTAATGTCCAATTACATCACCAGCACTGGCTTTGAGAGCAAAAGGATGAAGACAAATGCAATCTATCAACCTTTTAATTTGCTAACATTTCTTAAGAAAGACTAATAACCCTTAATATTCATTTGTTCAATAAACAAACTATTTATATGAATGGAAGGTCAACACAACCTGAGACTTTTTTCATGCGTTCTGTCAGATTTCAATGGCTGCTGAAGCTCAGCTGTAAATCACAAACAAAAGTACACCCATATTTTAAAACATGGACTTTATAAATAAAAGAAATCACTTAACATGATATGTATTTGTCAACATCTACCTTCCTTAGCCTGGATCAATCACTGTGGTCTGGCATTTGAAAGCCTAAATTGTGGGGCAATGCTGATCATACTAACAGCATAATAGGCTCAAAACCATGATCAGATGAGGGCATCAGTAAAACTTATTCCCTACATAGTATGACAAGCATTATCTCTCAGAATCAGTGTGTCTACTCAATTGTAGCCCTCCTTCTCAGTCCCTGCTGTATTTATCCAGCCTTCACATTTTAGTTTTTTCTTGTTTTCTGCTCTGTGCTGCAGTTTGTTTCCCTATAATCTTGACCCAGTTGGTCATGACCTGATATCTACATATTGGAGGCTGCTTCCACCATCATGTACCTCTTGATGCTAGCAGAATATGGCTCCATAAAGTGCAGACTACCAACTCAATAACTGTAATGCACTGTATTGGCCTGTATCAATATGGCTGCAACCTGGACATTAGAGATGTTAGGAATCCAGGTTATGGAGTCAAACTACTGATATCTAGTCCTATCTTAGCTGCTTACAAATTGCATAGAAAAATGAGTCATTTAACTTCTCTAAGCCTGTGTCTCCATCTGTGAGCATATCTCTAGGGGGTTATTTTGAGAATTAAATGAGATTGCATAAAAGGATCCTGACATATGGCCAGCCCTTGCTAATTGGATCTAGGAGTAGTACATTGGAGGATAGCGAAGACTATAAGGCTATTGAGATAATGAAGAATGAAGACAGACTCCAGTCTCTCTGTTCAAGAAGGAGGCCTCACAGTAGATGATTGAATAGAAAGGATTGGGTATAGAGGTGCAAATCTGAAACTAAGTGCTATGATGATGATTCAAGGATAAATCTTGGTCAAATAAAAAGCTATAAGCCAAGTAAGAAGAGATTGAATTAGTAATAAAAATTCTGCCATCAAACAAAAGTCTGGGACCTGACAGTTTCACTACTGAATTCTGTCAAATATTTAAAGAAGACCTAATACAAATTCTTCAAAAATTGAAGAATGAATATTTTCAGATTCATTATATGAGGCCAGCATTACCCTGATATCAAAACCAAAGAAAGTACAAAAAAGGAAAACTACAGGCCAATATTCCTGATTAACATAAATGCAAAAACCCTCAGTAAAATAATATCAAACTGAATTCAACAGCACGATCAAGTGGAATTCACCCCAGGGATGCAAGTATGGTACAACATACATAAGTCAATAAATGTGATATGTCACATTAACAGAATGAAGTACAAAACATATGATCACTTCAATAGATGCAGAAAAAATATTTTAAAAATCCAACTTCCTTTTATGCAAACAAACAAATTAGGTATAAAAGGAATGAACCTCAACAAAATAAAGGTCACATATGACAAAACTCCAGGTAACATCATACTCACTGGAAAAAAGTTGAAAGCTTTTTCTTTAAGATCCATAACAAGAGAAGGATGCTCATATTTACTTCTATTTAACCTAGTACTAGAGTGCCTAGCCAAAGCAATTAGTCAAGAAAAGGAAATAAAAAGTATCAAATCAAAAAGGAATAACTTAAATTGTCCCTGTTTGCAGGTGACTTGTTCTTACATATTGAAAATCCTGAAGACTCCACCCCAAAACTATTAGAACTAGAAAAACAATTCAGACAAGTAGCAGAATACAAAATCTACATACAAAAATTAGTAGCACTTTTGTACACTAACAGTGAACTATCCAAAAAAGAAATCAATTGTATTTATAATAACTACTAAAAAATAAAATGATCATGGCTGGGCGTGGTGGCTCATGCCTGTAATCCCAGCACTTTGGGAGGCCGAGGTGGGCAGATCACGAGGTCAGGAGATTGAGACTATCCTGGCTAACATGGTGAAACCCCATCTCCACTAGAAAATACAAAAAAAAAAAATTAGCCGGGCGTGGTGGTGGGCACATGTAGTCCCAGCTACTCAGGAGGCTGAGGCAGGAGAATGAATGTGAACTCAGGAGGTGGAGCTTGCAATGAGCGGAGATTGCGCCACTGTGCTCCAGCCTGGATGACAGAGCAAGACTCCGCCTCAAAAGAAAATAAATAAAAATAAAAATAAATAAAATGATCATTAATAAATTTAACTAAGAGGTGAGAGATCTGTACACTGAAACCGTAAAATATTGATGAAAGAACTTTAAAATGACACAAATAAATGGAAAGATATCCTGTGTTCTTTGATTGGAAGAATTAACATTGTTAAATTGCTCATAGTACCCAAAAGATCTACAGATTCAATTGAATCTCTATCAAAATTTTAATATAATTCTACACAGAAATAAAACATAATCCCAAAATTCATATGACACCACAAAGACCCCCAGTAGCCAAAGTAATCTGAAACAAAAAGAACAAAGCTGAAGGCATCATACTACCTGACTTTAAAATATGCTGCAAGCCTGTAGTAACCAAAACAGCATGGTACTGGCATAAAAACAGACACAGAGACCAATGAAGCAGAAAGGAGAGCCCAGAAATAAATTCACACATTTACAGCCAACTAATTTTGGACAAAGGCACTAAGATTATACAATAAAGCACAGTTCTTTAATAAGTGGTATTGGGTAAACTAGATGTCCACATGAAGAAGAATGAAATTAGACCTTTCTCTCTCATCATAAACAAAAATCAACTCAAAGTGGATTAATGACTTAAATGTAAAACCAGAAATTATAAAACTACTTGAAGAAAATATAGGGGAAAAGTTCCATAACATTGGTCTGGGCAGTAATGTTTTGGATATTACCCCAAAAGCACAGGCAGCAAAAGCAGTAGCCATAGCCATGGCTATTATCAAAAATAAGAAAGATAACAAGTGTTGGCCAGAAGATGGAGAAAAGGGAACCCTGTATCCTGTTGTTGTGGATGTAAATTAGTACAGCCTTTACTGGGAAAAGTATGGAGATTCCTCAAAAAATTTGAAGATACAGGAGCCCCACTTCTCCAAAGTTGAACTTTCTGTGGTTTCAGTAGCTGGTGGTCAAGTATAGTCAAAATTTTAAGTAAAACATTCCATAAATAAACAATTCATAAGTTTGAAATCGCATGCTTTGTATACACATACAAACGGTGTATATGCTACTTGCCCATTAATCACTTAAGAGTCACCTAGTAGCCATCTAAGTTATCAGATCAAAAAAACATAGTATGTGTAGGGTTTGGTGCTATTTGTGGTATCAGACGTTCACTGGTGCCTTGGAACATGTCCTGCAGATAAGGGAGGACTGCTGTAGAACTACCATATGATCCAGCAACCCCACTTTTGGTTATATATGCAAAATAATTAAAATAAAGATCCCAAAGAGGTATCTACATTTCCATGTTTATTGCAGCATTATACACAATAGTCAAGGTACTGAATCAACCTAAGCAAATGTCCATCAGTGGATAAATAGGTGAAGAAAAAATGTGGTATTATACACAATGATATACTAGTCAGTCATAAAAAAGAAGGAAGTCCTGTCATTTGTGAGGACACAGATGAACCAGAAGGAAATTATGTTAAGTGAAATAAGTCAGGCACAAAAAAAACTAATACTACATAAATTTCAGTCATATGTAGAATAGAAAAAAGTTGATGTCATGGAAGAAGAGAGTAGAATGGTGACTATCAAGGGCTGCGGTGGTTTGGGGCTGGGATTGGGAAGATGTTGTTAAAGGATACAAAATTTCAGTTAGATAGAAGAAGTATGTTCAAGAGATCATTACACAACATGGCAACAATATTTAATAATATATTGTATTATTAAAAAATGCTAAGAGAGTAGATGTAAACTGTTCTCACCACCAAAATGATTACTATGTGAGATAATGCACATGTTAATTAGTTAGAATCAGTCATTCCACAAATATGTATATACTTCAAAACATGATGCTCTACATGGTAAGTTCATACAATTTTATCTATTAATTTTTTTAAAGAAAGAGGGGAAGCTAGAAGCCTAGATAATTAGACATACAGTCAGTTACAGGGAAAAAGCAAGACTACCCTAATCTTAATGTAAATTTACCTAAAACATTAAACTAGCTCTTAAATTTTGCCCAGTGTGGAAGATAATTATTTCTAGGGCACTAGATGGGGAAAAGAATATAGATGTAGGTAAAAACACCAAAGTTTTGGGCGGTTGCAGGCTTGTCATATGGAAAATCAGAGGATCATTATAACCACCTTTTCTCTTGAACCATATAAATCTATACTAAGGCCTGGCGATCCACCAATCTCCCTAAAGTGCAGCTATCATCAGCCAATTTGTCTCTCAAAGCCCTGAATGGATTACAGAATTACATACAACCTTTTCAGCACAACATCATATGACCCAACTTTCCTTTGCAGCCTTCATCTCAATATAGTCCTATG